>NC_000011.10:969090-1272121 GCF_000001405.40 Homo sapiens
TCTCTGTGAGACTCGGCCTGCACAAGGCCACCTTTCTCGCTCGCCTCCACAGCCTGCTGGAGGCTGGCTCTGAGGGACACTCCCTCACCTCTCAGGTGGGATAGAAACTCCTGGCAATGTAGAACAGCCCTTTTTTTTTTTTTTTTTTTTTTTTTTTGAGATGGAGTTTTGCTCTTGTTGCCCAGGCTGGAGTGCAATGGTGTGGTCTTGGCTCACCGCAACCTCCGCCTCCCAGGTTCAAGCAATTCTCTGCCTCAGCCTCCCGAGTAGCTGGGATTACAGGCATGCACCACCACGCCTGGCTAATTTTGTATTTTTACTAGAGATGGTGTTTCTCCATGTTGAGGCTGGTCTCGAACTCCTGACCTCAGGTGATCCACCTGCCTCGGCCTCCCAAAGTTCTGGGATTACAGGCGTGAGCCACCGTGCCGGGCCCAGAATGGCCCTTTTTTTAAGGGTTGGTTTTATATTTTGGAATTTTATATTCTGCCAATTACATGTTTTGAACCTGCCCTGCCATGATCCCTTGTGAGGGGCTCAGACAAACTGCGATGAGGCAGAGAAACAGAAGCCCTAGGGGCCGTCGCGTGTGGGCCTTGTTTTCATGACCAGCTGATTTGCCCTAGAATGGCTATGAAGTGGCAGATAATTTAGACTGTGTTCATATGCCTAAATTAAACTGATTTCAAAGACAAGCTTGATGGTTGAAGGCAGGGTTTGCAAGTTCCATCACAGCAGGGCCCTCTGTGGGATTTTGGCTGGTCGGAGTGAGGCCCTGTGAGGGCCAGCTGGGCTGCACCTGCCCAGGGTTGTCGTGGGAGGGTAGAACTCTTGTTGCCAGATGTTCTGGTGCCTGTTTTTAAAAGGGAAATAAAAAACTTGGACTCTCATGAGTACCATGAGTTTAGAAAGGTTATTCATGCTCAGCAGCGTCTGCACTGCACCTGCCTGGGCCCGGCCACCCCTCTCCTGGAGGCTTGTCCGTGCTGCCTGCTGTACTGCTGCACTGCCCTCTGCTCTCCCCTCTCCCCTGCCTCTGCCCGCCTGGAATAAAACCTCTTCCCCACCTTTTCTGTAGGTGACAAGGCTCTTGATGGCTATAGTAAAAAAAAGTACGTCTGCAAGTTGCTCTTCATCTTTCTCCTTGGTCATGACATTGACTTTGGACACATGGAGGCTGTGAACCTGCTGAGTTCAAACAGATACACGGAAAAGCAGATCGTGAGTATCGCTGCAGGTGGAGACGGCAGAGGATGGCGTGGGCCTGGCAGGACTGAGGCCCGGTGCCCGTGTAGGGCCGCTGCTTCCTTCTCTGCCCACAGCTGACGTGAGCCACGTGGGTCTGCTGCAGATGGAGACGCGTGCCCAGTCCTTGTTAGCACCTGCTGCCAACACCCTGCGGGCCCCCTTCCCGCCCAAGCTGGGTGTTCTTCAGGAAGCCCTGATGCCCTCACAGGGTTCCTCCTCCTGCATGCGGTTTTCCTGATGAGGTGGCCATGCCTTTTCCTCCTTTCTTTGCAACCTCCCTTACGGCGAGTTTCAGGACTGCCCGGTTGGTCTGGAGAGTGCCGCACGCGGCCCAGCGTTTGATGTGGTTGGTGCTCTGTGCCCATGAGGTCGGCCTCCAGAGGAGGGGAGGATGTCTCCCTGACACAGTGCCTTGTTGACGCACTGTCCCAAGTAGACCCGTCCCGTGGTCCCTTGGACAGCTTTGTTTCTGCAGTAGGCGCTGGAGGCACATGGCTGGGTCTTGGTGCGGAGGGTGCTCACCCCACCATCTCCCCAGCCCTTGCCGGGCTGGTGCACAGTGTCCTGTCACTCTACTTTTGAAGTCTTCTTGGGCTCTGCACGTTGAGCTGTGTAGTCTCTTGCAGTCACATTATTTCTATGTTTTCCCTGGTGGTATAAAGTAATATTTTCTTCCATTTGTCAAAAAATTTAACTTAGAGAAATTAAGAGAGACTGTAGATGTCTTGGGGTTTTGATAAGTATTGGTGTTTATTCAAGCATTTGTGGAGTGCCTGTGGTGTGTTGGGGGGATGGGGGATTAGCCTTGAGGACGGAGGCACAGGGACTGGAACTTGGGCCTGCCCTTGTCCTGGGGGAGATGGGTGTCACATGGCTCCACAGACATAGAAGTTGAAAGGATTTGAGAGAGGGAGTGGAGGTGGGTGTGTTGAGCTGAGGCTGGAGGGAGGGGAAGTTAACTGGGGGCTGAGGGTGGGAGGAGCAGGGAGAGCAGAGCAGGTGGTGCCTGGCAGTGGCCTGGGCGTGCGAGCGCAGGGCTGAAAGGGCAGTGGTGTTTGGCAGGGCGGGAGCTCCCTCGTGGCGTCTTCCTGGGAGCCGTGGGAGGCTGGGTACATCTTTAACCGGGGTGCTCAGTGATGGGCCTGGAGAAAACCACTGTTTCCCTCCAGGTGGGGAGGGTGTCACCTTCGAGGATGGCTGGGAAGAAGTGGCAGTGACACAGGACTGGGGTTTGCCCTGGGTCAGTGGGGGTGGAGGGGGGCGGCATGAGGCTGTGACACAGGCAGATTAAAGAGTGGGAGGGAACAGGCAGCCGGGTTTCTGGAAATTGTTGTAGCTAAAATCAGCCTCTCAGTGAAGGTTCCTGCCCATCTTAACTTGAGGATAGTGTGATGTCCGGAACACTCAGACGCGTGGCCCACAGTGAAGTGAGTGGGACCGGGGGGTCCAGTTCCTGTTGGCATCTGGCTCGTGGCACGCTAGTCAGGTGTGCCCCACAGGAACGCTGCGCCATGAGAGCATCGTAGCAGAGGCATCCTCGGTTCCACTGGAACAGACGTTTGCCGAATCCTGAGAGGCGCCGCTCCCACAGCAGTGCCCTGGGTGCGTGGGTGGTGCCTGGGCTGCTTCCGCATCTGTGTGTCACTGATTGTTGGGTGACTCAGGGCCACAGGTGGACTTGGATTGTCATGAGCTTTCTCTTCTCCTGTCTTTTGGAACGCAGGGCTACCTTTTCATCTCTGTGTTGGTGAACTCAAACAGTGAGCTGATCCGCCTGATCAACAACGCCATCAAGAATGACCTGGCCAGCCGCAACCCCACCTTCATGGGCCTGGCCCTGCACTGCATCGCCAGCGTGGGCAGCCGGGAGATGGCCGAGGCCTTCGCCGGGGAGATCCCTAAGGTCCTCGTAGCCGGGTATGTGCCGGGCTCGTGCCGGGCTCCTGCTGAAGATGTGCTGCTTTCATGCCAAATACATCAAATATGGAGCTGCTTAGCCTAGGAAATGTTTTACTCTCCCCATCTTATGGGAGATGAGATGTAGCCTAAGGTGGGATCCAGAATTACAAGTTTAGGCCGGGCACGGTGGCTCACGCCTCTAATCCCAGGACCGTAGGAGGCCAAGGTGGGAGAATCGCTTGAGCCCAGGAGTTCAAGACCAGCCTGGGCAACATAGGGAGATCCCATCTCTACAAACAGTTTTAAAAAATTAGCCAGTTGTGGTGGCGTGCTCCTGTCGTCCCAGCTACTTGGTAGGCTGAGGCAGGAGGATTGCTTGAGCCCAGGAAGTCAAGGCTGCAGTGAGCCGTGTTCATGCCTTGGAGACTCCAGCCTGGGCGACAGAGCGAGACCCTGTCTCCAAAGCAAAAAGAGAATTACAAGTTTAGATTTCAATTAAAGTGCAATCTAATACCACTGAGATTCAAAACACAGATCAAAGAAGAACGCCCACACCCTGCCAGCAAAACCAAGAAGGGGCTTCAGCCCCGCAGGGCACTGGGTAGAACGATGCATCTCTGGGCAGCTCCTCCTCGTGCCCGTTCCCCAGGGCTTCACGCGGAGAAGCCGAGCACCGCGCCGGAGCGCCCTCGGCCATCCGTTCCGTCCCTTGTTAATTTGGAGAGAAGCCTCGAGGGGCTGAGTCACCAGCTCTGGAAGAGCTTAAAGCAACCCTGGGGTGTCTGTGCCACAGGCAGGGCCCCCACCTGTGTGTTCCAGGATACCCTGCGGAGTTGGGAAACTGACCCCTCGCCCACACGGTGCCACCCGGCTGAGCTAGGCCTCAGGCCACGGGAGAGTGGGTGGACATCCACCCAGACCACACAGTGAGGACTGGAGACAAGGTGGTGGGAAGGCATGAGAGAAACAGGCCTAGACCGGCGTCTCAACTGGGCCACATTGGCTTTGTGAGGGTACTGGGCCGTGTCTTGGGGCATTTTTGGTTGTCACAGTGGGTAGAGACCAGGGTGCTGCACCCCACACCACTCAGGATGCTCCACAACAGAGAATGAGGCAGCCTTCTATCAGCTGTGAGGTGAGGACGTCCCACAATAGAGAATGAGGCAGCCTCCTGTCAGCTGTGAGGCAAGGAGGAGCCCGGCTGGCAGAGAGACCGCAGCATAACCACGAGAAGACAGATATTCAGAAGCGCAAGAGCTCAGAGATGGGTGACCCCACAGTAGGATGGACAGGAGCAGAACCACCGAGCCGGGGGAGCAGGCGCAGTGCCTGAAGGCACTGTTGCTCCTCAGGCCATTCAGTCATAGGTGGCAGAGCATGTGGGCGCCCCGAAAACAGGGTGCCCAAGATGGAAGGAAGGCTCGAATGATCACAGGGCGCTGGTGCAGGAGAGGGAGGGTGGGGCTGGGGGTCGAAACCAGCCAGCAGGTCCAGTGGATTCTGCCTCAGGGCCACGGCCTCCTGGCCCTCCCTCTCCTCCTGCCCCCAGGGTTGTTGCTTGCCTGTTTATTACCTGTTTCCACCCTTGGGGTGGAAGCTTCCTGGGCTCTGAGGTTTCTGTCCACTGTGGTGGCCGCTTTACAAACCTAGCATCTTGAACAGTACCAGGTCCCTAGTAGGTGCTTGGTGGATGTCTGCGCGTGAGCGGAATGCAAGACAGGGCCACCCCTGAGGCACGTGCAGATTGATGAAGTGGGGCACTACCTGAACCGAGGACCTGCTGCAGGAGCCAGGGACAGAGGAGGGAGGAGCCAGGGTGAGGAGGGGTCTCCAGGGGCCAGTGCAGTGCATCTGCGGCTGGAAGGGAGCAGGTGGCCAGTGCACAGCATCTGCAGCCAGAAGGGAGCAGGTGGCCCGTGTTCTGGTGCCTGAGTGGTCCCATGAAGGGAGTGGGTGGCCCGTGTTCTGGTGCCTGAGTGGTCCCATGAAGGGAGTGGGTGGCCCGTGTTCTGGTGCCTGAGTGGTCCCATGGGGATGAAGGTCACAGGCAGGGTTCTCCTACCTCAGAGAGCTCAGGTAACATGGTACCCATGGGCCTTCCTTGAAGAAAAGGGCTAGTTGTTGAAATCCAGCTAAGTAGTAGATGACTCAAAGTAATATGCTAAGGCTGGGCACAGTGGCTCACGCATGTAATCCCAGCACTTGGAAGGCCAAGGTGGGCGGGCCTGAGGTCAGGAGTTTGAGACCAGCCCGGCCAACATGGCGAAACCCCGTCTCTACTAAAAATACAAAAATTAGCTGGGTGTGGTGGTGCTCACCTGTAGTCCCAGCTACTCAGAAGGCTTGAGGCAGGAGAATCGCTTGAACCCAGGAGGCGGAGGCTGCAGTAAGTTGGAGATTGCACCACTACACACCAGCCTGGGCAACAGAATAAGACTCTGTCTCAAAAAAAAAAAAAAAAAAAGAAAGCTGGGCATGGTGGCTCATGCCTGTAATCCCAGTACTTTGGGAGGCTGAGACGGGCAGATCATGAGTTCAAGAGCTCGAGACCATCCTGGCCAACATGGTGAAACCCCGTCTCTACTAAAACCAGAAAAATTAGCTGGGCATGGTGGCGCCCTCCTGTAGTCCCAGTTACTCAGGAGGCTGAGGCAGGAGAATCGCTTGAACCCGGGAGGCGGAGGTTGCAGTGAGCCGAGATTGCTCCACTGTACTCCAGCCTGGCGAAAGAGCGAGACTCTGTCTCAAAAACAAAAACAAAAACATGCTCGGGAAGGAGGTGCTGTCATTGGAGGACTGCTGGTGTGTGTGTCACCTAGAAATGGAAGGACAGAGTAGGTGCTGAGGAGGTCAGGTCATTCCTAGGGCCAGAGGTAGGGACGGGAGGCAGCGGCCAAGGCAGAAGAGTGGGGTGGTGTCTCTGCTGGGATGGACGGAGTTGGTGGAAAGAGAACCCGTGGAGGTGCAGAGTAGCCGTGGGGTCCTCGGTCTCCCTCGTGTGAGCCGACATTAGCGAGTAGCTGTAGGGTCCTCGGTATCCCTCGTGTGAGCCGACATCGGAGAGTAGCAGTGGGGTCCTCGGTCTCCCTCGTGTGAGCTGACGTCGGAGAGTAGTGGTGGGGTCCTCGGTCTCCCTCTTACGAGCCGACATTAGTGAGTAGCAGTGGGGTCCTCGGTCTCCCTTGTGTGAGCCGACGTCGGAGAGTAGCGGTGGGGTCCTCGGTCTCCCTCGTGTGAGCCGACATCGGAGAGTAGTGGTGGGGTCCTCGGTCTCCCTCTTACGAGCCGACATTAGTGAGTAGCAGTGGGGTCCTCGGTCTCCCTCGTGTGAGCCGACGTCGGAGAGTAGCGGTGGGGTCCTCGGTCTCCCTCGTGTGAGCCGACGTCGGAGAGTAGCGGTGGGGTCCTCGGTCTCCCTCGTGTGAGCCGACCTCGGAGAGTAGCGGTGGGGTCCTCGGTCTCCCTCGTGTGAGCCGACGTCGGCGAGTAGCTGTGGGATCCTTGGTCTCCCTCGTGTGAGCCGACGTCGGAGAGTGGCGGTGGGGTCCTCTGTCTCCCTTGTGTGAGCAGATGCTGGAAAGTAATGGTGGGGTCCTCGGTCTCCCTCGTGTGAGCTGACACCGGAGAGTAGTGGTGGGGCCCCCGTCCCCTTGGTGTGAGCTGATGATTTAGACTGTGTTCTTCTGCCTAAAAGAGGAGGCGGATCCTCCTCCTCTCTGAGGAGTGTGGCATGCTGGGCGCCCTCGTGTGTCGGCATTTGTAGCCACAAGCATGGAACCTGGTTGGCTCTTCTATGTTGAAGGACTGCTGGGGGCCCAGTCATGGGGTCCTGAAGCCGCCTGGCAAGGACAGCCCTGCTGGCGCCTGGAACACACCCCTGACGTGGCCTCGACCACACATCCACATGGACGCATGGCAGGGTGTGTGTGCGGTTGCTGCTCTGGGCTGATCTGGTGAGGATGGGGTGGGCCGGAAGAGGGACACAATACCTACTCCTCCTTGCAGGGGCGTTGGCACCCAGAAGGGGAATTTTTTATTCAAAGTAATTTTTTGGAATAGTATAGGGGGAGATTTAGGAATAAAAAAGCCAAAAGGTAAATGGTACAGGTAGTCCCTATACCCTTTTCTGCCTTCCATGTGGGGCAGCAGATTCCAGCTGATTCTGTTAAGCGCTTGGAGAAGAGACTGGCCCTTTTTCAGCTGTGCCTCCACAGCGTCCACCCCAGGGTCCCTGTTGCCTTCCCAGCTGCTTAGCAGAATCTGGTGGCAGGAGGGCGAAGGGGGATAAGCGGAGCATGGAACACGTCTGTGCCCTGGACAAGCATGTTGGCAGCAGAGCAGGAGAGCCATGGCCGGCTCCCTTCCCACCGTGTCTGTAGGGACCCGAAGCCCTTTGCTCCAGGGGCAAGGGCATGTGTGGCCCAGCCCACTGTTCAGGGTGGGGCGTGGTGGGGTGAGGGTGGGCGTGGGGCAGGGGAAGATCATCAAGCAGATGTGGAGCTCCATGGCGGTGCAGGGCCCTCCAAGCATTTCTGTTGTGATTGTGGATTATTAAGTTGTAACAACAACAACAAGAAAGCTATTGTTCAAACAACAAATGAGCAATGTGAGCTGCATGTGGTCGGCTGGTGGTTTTGGTGGTGAGAAGGTTGGCAGGGAGACCTTTGGAGCAGGGCCCATGTATGCTGAGAACACTGCTGCTGCCCCCTAGGCGGCCTCGGCAGGCGGCCCTGAGTGCTGTCTTGGCCCCTGCGCCAGCCCCACCCCCGCGTCTCCTGCTGGCTCTGGGGGGGTGCTCCGTGCAGCTCTGCGCTGTCTTCAGCCTGTTGCGAGTGACTCTTGACGTCTGTCTTTCAGAGACACTATGGACAGCGTGAAGCAGAGCGCGGCCCTGTGCTTGCTGCGCCTGTACAGGACGTCCCCCGATCTTGTCCCCATGGGCGACTGGACATCCCGAGTGGTGCACCTGCTCAATGACCAGCACTTGGTAAGCACCCTTGGCTTTGGTTCTCCCCGCTCCCCCAGGTGACCTTTGGGATGGCCGTTGTGAAGACACCATGGTGCGCCTTCTCGGGATGCCCAGGAGAGGCTGTCACAGGGGCTGCTGTGGCTGCGTGCTGAGGCCACGGGGGCCCTTCCTGGGGCTGGATGAGTAAGACTCCGCCTCTGCTCATCCTGTGGCCAGGCATTGGCTGAAGCCCTCGGGTAGCACAGAGGCTCTGCAGACACCCCCAGCTGAGACACGTGTCTCCTGGAAACACCTATCTAGTATGCGGAGCTCCTGCCTGGTGTCCCGGCTGCCTGTGCCCTCATCTAGGCTCTAACGTGCAGTCTTACTAATCCTCGTGCCTACTCCACGGGCCAGGCCCCCATGGTATAGGCATACACCAAGGGTGGAGGTTTCCAGCGATTTGGTGATGTGTGTTCAGGTGCTGTGAGAGGCACGTGTGGGGGAGGGGCTGTGCTAGTGTGTGAGCCTCAGGGGCTTGAGGGTCACAGAGCCGTCCACCGCATCCAGCAGGGGTGGATGTGGGCAGAATGTGCTTGTCCTGCCTGAACTCTGCTCTATGAATGAGAGGGTGAGAGTTGGCAGGAGTGGAAGTATTTCCTGCTGCGTGGAGAGGCATGTGGGCCGGTCACGCGTTCACAAGGATCCAGGATAGAGGGCCGAGAATGCCACTTTCCCATGTTGCCGTGAGCCCCATCCTGGCGGGGGAGCCTTTCAGACGGTGCTGCTGGAGGCTGTCGTCCACCATCCCGTGGACCGTGGGAGGTCATGGGATTTTCCCGCTTTGCAGTCAAGGAGGCCGAAGCTGGGAAAGAGGAAATGCCCTCTGACAGCCCCAGGCCTGTACCCAGAGTTGGCGTGTTGGGGTCTTGGGCGTCAGAGAGTGTGCGGGTGAAGCAGCTATGTGGGAGCTGTGAGTCGGCAGGGCCTGGTCAGGGAGGCAGGCCCCGGGCTCCTGCTGCACATGGCAGCCGGTCACTGGGCTGCTGAGGGACCGGGGCTGCCTGCTTTCCCCTGGGCCTTCTGCAGACAGGATCTGTGCACGCTCTGTGGGACTGGCCGGGACTGCTGTCATTGCTCCTGCCTTGGCAGGAAGTTTCCATGGCCATGCAGCCGCAGGGTCACCCTGAGTGCTTTTCAGGGTGGCAGGGCCTTGCCTCAGATGGCCACAAGGGCACCTCTCCTTGGATACTTTATGATTCTGTGACGCCAGCTACTTGGTTTGCTTTTTGTATTTTTATGCATCTGGCTTTATTTCACCAGGCACTTGAGTCAGCATATTCTTGGTTATAGGCAACGGAAACTCATCCTGAAGGGACGCCACAGCCAACCCCAGGGTGGGCTCCCTGCTGCCCAGTACTTTCCCTCCTTAGCTCTCCCAGCTTGCGCACCTGCACCCCTGGCAGCTGTCTTTTGTGTGGCCATGGCTTTTGTCAAATGCCTTCCACCTCTGACAGCGAAGGCCTGAGGCTTGGCTTCTCTGGTCTCAAGTCAGGAGCCCCCAAGAAAGGTGTCATTTGCTCACCTAGAGTGAGTGAGCTCCCCCATGTGTCCTTCAGGGAGGTCTTGTGGAGTGGGACAGGAAGCGTGGGCGGGACCAGGTGGGTGAGGGTCAGAAGGTCGGCGGTCAGGCCTGCGCCCGGAGTTGGGTGGTGGGGAGGGAGGTGATTTGGCCCGAGTGCTGCATGGGCACCGTGCCGAGCCTTGGGTCTGTAGCCTGAGGGTGGCCTGATGGAGCAGACAGGTTGGAGTGGACAAGGACAGGAGACACCATGGGGAGAAGGGTTGGGGGGCTGGGCCAAGGGCTGGAGGCCACTGAGGAGACACGGAGGTCGCTTTGGCACCAGCTGCCACCACAGGGGTGGGGCCACGTGTCGCGGGCCTGAGTGTGCCCCTCGAG
This sequence comes from Homo sapiens, assembly GCF_000001405.40. Taxonomy (NCBI): domain Eukaryota; kingdom Metazoa; phylum Chordata; class Mammalia; order Primates; family Hominidae; genus Homo; species Homo sapiens. The sequence goes on from NC_000011.10 coordinate 979,146, forward strand.
AGGCCTCTTACAGTCTCAGTGCAGGGGGAGGACGTCCTAAATGAGAGGCTGAGCTCCGCGCCTGTCAGCCTGTTGCAGGGGGCATTCTAGATGCGTGTTTCCTGGGGGAACACACCGTGAACATTCAGGAGCCCCGTGGGGAATGACTCTGCCCTCATGGAAGTTACAGACCTGCAGTTTCTTACAAGTTCTTTATTGGACATGGCAAAATCCGTTAGCACTTTGCTCACCGAGAAATACAGGAAGAAGACCAATCAGACCAATTTCTTTCTTACAGCTTTCACATTTTCCTTGGAAAGCTGAGGGCACAGGCACAGCAGGTCTCTGGGGAGAGTGCCGTGCTATAGTAGGTGCACCCCAGCCTGGCTGAGGAGCCGTGGCACAGGGCGAGTGGTGGGGGGATTGCATCAGTCATTCAAGTAGACATTTCCTTTCAGACAGAGGCTTGCTCTGTCACCCAGGCTGGAGTGCAGTGGCGCGATCTCAGCTCACTGCAACCTCTGCCTCCTGGGTTCAGGCGATTGTCCTGCCTCAGCTTCCCGAGTAGCTGGGATTACAGGCGAGGCGAGTGCCACCACGCCTGGATAATATTTGTATTTTTAGTAGAGATGGGGTTTCACCGTGTTGGCCAGGCTGGTCTTGAGCTCCTGACCTCAGGGGATCCGCCTGCTTCGGCCTCCCAAAGTGCTGGGATTACAGCATAAGCCACCGTGCCCACGCAAGTAGACACTTCCTGAGCTCACTGTTTACATCTTCAGAGTGAATAGGTATCATTTATTTTATATTTTTTAAAAAAATTTATGGGAGAATGTCTTTATATAATTAAAGTCTTTTTTCAAGAGGTCTGAGTGACTGATTCCCTAGTGGCTGTCCTGGAGCGGTGACAGGCTGCCCGGTGCCGTGTCCTGGAGCGGTGACAGGCTGCCCGGTGCCGTGTCCTGGAGCGGTGACAGGCTGCCCGGTGCCGTGTCCTGGAGCGGTGACAGGCTGCCCGGTGCCGTGTCCTGGAGCGGTGACAGGCTGCCCGGTGCCGTGTCCTGGAGCGGTGACAGGCTGCCCGGTGCCGTGTCCTGGAGCGGTGACAGGCTGCCCGGTGCCGTGTCCTGGAGCGGTGACAGGCTGCCCGGTGCCGTGTCCTGGAGCGGTGACAGGCTGCCCGGTGCCGTGTCCTGGAGCGGTGACAGGCTGCCCGGTGCCGTGTCCTGGAGCGGTGACAGGCTGCCCGGTGCCGTGTCCTGGAGCGGTGACAGGGTGCCCGGTGCCGTGTCCTGGAGCGGTGACAGGCTGCCCGGTGCCGTGTCCTGGAGCGGTGACAGGGTGCCCGGTGCCGTGTCCTGGAGCGGTGACAGGGTGCCCGGTGCCGTGTCCTGGAGCGGTGACAGGCTGCCCGGTGCCGTGTCCTGGAGCGGTGACAGGCTGCCCGGTGCTTTGGGGAGGACTGCTTGTGCCCTGGGATCTGAATCTGTTCTCACTGAGGGCCAGGAGGAGCGGGGAGGGAGGACTCGCGTGCTGGGCCTAGTGGCCTCATCCAGCCTATGGTGGTTGAGTGACTGCCAGGGCCACTTTCCAAAAAGGAGAATGGAAAAGGACTTCTCCAGTTGCTCTTTTCTATAGTCTCACTTCTGGGTTGTAAAGATTCAGATCAGTGTAAAGGTAGCGTCTCCCTCTACAGTGAACATGCGTTATTAAACCAGAGGCAGCAAGTGCAGATGACGGTGGAGGCCAGGCCAGGAGAGGGCAGCAGGCAAGGTGGCGTGTGCAGCCCACATGCTTGACCTGCATGGCTGGACGTGGCCCTCTGGCTCTTCGATGCTGGCAGGGATCTGGGCTAAGCATGACGGAACTTCCCAGTTTTTAAGGAGAAGCTGGAAAAAGAAAATCTGCATGTGCCATCTGGGAGAACATTGTAGGTTTCTCGGAGTAGGCCTGAGGCCGAGGTGGCTGTGGGCTGCCACTGTGCTGCTGGTTGGTTTAAGGTTTTCTTTGGAAGATGAGTGAACACAAGTGGTTAGCTTCAAGTGTTCTGACTCTTGTGTGTGTGTTTTCTTTCAGGGTGTGGTAACTGCAGCCACAAGTCTGATCACCACTTTAGCACAGAAGAACCCAGAAGAGTTTAAAACCTCCGTGTCTCTGGCTGTCTCTAGGCTAAGCAGAGTAAGTCTGTTCGTGGGGGAGCAGAAGTCAGGGTGGGTTTTGTCTTAGTTATTTATTTATTAGCTTATTTGTAGAATGCAAGGTATTTGATCAGTTTATAAATTCAGGGATGAAAACCAACTTGGCTTCTCTGTCAGCCTTCTTGTTGAGAACTGTCCTGTCTGTACAGAAGCACAGCTCCCTGTTCCCATGGTGTGAGTGAGCACCCAACACCATGTGGGTGGAGGAGGGGCACCCAGTGGCCCCGTGTCCCCCACTGGGGAAGCGTGGCTGGTGCTTCGTGGACCCACCATCTGGCGTGCACGCTAAAGCCTGCCATTCAGCTTCCTGTTCTGAGTTTGATGCAGATGGACCTGCAGCACACATTCTTTTGTTTTGCTCAACATGGTAAAATTTTTGTTTTGTGTGCAGCTGTTATACATTCATGTTTGATGCTTCATAGAATTGGTTGTGTGAATTGTCCGCTGCAGTTTACCTGCTGTCCTGTTGAACACTTAGCTCCTTGCCCTCTGAGGCTGCTGTGAATCCTCCAGCATGAGCAGTCTTGGATGTCCCTTGGTTTCCATGTGCACGAGATGGCTCAGCTGGGGCCGCGGCTCCTGAACCTGAGGAGACTGGCGTTGCCAGACCAGCTTCCCCTGCCGTGCACACGGCTCTCACAGCGGCAGCAGGAGGCGCGGGCGCGGCACGCGTAGTGCTAGTCTCTTGGGTTTTAGTCATCTGGGTGTATAGTGGGAGCTCTGTGATTTATTTTTTATTTTTTTCTTTTGAGACAGAGTCTCACTTTGTCGCCCAGGCTAGAGTGCAGTGGTGCAGTCTCAGCTCACTGCCACCTCTGTCTCCTGGATTCAAGGGATTCTCCTGCCTCAGCCTCCAGAGTAGCTGGGATTACAGGCACCCACCACCAAGCCTGGCTAATTTTTGTATTTTTAGCAGAGATGAGGTTTCACCATGTTGGCCAGGCTGGTCTTGAACTCCTGACCTCAAGCAATCTTCCTGCTTTGGCCTCCCAAACTGCTGGAATTATAGGCGTGAGCCACCGCACCCGGCCTCTTTGAGATTTAAATCTACATTTTCCAGATTATCAATGAGGTTGAGCAACTTTGCATGTTGATTGGCTGTTTGGGTGTCTTGTTTTGTGAAGTGCCTGAGTCTTTTACCCATTTTTACCCTGGGTTGTCCGTTTTTTGTGTTGAATATTTCACCATTAAGTATGATGTCTGCTTTAGAATTTTGTTGTTGTCGTTGGTACTCTTCACATTAAAGAAGTTCCTTTCTCTATCTAGTTTGTCAAACAGTTTTTATCATTAACTGGTAAAAACATTTGAACTTGCAGTTTTCTTTGTGGGAAACTTTTTTTTTTTTTTTGAGATAGGGTCTCGCTCTTGGTGCCCAGGTTGGAGTGCAGTGGTACGATCTCGGCTCACCATAATCTCTGCCTCCCAGGTTCAAGCGGTTCTCCTGCCTCAGCCTCCCGAGTAGCTGGGATTAACAGGCGCCCGCCAGCACGCCTGGCTAATTTTGTATTTTTAGTAGAGATGGGGTTTTTCCATGTTGGTCAGGCTGGTCTCGAACTCCTGACCTCAGGTGATCTGCCCACCTTGGCCTCCCAAAGTGCTGGGATTACAGGTGTGAGCCCCTGCGCCTGGCTGTGAAACTTTCTAATTATGAATTCAATTTATTTTATAAGTTGTGGAACTGTGCATATTTTCTTTTTCTTTTTTTTTTTTTTTTTTTTTGAGTCGGAGTCGCACTCTGTTGCCCAGGTTGGAGTGCAATGGCACGATCTCGGTTTACCACAACCTCTGCTTGTGTTCAAGCGATTCTCCTACCTCAGCCTCCCGAGTAGCTGGGACTACAGGCCGTCGCCACCACGCCCAGTTAATTTTTGTATATTTTTGATGGAGATGGGGTTTCACCACAATGGCCAGGCTGGTTGCGAACTCCCGACCTCAAGTGATTGATTGCACCTGCCTTGGCCTCCCACAGTGCTGGCATTATAGGCATGAGACACCGCACCTGGACTCCTTTCCTCTACTTTCTTTGGGTTAATTTGCTAGTCTCTTTTTATTATTTATTTATTTATTTATTTATTTATTTTGAGATGGAGTCTCACTCTGTCGCCCAGGCTGGAGTGCAGTGGCACGATCTTGGCTCACTACAAGCTCCGCCTCCTGGGTTCACGCCATTCTCCTGCCTCAGCCTCTCGAGTAGCTGGGACTACAGGCGCCCGCCACCATGCCTGGCTAATTTTTTGTATTTTTTAGTAGAGATGGGGTTTCACTGTGTTAGCCAGGATGGTCTCGATCTCCTGACCTTGTGATCCGCCCGCCTTGGCCTCTCAAAGTGCTGGGATTACAGGCGGGAGCCACCGCACCTGGCCTAGTCTCTTTTTAAACGCTTGAGATGAATTTTTGTTGCTTTTCTCTTTATATTTGTTTCAAATATATACAGTTAAGGCTGTACATTTCTCTCTGAGCCCGGCCTTAGGTGCGTACTTGTTTGAGAGACAGCTCATGTTGGCCGTGTCTGTGTGTCACGGAAGTGCTGTGATTCTTGCCTTTTCCTGCTTTGTGTTTGTGCCTTTCAGCCTTGTCTTTGACAGCCTAGAGCTTGCCTCCTTGCAGCAGGAGTCCGTGACCCAAGTCTGGGCTGGCATCTTGCAGTTTAGGGTAGGAGTCAGGGTGAACTTTTCTGAATGGGTTCACTTACGGCCTAAAAGTGTCACATGTGAGCTTTGTAGGAAGGGAGGAACTACCCTGACCTCCGGGAAACAGGAGACATCGGGCTGTATGTCAGTGGAAATGCGAGGTAGTCGTGATTGTCACTTGTTCAGGAGGTTGACGGAGGATCTGCCAAGCCAAAGGCCGCATTGGACACAGAGATGGGATGTGAGTGAGGTGGGCAGTCTCCCTGCCTCCGTGAGCTCACCATCTGGGTTGGCCTGTGGTCGGGGGGCCCTGTGGGGTTGTGGGGTAGGGTCAGAATGCCGGCTTCTGGGGGTGGGGGTGCTTCTTCCTTCTGAGGAGGCTAAAGCTCTCTCTCTGATTTCATTCACGTGCCGGTCCACAAAGGAAAGACTGTAGTTTCAAATCCAGGTGCTATGGTGTCTTGTACCGAGCGAGGGCTGCCACTCAGCTGCGGCAGCGTGTTGCCGAGTGACAGTGCAGCCCTCTCACGGCGAACCCAGGGGGTACCAAGCAGTGTCAGACACTCTTGGCACATGAAACAAAACCATTTTTCCAGCTCAGGCGTGACCCGAGGAGTGAGTATGGCTTTTCTTTGGGTCCCCGCAGTAGGGGCTCGTGTCCGGCAGCGTGTCTCATTGCCTGTGCTGTCTTACAGATCGTGACGTCTGCATCCACAGATCTCCAGGATTACACTTACTATTTTGTCCCGGCTCCCTGGCTGTCTGTCAAACTGCTGAGACTGCTGCAGTGCTACCCACCCCCAGGTAACGCGCAGGCCGCGGCTCCTGAAGCTGCACCAGTGCCAGTCTGATTCCCTGTCTCAGATTTAAGTGGTTTGTTTGTTATTTTAAGAAGTGTGTTACTAGCCCTGTCTCTTGATTCATGGACCTTTCTGCCAGTGCTGCTGTATGCGCTGGCTTTCGTGGAGCAGTTATTGCAGAGCCTACAGTTTTGTTAGTGTTTGGGTCTATTTGTGCTTTTATAGTATCAGATTTGTGCAGGTTTTCTTTTTGAGATGGAGTCTCCCTTTGTTGCCCAGGCTGGAGTGCAGTGACGCGACCTCAGCTCACTGCAACCTCTGCCTCCCGGGTTCAAGCGATTCTCCCACCTCATCTTCCTGAGTAGCTGGGATTACAGGCACCTGCCATCATACCCGGCTAACTTTTGCGTTTTTGTAGAGACGGGGTTTCACCATGTTGGCCAGTCTGTTCTTGAACTCCTGACCTCAGGTGACTGGCCTGCCTCGGCCTCCCAAAGTGCTGGGATTACAGAAGTGAGCCACCGTGCCCGGCCTGTCTCAGTTTTGTAAATGCTTCCAGCTGGGTACACAAATGTGAATGAACTATATTAAAAATGCTCTCATGATGTATGGGTGCAGCCGGGAGGGGCAGGGTGGGCTGCGGGCCACTGGAGACTGGTGAGCACCGTTCTGTCTTGCCCAGAAGACCCTGCAGTGCGAGGCCGCCTGACTGAGTGCCTGGAGACCATCCTGAACAAAGCCCAAGAACCGCCCAAGTCGAAGAAGGTCCAGCACTCCAACGCGAAGAATGCCGTGCTCTTCGAGGCCATCAGCTTAATCATTCACCATGACAGGTGTGTCGGCTGCCTGTGGAGAGGCTTCGTCTCGCGCACACACACACGTTCCTTCTCGTTGGCACGAGACTGGGCGGATCATGTCTGGTTTGTCCACTCCATGGGCCTCCCCTTCGTCCTGCCTCTGTGCTCCCTGCCGGATGCTTTTTTTCTTTCTGTGCAGCCCGGCCCCTCCTGCTCTGAGCTCACCGTGGATTGCTTTGGTGACTGTGGTCTCATCCCACACGAGGGCCTTTTCCTCCTTCCCCTGAGCATCCCCACTCCTGACTGGCTTCTCATGTAGTGGAACAGAGAGGAGACGGGTGGGGTGGGGGGTGTGCGCGCATGTCCCGTGGCTTTGCTGGATGTGGAGCCGCACTTGGTGGGTCCAGGGTCGCAGGGCAGTGCTGGAAACGTCTGTGCCCATCCACGAAGCGCAGAGGCGCAGGGTGGCGGTCGCTCCACACAGCCTGGAGGGTCTGCCTCCTCTGCTCCCACGCCTTCTCTGCTCAGCAGTTGCGGCGCACCACATGTGGTCTGGCGTGGGTCTTGCGTGTGGGGCCATGCTTTAGGGTCCTGTGAGAATGAGATCGCAGTTCTCACCAGGCTCCCAATAATGAGGGCACGTGCCAGGCTGTGGGCAGACGCTCTCTACAGCTTGTGAACACCACCCATTTGCTACTACAGCATTTTTACAAATGATGAAAACTCAGTCTGAGAGTCACACTTCAGAACTGAGAGTTATTAAAACTGAAATTTCCCATTTTGGAGAAAGCTCTGTTGTTATGTGAGGAGAAGCCACATCCTGAGGAGACAGTAGAGTCAGTGGGGCAGCAGCCGCGCTCCCGGCCTTCTCGGCCTTCTCCCTGCCCTGGGCTGGTGCCTCTGGCTGAGACCCCATTGCCGGTCACAGCTTGACCGGCCTCCCGCGGGCCTGATGCAGATTGAGGCTCAGGAGGTGCTGGGAAGGCTCCAGTGGACACACGGGCTGCTGACTCACTGTGGGGATGCACAGGATGGACACAAAATGGATGTCAGGGGTGGGGGTCGGGCGTCATCTGCATCTGGGGAGGCCCCCGAGTTCCCACTTGAGCAGTGTGGTGGCGGTGAGTGCCGTGTGACTTTGCTGTCTGCCATCTGGACCCGTCGGGGAACGCAGACTCTGTCCAGTTTGTGTTGCACTTGCTGAGGAAACCCCACCCACTTCCCCTCCCTCCACACAGTGAGCCGAACCTGCTCGTCCGTGCCTGCAACCAGTTGGGCCAGTTTCTGCAGCACCGCGAGACCAACCTGCGCTACCTGGCCCTGGAGAGCATGTGCACGCTGGCCAGCTCTGAGTTCTCCCATGAGGCTGTCAAGACGCACATCGAGACGGTCATCAACGCCCTGAAGGCGAGTGCCCTGTCCTTGGGTTCTGCTCACTCCCTGAGCAGGTGCCGTGGGTCTTCCTGTGAAGGCTGGGGGTACGCAGTGCCTCCTGACTCCCCGCAGAGATGGAGGTGGTGCTGGTGCTGCTGGCCTCCGCCTGTCACCTACTCTTGGGAGGTCACACCACTGTTGAGGGCCATGCTGCCTGGAGATGGCCGGGTTGGCCCTGCTGTCCTGGTTAGGCTGAGCAGAGGAGTCTCTGGCAGCCCTTTCCCTGCTGGGGGCAGCCCCCGTGTGCCATCCTGCGCGTGCATAGTGCTGACAAGTAGAAATGGTTCTTCTTGGTAGAAAGATGAAATTTTTTTCCCTTATCTCCAAGAAAATCCCCCTTTTACAAAGGAAACTCACTTTGTTCGGGGATTAAAATTTCAGAGTTGGGGCCGGGCGCGGTGGCTGACGCCTGTAATCCCAGCACTTTGGGAGGCCGAGGCGGGTGGATCACAAGGTCAGGAGATCGAGACCATCCCGGCTAACACGGTGAAACCCCGTCTTTACTAAAAATGCAAAAAAAAATTAGCCGGGCGTGGTGGCGGCCGGTGCCTGTAGTCCCAGCTACTCAGGAGGCTCAGGCAGAAGAATGGCTTGAACCCAAGAGGCGGAGCTTGCAGTGAGCCGAGATCGCGCCACTGCACTCCAGCGTGGGCGACAGAGCGAGACTCCGTCTCAAAAAAAAAAAAAAATTTCAGAGTTGGAAGAGCCCAGTTGAGGTTGGCCATTGCCAGCCTTTGCGAGTCTCCAGAGCGACCCCGAGGGTTCGTTCCACATAGGGGACCCTGCGGTGTGTCCACCAAGTCCCTAGTCACCGGTGCACATGCGTTAGGGAGTGGGAGGCGGGGAGCTGCATGTCCCCCATCTGGCTCAGCCTCAGGCTGTGGCAGGGCTGCTCCCAGTCCCCCGCACGTCTGCGTGCAGCTCACAGATATTCCGGGTGGTGTGCAAGGGGCTCGTGGTGGGCATTTGGTATTCTGGATTCTTCTTGGTCCTGGTTTTGGTGTTTGTTTTAGTCAATCCCTATTGTCAGAAGGGCTGGACACTCATTTGCACACGGCCAGTGCTAGCGCTGGTGGTGCCCACTCTCCTGCCTTTGTTGGGAGCAGAGCTCGGGCTTTCTCGTGCTGCAGAGCCTCCTGGGGGCCCATCAGCACGGGCTCTGGGGTGGGGCGTGAGGACCTGCCTTGGGGCAGCTCCGTGTCCGAGGCAGTGGGGTCTTTGGCTGCATGGAAGGGAGTCCTTGATGGCCTGCACCAGGCAGTGCGCTCAGTCCTAGCGAAGCTGGCCCTTGTGGAGGGCAAGGGAGGCATGGACGAGCGGGCAGAATCCAGGCAGTGCGCTGGGTCCTAGCGAAGCTGGCCTGTGCGGGAGGGCCGGGCCAGCAGGCGGAACTCTATTCCGGGCTGTCCAGACACACGTGGCCCGAGTGCAGGTCGGCTCCCTGGACCTGGATGTGCATGTGAGGGAAACTCAGAGTGGGTGTTGAGATGCGGGTGCCGAGCCTGTCCCCAGCCTGTCCCCAAGCTTGTGCCTTGCTCCTGCGACCTCTTACTCTGTGCCTTGTTCCCCAGACTGAGCGGGACGTGAGCGTGCGGCAGCGGGCCGTGGACCTCCTCTACGCCATGTGCGACCGCAGCAACGCCCCACAGATCGTGGCCGAGATGCTGAGCTATCTGGAGACAGCTGACTACTCCATCCGAGAAGAGATTGTGAGTTCTGGTGGCCTCTGAGTCCTCTCCTGCCACAGGCGTGAATCTCAGCGGCAGGATTTCCTTCGTGCTCTGCGATTCCGTCCAGCAGGACTTGATTGAGAACCCATGAGATGCTGAATACAAGGCTCCTCTGCCTCTGTGTTTTCATCCACATTTTCAAGCTGGGTGTGGTGGCACCTGTGGTCCCCGCTACTCCTGAGGTGGAGGCGGGAGGATCACCTGAGGCCAGGAGGTTGAGGCTGCAGTGAGTCGAGATCATGTCACTGCACTCTAGCCTGGGCAACACAGCGAGACCCTGTCTTAAAAAAAAATCAGCATTTTTGGTAGAGTCGTTTGGTCTTGAAAATAACTATTGGCCGGGTGTGGTGGCTCACGCCTGTACACCTTGGGAGGCCAAGGCGGGCGGATCACCTGAGGTCAGGAGTTCAAGACCAGCCTGACAAACATGGGGAAACCCTGACCCCGTCTCTACTGAAAATACAAAATTAGCCGGGCGTAGTGGCGCATGCCTGTAATGCCAGCTACTCCGGAGGCTGAGGCAGGAGAATCGCTTGAACCCGGGAGGCGGAGGCGGAGGTTGTGGTGAGCCGAGATTGCGCCATTGCACTCCAGCCTGAGCAACAAGAGCGAAACTCTGTCTCAAAAAAAAAAAAACTAAAATGCCCGTCCTGCGCGGCTTCTGTGGCCTGCCTGTCCTTGCAGTGGTGGCACTGTAGCCCCAGGTCTGAGTGAGGCTCCAGCCGTCTGCGCTGGGGCTGCACAAATCCAGACTCCTGTGGGCAAAATTCTTTTAATTGTGTTGCATTTTGAGCCCTTGAATTAATCCTTTGTGGCTTGGCTTTTTTGGGTGTCCCTCTTGATCTCTGGGAAGGACGGGATCTAGGCCATAGCTTAATGTCCCGTGTTGTTTTTATTCACAAAGTAGGTGTGCACACTTGCCAGATAGCTGAAGCTCATCAAACCTGTACGTGTGAAAGACTGAGCATGAACCAAAACCTGAGGGAAGAAACCCTTGTGGAGGCCACATGGTCAGCAGAGAAGAGGGCCTGAGGCCTCCACCACACTCACAGGCCTCTCAGGCTCACCGTGTCTGTGGATGGTGGGGTTTAAGGGGGAGGCCCGGTGTCCTCGCGTGGGGTTCGCCACTGTGACCAGCCAGGACCACAGCCTCTTGTTGAGGCTGAGACAGCGCCTCCGTTGTATAGAAAGCGCTTTGTTATTTGTTTTTTTTGGGCGAAGTGCGGCTCAAGGCCTCCTTGGGAGCTTTGCCGAGAGCCAGTGTTGGAGCTAGTGGCAGGTGACAGGGTTGCTCTGGGCAGGTGTTGTGTGGTCATGCCCAGGTGAGAGACTCGGGTTTTCAGGGGTCTTTTAGTGAACGGAGGAGCCCAGGTGCTGGGGCTTCAATGCTGAGGGGTGAAATTACCATGGACTGAGCTTCAGTGAGGCACTGCAGACCTGCAGAGAGCAGGGGCCAGGAGGCGGCTCTCACGCTGGACTGTCCACCCTCCAGGACAGTGGGCCTGGGAAGTTGAGGGGGACAGGGACGGGGTGGGCTGACTCCCGGCAGGAGGCCCCAAGGGCAGGCACCGTGGTGTAGGGCAGGGCTGTCTGTAGAGGGGCCAGGCAGGTGCTCGTTGACTGTAGCCAGTGGTCCCTCTCTGGCCTGGCTGGGGCAGTGTGGCCTGGTGTCAGCACTTGTGGTGGGGTGGGGCTGGCTCTGGGGACGGCCGTCACGGGAGCCTCGTTCCTGATTGTTGTTCTGGGTGTTTTGAACAGAGACAGAAGCAGTGTGCTTCTGAGTGCAGTTGTGCAGATTTTGAGGTCCTGGGCATTCGTCAGCCCGGTGTCTGCTCTCGCCCCTCTGCGTGATGAGCGGCAATCCTCAGCCAGCTCCTGCTGTGAGGAGTAAGACAGGTGCTGTGTCTTGGCCTGCATGATGCTCCCCCCAGCCCGTCCTTTCAGCCGGACATGATGCTCCCCTCACCCCATCCTTTCAGCTGGGCATGGTGCTCCCCCACCCCATCCTTTCAGCTGGGCATGGTGCTCCCCCCACCCCATCCTTTCAGCCGGGCAGGGTGCTCCCCCCACCCCGTCCTTTCATCTGGGCATGGTGCTCCCCTCACCCCATCCTTTCAGCTGGGCATGGTGCTCCCCCCACCCCATCCTTTCAGCTGGGCATGGTGCTCCCCCCACCCCATCCTTTCAGCTGGGCATGGTGCTCCCCCCACCCCATCCTTTCAGTCGGGTATGGTGCTCCCCCCACCCCATCCTTTCAGTCGGGTATGGTGCTCCCCTCCGTCCTTTTAGCCGGGCATGGTGCTCCCCTCCATCCTTTCAGCCGGGCACGATGCTCCCCCCACCCCGTCCTTTCAGCCGGGTATGGTGCTCCCCTCCGTCCTTTCAGCCGGGTATGGTGCTCCCCTCTGTCCTTTCAGCCGGGTATGGTGCTCCCCTCCATCCTTTCAGCCGGGCATGGTGTTTCCCTCTGTCCTTTCAGTCGAGCATGGCAGGGCGTGTTCTCTGGCTGTGCTAGGTGCTAAGTGTCCAAACTGGACATGGCCCACTCCCTGCCTACTCGGCACCTTGCCATCCATGGAGGGGGACGGATTGAGAGCAGGACCGTGGGTTGCTGTGCTGTGGGTGGGATGGCTGGAGGAAGTGCCTCATGTTCTGGGGGCCTCAGGAGGCATTACACTCCTGGGGGGCTGTGTGGACTTCTGCAGAAGGTGATAGTGGCCTGGTCTGGAGAGGATGATGGTGCAGAGGCTACTGGGAGGGCAGAGCATCCGTTCGTGGAGGGGTGGGAGGTACCTTAGCACAGGCTGGGGAGCAGGGCACGCGAGGCAGGGGTGGAAGCAGACATGGGGACCCTGCCAGTGAGGCCTGAGGGCCCCTGGTGCACAGCCGTGAGCTGCGGGTAGGGCTCAGAGGCAGTACATTTTGGAATGATGCCCTGGAAGTGTCACGGAGTCAGGTTGGGGTTTGGGGGTCCAGGCTCCAGGCAGGGACTTGGGGTGGGGGGGCACAGTCACCAGCACCTGAGAGGCCAGTGGCAGGGTGTGGAGAGGGGGCGGCAGGGTGTGGGGAGGGGCGGCAGGGTATTAGGGGTGCCCTCGGGAGGTGCGCGGTCTTGATGCCTGCTGGCGTTGGTGTTGGCAGCTGGCGCTGTTCGAAGGGGGCTTGGTTCCAGGCGAGGTGACTTTGGGGAGATGAGTTTGGTGTTGTACAGCCTGGCAGAGCTCCATGTGGGTGGCTGCCACGTGGGTGTGGGCTGGGCAGGTGCCTCCGGGGGGCACCCGTGAGAGTGAGCCAGAGAGGGGAAGAAGGGGAACCCCCAGGTGAGGCTCGCAGGAAAGACTGGCCAGAGCCGGAAGAAACCAGCAGAGAAGTGGCCGCCGGGAGCCCAGGGTGGCGCAGTCACTGGCCGCCGGGAGCCCAGGGTGGCGCAGTCAGAGGTCAGAGGAGTGCTGCCACCGGGAGCCTAGGGTGATGAGGTCAGAGGAGTGCTGCCGCCAGGTGCTGGGGCTTTGGGAGAGAAGGGCCCAGGTGGGAGGTGGCCTGGCTGTGGCCGTGGCCTTCTGTGCACTGGTCTCCGCCTCTTCCTGGCTTTCTTTGCTTAAGTCAGGGCATCTTAAACTTTCTGGGCTCGTGGGCTTTTTTGAGAATCGAGTTCAAGCTTCCTCCATGTCCCAAACTTTTGTAGACACATTGAGGTGCTTCTGAAACTCTCACTTTGACTTTGGACGACAGTTTGGTCTTGGGATTGCCATGGCCTGCAGGTGCCGGCCCTCAGCAGCCTGTCCCCCACAGGTGCTGAAGGTCGCCATCCTGGCTGAGAAGTACGCGGTGGACTACACCTGGTATGTGGATACCATCTTGAACTTGATCCGAATTGCTGGTGATTACGTGAGTGAAGAGGTGTGGTACCGAGTCATTCAGATCGTCATCAACCGGGACGACGTGCAGGGCTACGCGGCCAAGACTGTGTTCGAGGTATGGCCCGCAGGATGGCAGGAAGGATGGGGTGGAGGGCAGTTGCAGAAGGTGAGCAGTGAGTGGTTCCAGCCTGCCTGCGTGGAGGTGCCGAGGGCCGTTGCTGACCCCTCTTGCCCCTCAGCTCTTCCCTGAGGCTCTAGCTCCTCCACTGTTGGTGCCCCTTGCTGAGTCCCAGTTTCTTCTCACCCTAACTCTCAAACTTCTGGCTCTCTGGGGGCCACCTGAGAAAGCCGGCCTCTGTGTGTGTGAGAGCATGCTGGGGCATGCCGTGGTGGGGCCTGCCCTGTCCGTCGGAGAGGGTTAGGCCACCGGCAAGGGGTGTGCCATGAGGACGCTGGCAGAACCTCCCCAGCCAGAGCCTGTTGTGGATGCTGCAGCTCCCTCCAGGGCAGGTCAGCGTGTGGCAGCCTTGGGTTCCTTGCTGCTGACACAGGTACTGAGGGTGCTGAGGAAGGCAGGGATGGGCACTTGGACTGGGGTCTCCAGGAAGCTGAGGGGCTGGTGCTGGTGTAGGGTGCACCGCGCCAGGACGTGCCCGCCTCGCCTTAACTCTGGCACCTGGCTGCCACCCCGGCTCATTGTTTGTGCTTCGCAGGCTCTTCAGGCTCCCGCGTGCCACGAGAACCTGGTCAAAGTGGGCGGCTACATCCTGGGGGAGTTTGGAAACTTGATAGCTGGAGACCCGAGATCCAGGTGAGAGGCCCTTTGCGAGTCGGGGCTGTGTGCGCTCCGGCGGGCCTCTCGGTGGTCGGTGGCAAGAGGCGAGGCACCAGCTGGCCCTGCCGTGAGGCCTCGCAGAGCCGCTTCTGCTCCCCATCGGCGTCTTTTTGTTTTCCTTCAGTTGATAGAAAAAGCAGGGATTCTAGTAGAAAATGGAGACGTGGGGTTGATGGCTGACTTAGTGAAAGGGGCGTCTTTGCGGTGGGATCTGGAGCTGGAAGAGGGTCCCGACCAGCGGCCTCTGGTGCAGGCCAGGGGGTCTCGCCGCCGTCCCCCCCCCGCGGGGGCGTGCTGCAGCCTGCGAGGGGACGACGGTGTCCCTGTGTTGTGCCTCCCCGTCCCCAGCCCGCTGATCCAGTTCCACCTGCTGCACTCCAAGTTCCACCTGTGCAGCGTCCCCACCCGCGCGCTGCTCCTGTCCACCTACATCAAGTTCGTGAACCTCTTCCCGGAGGTGAAGCCCACCATCCAGGACGTGCTGCGCAGCGACAGCCAGCTCAGGAACGCAGACGTGGAGCTGCAGCAGCGTGCTGTGGAGTACCTGCGGCTCAGCACCGTGGCCAGCACCGACATTCTGGTAGGAGGCCCCCGCCCTTCGGGCTGGCTTGGCTGAGGGTTGGAGGCCAGGAGCTCTGACCAGTCCCACCCTGTGTTCTTTCCAAGGCGACCGTGCTGGAGGAGATGCCCCCATTCCCGGAGCGGGAGTCCTCCATCTTGGCAAAGCTCAAGAAGAAGAAGGGCCCCAGCACGGTGACAGACCTGGAGGACACCAAGCGGGACAGGAGTGTGGACGTGAACGGGGGTCCTGAGCCTGCCCCAGCCAGTACCAGCGCCGTGGTGGGTCCCTCACCTACTGTGCACCCAGACCTGTCAGGGCCTCACCCCCAAGACTTGGGACCAGCAGAGCATTTGCCTGTCAGGGAGGAGCATGTACTGAGAACCCAGGCTCTGGCTGTGGCTCTGGACACCCCGCTGTCCTGTCCTGGGGGCCACTGTCCCTGCTGGACACGCTGCTGTCCTGTCCTGGGGGCCACTGTCCCTGCTGGACGCCACGCTGTCCTGTCCCGGGGGCCACTGTCCCTGCTGGACGCCCCGCTGTCTGTCCCGGGGGCCACTGTCCCTGCTGGACGCCCCCCTGGCCTGTCCCGGGGGCCACTGTCCCTGCTGGACGCCCCGTTGTCCTGTCCCGGGGGCCACTGTCCCTGCTGCACACCCTGCTGGCCTGTCCCGGGGGCCACTGTCCCTGCTGGATGCCCCCCTGGCCTGTCCCGGGGGCCACTGTCCCTGCTGGACGCCCCGTTGTCCTGTCCCGGGGGCCACTGTCCCTGCTGGACGCCCCCCTGGCCTGTCCCGGGGGCCACTGTCCCTGCTGCACACCCTGCTGGCCTGTCCCGGGGGCCACTGTCCCTGCTGGACGCCCCCCTGGCCTGTCCCGGGGGCCACTGTCCCTGCTGCACACCCTGCTGGCCTGTCCCGGGGGCCACTGTCCCTGCTGGACGCCCCCCTGGCCTGTCCTGGGGGCCACTGTCCCTGCTGCACACCCCGCTGGCTTGTCCCGGGGGCCACTGTCCCTGCTGGACGCCCCTCTGGCCTGTCCCGGGGGCCACTGTCCCTGCTGCACACCCCGCTGTCCTCTCCCGGGGGCCACTGTGCCTGCTGGGCAAGGCACTTCCTTCAGACCGTCGTCTTGTCCAGCTCAGCTCACACATCCTCTGTGGTGCCTTGTTTTAGGGGAAGTGGCCGTCCCCTCTCCTACAGGACTGCCTCACCCAGGCAGCTGTCCTCACATGCTTTGTTGATTTAGAGAGGACCTGTCCTGCCCTGCTCTTCGAGGTTTTATGTAGTGAGTTGGGTTAGGTCTGGTTTTCCTTGTATGTGTGATGCGATGAGAATAATCCTGTAACAGAATGTGTCCTGTGGTATTTGTCAGGTGAGAAGTGTCGTTTTGAGAGTTGCGTTTTTGCTTGGCTCTGCTTGCCAGCTGTTCCCCTCTGCACTGTCAGGGAGGGCTCCTGTCGGGGTCAGGCGGGCTTTCTGTTTGTCCAGTTAGAGGACCTGTCTCTCCAGGACGCAGGTCCAGTGGTGGCAACCAGTGCTGCTACCCAGTATCGGCAGGGCTTTGTGGGGTGAGCTCCTGTGGTGGTGCCTGCCCTGGCAGTGTGCTGGTTGGGAGGGTGCTCATGTCGGAGTCCTGGCACTCCTTGGCGGGGACCTGCTTATGTGCCCCGGCTGACCATGTGTCCTGCCCCTCTGGCCGACAGTGCAGGGCCTGCCATGGGGCTGGTATCCAGGCTGAGCCTGACATCTCAATGAGCAGTCTTCCCTCCCCCTCTTCCTCCCTCTCCCCTCCCTCCACCTAGTGTCCTCTGTGCAGCCCCTGTCCCCCCGTGCCCTCTCTCTGTGTTGTTTGTGGCACGCTGCTGTGCCCGCCATCTGGAGGCTTGAATTGCCTGTGAGCTCATCCTGGAGTGAATGAAATGAATGAAAGATGTGACTCTTTCTCCCAAGGTGGGCGTCTTCCCTTCACGCCTGAGCACCTTCATGCTTATGTTTCTCATGTGCTCTGTAGAGCTGGTGACCTGCTTTTGACCCTGTCTCCTCCCGTGGGACGTCACTAGCCAGGCGCCTAGTGCAGCAGGCCTCTGTCACTCCTCTAATCCATCTCTCCCTCTCCTTTGGACATCTTGACATAGGTTTCTGGAGGCAGAAACTTGCTTGTGGAGATTTGTCTGTGAGCTGCCGGAGCAGGGGCCTTCCCGTGGGTGCTGGGCCGGCAGCGGCTCCGCCCTGCAGAGAGGAGGACGCGGCCCCAGTTGGGTGAGGAGGCGAGGGCAGGATGACGTGATCCAGGGGAGGCTGGTGTGCAGGGATTCCTGGAGGCCGGCTTTCAGCAAGGGCACTGTGAAGTCTTCCACGGAAACCTGGGATTGCCTGTTGGAAGCTGGGAAGGCACCAGGTGCTCTCGCTCCCCTCCAGCTGCTTTGACGTTAAGAGGAACTCGCTGAGGGAGCATGGAAAGGGGCTGTAGGATTGTCTTCAGTCTCTCTTTGGTTCTTATTTGATGTTTCTTTTTAATGTGGGTCCTGAGAAGTGAGGTGTGCCCATACCCCAGGCCTTTGATCACACCCAGGTTTGTCCGGCTAGGCTCAGGGTGGACTTTGGAGGGCCTGGCCTTGACTGTGTGGCTTAGGGATCAGATGGAAGCTTCTGGACCCTGGGAGTGAGAGCAGTGTGCTGCCCTCTGAAAAGGAGGATGAGGGTCCAGTGAGGTTCAGCATTTCTGTAAGGTGCCTTCTTGGAGGGAGTTCCCCCTTCAGGGCTCATTCAGTGGATTTTCTGAGTGTGGCTTCACTCCTGATGGTCAGTGGTGCCTGGCGGGTGGGTTCCTTAGGGAGGTGTCTGTGGCCGAGGCACGCAGCTCTGTTCTGAGCTGAGAGCTGTGGTGTGTGGGCACCTCCGTCCTGACTGAGAGCTGTGGTGTGTGGGCGCCTCCGTCCTGACCGAGAGCTGTGGTGTGTGGGCCCCTCTGTTCTGACCGAGAGCTATGGTGTGTGGGTGTCATTGCTATCCTGTGCTTTCCAATCTGTTCCCATTGCTCACGGGAGCCCCAGTGAGAGGCCCCTCCCTATGGGGAGACACTCCTGGCGAAGTTTTCTTGCTCAGGGTCTTCTGTATGGGCCGTGAAGGGGCCTCAGGGTGGCATCAGCACATGTGCCTTTCCCACGAGAGACAGTGGCTTTATCTTGGTGTCACATTGGCCAAAATGTCTTTTATTTAACATCATAGATGAGGCCAGGACATTTTACTTCTTCCGAGCATCCTCTTTCTGCACACAGCTCCTTGGGGGAGGCTGTGGTGTGCGTGTCCCCGGGTGTGCTGGGGAGCACAGGGGTGTGGGGATCAGAGGCTGCCTGGCTTCACATGCAGGAGCCTGGGGCCCTTGTAGGCAAAACCTTCACCCCTCAAGTTGTCCTGCTATTGGAGGGAGGAGGTGAACTGGTGTGGCCCAGGAGCCAGGCCTGCTCCCTGAGGAGGGTCTCCCAGGCCTGAGAGGATAAGGAAGATGAAGAACCTGAAGTGGGTGTTAGGACCCTACTGTCCTGGGGCCTTGCATCTGGCCTCGCTGTTACAATCTGTGGTAACGTTTCAGGTACAAATGCCTTTACTAGGGCAAAGGGCTTTCCTACTTTAGAAAGCAGTTAAAAGCCATAGATGGCTGGGCATGGTGGCTCACACCTGTAATCCCAGCGCTTTGGGAGGCTGAGGTGGGCGGATCACTTGAGGTCAGGAGTTTGAGACCAGCCTGGCCAACATGGTGAAACCCCGTCTCTTCTAAAAATACAAAAATTAGCCAGGTGTGGTGGTGTGTGCCTGTAATCCCAGCTGCTCGGGAAGCTGAGGCAGGAGAATTGCTTGAACCCAGAAGGCGGAGGTTGCAGTGAGCTGAGATTGCACCACTGCACTCCAGCCTGGGTAACAGAGTGAGACTCGGTCTCAAAAAAATAAAATAAAATAAAATAAAAGCCATAGATGTATTTGAATCAGTGCAGGAACCAGGGTAACATCTGTGATGAGATGCAGAGGAGAAACTGTCTCCATTTGGGCTGCAGGTGCATGGCCATGGCCAAGGCCGATGGCTTCCCACGCAGCTCACAGCTTTGTCAGGCTGTGGAGGCCACAGTGTTGGCGGGCGCTGTCCCCGGCGTAGGGAGCAAAGCGCCGCCTTCAGATGGTCTCATCGAGACACGCCTTGGATATTTTTGGGACTCTTCTCTGCCAGCTCCTCTGTGACCTCCCACCCTTGGAGCACATGAGACCCGTGTCGTCTTCTCTTGCAGAGGTGCTCCGTCACAAGAGCAGAGCCTGGGAGCCTGCCCCGTTTCTGACTGCCCCCCAATCCCCATTCTGACTCTCACCCGCCCCCATTCTGACCCCCCGCCCCCATTCTGACCTGCACCTTTTTTGCATAACACACTTTGTGATGCCTCATTTATCTTTGAGTAAAATTCATATATCACAAACCCACACATGTAGTTTTTTTGAAAGTACAGTGTGACACCTTAACTTTGCATTAATGTAAAATGGCATTCAGGTGGAGTCTCAGATAATTACAAACTAATTTTTTACCTTCTTAGATGTCCAGTGGAACATTCTAAAGTTACTCAAGACGAATCTTCAAGTTAGGGTGTCTTGTGTCTCTGTTTTTTGCCTGTGAAATGCCAATATCCTTGTGATAGTCAGAGCCCTCCACATCTCCAGAACGCTCTTAGCTGGGTGGGGGGTTTCTCCACCAAGAGCCCCTGGTGTATAGTGTCAAAGTGTGAGTGTTGCCAGGCTGTAGTTCAGTGGTACGATCTTGGCTCACTGCAATCTCCGCCTCCTGGTTTCAGTTCTCCTGCCTCCACCTCCTGAGTAGCTGGGATTACAGGCGTGTGCCACCACACCCAGCTAATTTTTGTATTTTTAGTAGAGACGGGGTTTCACCATGTTGGCCAGGATGGTCTCAATCTTCTGACCTTGGGATCTGCCCCCCTCGGCCTCCCAAAGTGCTGGGATTACAGGTGTGAGCCACCGTGCCAGGCTGGGTGTCCTTTTTATAGGGAGCATCTGAGTCCCTCTGGTGCACAGGCTGCTGTGGGGCAGGACCCGTGGAGCCCAGAGCAGGTCTGAGCTCCCAAAGTCAGGCTGCTGGGGCATTGCTGGGGAGCCTGCTGCCCTGTTGGATGGGTGAGCATGCGATGGACTGAGCTGCTGCTTGTGCCCTGTTGTGAGAGTTTAATCATGAGATCATAGGCGCTCTTTCCTTGTGCCTTTGCCCCAGGATCAAAGAGCAATTACTGGGGCCGGGTGCGGTGGCTCATGGGAGGCCGAGGTGAACGTATCACCTGAGGTCAAGAGTTCGAGACCAACCTGGCCAACATGGTGAAACCCTGTCTCCACTGAAAATACAAAAATTAACTGGGCGTGATGGCGGCCACCTGTAATCCCAGCTACTTGGGAGGCTGAGGCAGGAGAATCGCTTGAGGTGGAGGTTGCAGTGAGCCCACACCAGTGCACTCCAGCCTGGGCAATAGAGTGAGACTGTCTCAAAAAAAACAAAAACAGAGACAGTCTCTTGCTATGTTGCCCAGGCTAGTTTTAAACTCCTGGACTCAAGCAGTCTTTCTGTCTCAACCTTCCAAAGTGCTGGGATTACAGGTGTGGGGCACCATGCCCAGCCAAAAAGCAATTATTTTTTAAAAGTATCCGTTCTGTAGACTTTTAATGATTAATAATGATTTAGTAATAATTTAATGATTAATAATGCACCCGAGTAAGTTATTTGCTTTTTCATCTTTGGAAGCTTACTTTCTTATTGGACAGTTGGCAGTAACATGCATGATCTTAGTTCTTTCTTTTTTTTTTTTTTTTTTGAGATGGAGTCTCGCTCTGTCGCCCAGGCTGGAGTGCCGTGGTGCGATCTCGGCTCACTGCAAGCTCCGCCTCCCGGGTTCACACCATTCTCCTGCCTCAGCCTCCCGAGTAGCTGGGACTACAGGCGCCCACCACCACGCCCGGCTAATTTTTTTTGTATTTTTTAGTAGAGATGGGGTTTCACCGTGTTAGCCAGGGTGGTCTCGATCTCCTGACCTCGTGATCCGCCCACCTCGGCCTCCCAAAGTGCTGGGATGACAGGTGTGAGCCACCGCGTCTGGCCTTTTTTTATGTCTTTCATGGCAAAATTTTTTTGAGAATTTTTTTCATTCAAATAGCATTTGTGAAAAAATGTAGGGTGCCTTAGTGAAATTATGACTGATGTTTTAAGTGCAGTTATCTTTAGGCTGGAGTCTGGGATATACTCAGGAAGTGGCTGTTAGCCCTCACTCTCTGGTCACTCACTGAGTTGTGTGCCACCTGCCCCAGCCACTGGGAGTGCATGGATGCCAAGGGGGTGCCATGGGGGAGGACGTGCAGGCGTGAGCTGCCTGGGGTTGGCCAGGCCAGGGAGGCTCTCTGCTGATGCTCTCCTTCCTTCTCTTCCAGTCTACGCCTTCTCCGTCGGCAGACCTGCTGGGTCTCGGGGCTGCCCCCCCTGCCCCCGCGGGCCCCCCACCCTCCTCCGGCGGCAGCGGGCTGCTCGTGGACGTGTTCTCAGACTCGGCCTCTGTGGTCGCGCCTCTCGCTCCTGGCTCCGAAGACAACTTTGCCAGGTAGTCAGGTTTCCTGAGTCCTGCAGACAGGCACGGGGCTGCCGTGCCCCCTGACTTCTGGTGTGGCCGCGGCCAGCTGGACAGAGGTGGGCAGCGGAGTTTACCTCCCAGATTACTGCCTGGGGGAGAGAGCGGGAGCTGCTGTGTTGTGGGTGGGTTTGCTGTGTCATTCCTCTCACAACCTTGATTTATATGGACTGCAGTGTTCATTACTCTCAGGAGGAAAAGGAGGACATGAAAGAAACACACTGTCTGGGTGGTGGTTGTGTCCTGTCTGCACGGTGATGTCCGATCATGTTTCAGCTGCTGTTTGAGTGTTGATAAACACTCTTTGTAGCTACACGTCTCCTCTCTTCGCCTCTTTCCTGTCTAGTTGGGCTGCTTTTCATTCTGACTTAAGCCGTCTTGTCTGTGTCTGTCCTGGAGGCCCGGTCTCTTGTCCTTGAGTTGCTCACTTGCTAAGTCCTTCTGTGAGGCCCACCCTGCTCACGCCTTCGGCCTCCACCCTGTGGTTCCCCCTGAGGGCAGCCTGTCTTTGCTGCTTGTCCTGCTCTAATTTCTGTCCGGTGCCTGGGCACCTCCCGGCTCCCTGTGTGCAGTGGTCTCTGCCAGTGTCTCCGTGGTCTTCAGATCGTCGGTGCTGACCACTTTCCCCCGCACGTGCTCTCCCCAGCCCTCTCTGCTGGGCTCATCAGCTGTGCATTCCGCTTACTGGCTGCTCTCAGCCATCTGCTTGTTTTCATGTCTGGCCGGAGGTCTGAGGTGCCCCCTTTCCTGGAGTTGACGCCTCTCCCCTGCTGCCCTGTGGGGTGGGAGCGCAGGTGCCGGTTTCTGTCCCAGATGGAGGTTAGAGAGCCTTTGAGGAATGGCCTTTTGGCCCCCCATTTTGAAGACTGTAATAGAGTTCTGGTGTTTTTCAGTTCTTTGTATTCATGTTGCACGTGAGTTCTGTTTCCTGTTACGTGTTGGGAAAGGACTTAGGAGAGGCAGGCCGGCGTGGTGGTGGGTGCAGGTCGCCGCTTGGGCTGAAAACAGTCTTACTGCTCTTAGAGTCGCTGTGTTTGAGATTGAGAATCCAGGTTGCAGGGCTCTGGTGGTGGCTGCTCCTCAGTGTCTTGGTGGCAGGAAGGGACCAGGGGCTGGGCAGTCCGTGGCAGCCGTGGCCCTTCCCTGCTGGGCGCTGCCTGCCCTGTCTCCATACGGCTGTGCTGGGAGCTGCACATGGCCCTTGTGCACGCCTCACATTGGGTGGCGCTGTCTGCAGCTGGCCAGGCCTCGGGGCTCTTGTGCATGCGGCCGTCTTGGCTTTGATCTGGCTACAGAGGGTCATCAGGTGTCTGCGTGTGTTTGGTGTAGGATGGAGGCACAGAGTGCCTCAGGGCGAGCCGGCTGTGGTGGCTGCTGGCACACGGCTCACAGGACAGGGCGGCTGCATTCTCATGGCCTTGCAGAGTGGTTTGCATTTTCCCCAAAGATTCCTCCAGGCCAGGTTGTAGTTGGGATGAACCAAGCAGAGATACTGACCACAAGGGCCTCTCTGTCACGTCATGGGTGGTCCGTCAGAGCCCCTCCCGTGTTCTTGACAGATTTTACTTTAAAGTGGCTTAGTCCACACCCTGAGTGTAAACTCCGTGGCCCCTCGCGTGGAGTGCCCGCTGGCTGTGGGCGGAGCAGCGACCCGGGGGTGCGGTGAGCACGTGGACCTCCGCCTCGGCCGGCTCCTCCTGTTAAGCGATCTCTGCTTTGTTAGCCGCCTGCTGTGAGCAGTCCCAGGTGAAGCCCAGTAGACATGTTCCAGGCTGTGTTGTGGATCGCTGTCCTGTGTTGTGTGTTGCTTAGACCACACTTGACTTTTTGAAGCTTCGCATGTGGCTGCAGCCGGACCAGCAGCCTGCCGGGCTGTGCAGGGGGCGGCTGTGGCCTCCAGAGGTGTGCGCAGGGACTGCTGCCTCAGCGGCTCTCGTGGCCGTGGCAGGCTGGAGTGGGGCATTGCGTGGCGAGCAGCGCCCTCCTGGCCCCAAGAGCGAGCCAAGGGCCGCCTGTCACTGCCCCTTGCCGTCTGTTGCTGCTTCCTCTGTCTTCCTGGCCTGGTCTCCATACAGCAGGATGCCGATGAGAAGGTTGGCAGCACTCAGACCTTCCAGGGTGGCAGCTGTGGTGCAGTTAGTGGAGACTGGCTGCAGGAGTGGCTGACCTTGATCGCCGCCATGTCAGCACAGGTGGAGGTGGAGATTTCAGAATTAGGCTGCTGCCGTGCAGCATTTGCTTCTTAGGCACTGGGGTGGGTTGGAGGGAGGGGGCGGTGCCATGACCTCCTGCCTCCCCACCCTGTGGTTTGAATCAGTGCCACATCCATCTCTGTGCTGGGTTCACCCAGGAGCCCTGTGCCACTGCCCCGCCTCCCTCTCCTCTCTTTTGGATCTAGGTCACTGTGGAGTTACAGTTTCCTAGAGGAGGTCAGAAAACTTGAAGCTCTTCTGAGAGAAACACAAATGAAAGCTAACCAACGCTATTTTATTTTCCCCTAATTCTGTGTAGTGTAGATAGGTGCCCTGTGGTGAGCAAAACCCTGGGCTCCCTGTGCGGTGTAGACACTAACCACGCATGGGGCGAGAGGAGAGGCCAGAGGGGAGATGGGGGCGCCCAGGGCCCTGCAGGGCTGTGCTGCTGGTGGGTGGATGGCTGGGTGCCCGTGCATGCGTGTGCATCAGCGGGGAGCAGCCAGGCTCTGATGGCGAGGCCCTCGCTGGGTGGAAGCTCAGCACCCGTGTTGGATGGAGTCTGTGGTGGGGCCAGAAGCTGTGTGCGTGCCTCACGCCCGTGTCCCTTCTGGGGCCGTGAGAGGCCGTTACATGTGGACCAGCATGTTCCTGAAAAGCAGCTGCACCAACCAACTTCACAGGTCTTGCCGGGGCTGTGTCCGCGTCCCTGCGTCCTGCTCACCGTCCTCCTCCAGTGGCTGTTTGTCAGGATAGTCCTTGGAATAGTTTCCACTTTTTTCTTCCCTTGTGTGCCATAGAGGTTTTTCTGGCCTCCTCGTGCTGTGAGTTTTTTTCCAGAACAAACCCTTGTGTTTTCTGCAGGTGGCTTTGAGTGACACATATACTGTCCCTTTTCCCCTAGGTTTGTTTGTAAAAACAATGGTGTGTTGTTTGAAAACCAGCTGCTTCAAATTGGACTTAAGTCTGAATTTCGGCAGAATTTAGGTATGTGTTTTAATTACTTAATGAAACTGTCTCTTAGAAATATGGGAAATTAAGAGAAAATATTTGCAAATCATATACTTATAAGGGATAGATATCCAGAATATAAAAAGAACTCCCATAACTCAGTAAGAAAGCAGCCCAATTAAAAAATGGGCAAAAGAACAGCCTGGGCAAACACATCAAGACCCCATCTCTACAACCAGAGGGGGTGGCGGGGAGGTGGGGGTGGGTGCAAAGTTGTTGAAAAGACGACATTCTCCAGGGAAAATACAGGAATGCTCAATAAGCACCTGAAAAGATGGACAAAGTCACGAGGGAAGTGCCAATCAAAACCACAGTGAGCTACCACCTCACCCCTCCAGGATGGCTGTTAGAAAACAAACAAGCAGCCTGTGCAGTGGCTCACGCTTGTAACCCCAGCATGTTGGGAGGCCGAGGCAGGCAGATCACTTGAGGCCAGGAGTTCGAGACTGGCCTGGCTAACATGGTGAAACCCTGTCTCTAATAAAAATACAAAAATTAGCTGGGTGTAGTGGTGTGTGCCTGTGGTCCCAGCTACTTGGGAGGCTGAGGCAGGAGAATCACTTGAACCTGGGAGGCGGAGGTTGCAGTGAGCCAAGATCATGCCACTGCACTACAGCCTGGGCAACAGAGTGAGACTCTGTAAATAAATAAATAAACAGACTGGCCTGGTGGCCTGGTGACTTAGGCCTATAATTCCAGCACTTTGGGAGGCCGAGGTGGGAGGGTCACTTGAGCCCAGGTGTTTGAGACCAGCCTGCACAACATTGTGAGACCCCATCTCTACAAAAAATACAAAAATTAGGTAGACGTGCTGGTGCACACCTGTGGTCCCAGCTACTTGGGAGGCAAAGGTGGGAGGATCGCTTGAGCCCAGGTGTTTGAGGCTGCAGTGAGCTGAGATCTTGCCACTGCACTGCAGCCTGGGCAACAGAGCGAGACCCTGTCGTTCATTCATTCATTCATAAATAATGCATACATCATTATTTATGTATGCATAAATAACCAAAAAGGAAAAAGAGTGTCTGCAGGGCGTGGTGACGTTGGAGCCTTGTACGCCGCTGGTGGGAATGTACAGTAGTGCGGGCACTGTGGGAAGTTCCTCAGAACACAAAAGAAGATGGAATTACTCTGTGACCCAGCAGTTCCACGTCTGGGTACAGACCCCAGAGAATTGAAAGCTGGGTCTTAAAGAGGTACCTGTCCACCCATGTCCAATGGCAGCACTATTCACAATCACCGAAAGTTAGAAACAGCCCAGATGTTCATGGGTGGATGCCTAATTAAACGAAATGTGGTCTGTCGACGCAGTGGAATATTATTCAGCCATCAAACGGCAGAAAGGAATGAAATTCTGATGCATAAAGCAGCACACATGCACCTTGAGGACATGGTGCTCAGTGACACGGGCCAGACACCTGGACAAATCCTGTGTGGCTCCACTCATGCGGTCCCTAGAGCAGTGACTTCGTAGAGACAGAACGTAGCTGGGGGATGCCAGGGCCTAGGCCAGGGGGATGGGGAATTGGTGTTTAATGGGGACAGAGTTCCGTTTGGGAAGATGAGAACGTTCTGGAGATGGTGGTGGTGGCAGCAGCTGCACAGTGTGGATGCACTTCCTGTGCCCTTGTGTGCACCTAAATATGGCTAGGAAGGTGAATGTTAGTGTATTTTACCACAATTTAGGAGAAAGACATAAAAAAGCCTTTGAGTGTAAAAAAATGCTGTGCACGGAACCCTGTGGCTGCAGGGGCCCTGGCTGCGGACCTGCCTCCTCTCAGCGCCTGCCTTGAGCCTCCTCAGGACTGCTCTCTCTCTCATCTGTGAAAAACACAGAAAGAATGTGAAAAAAGAGAATTAGTCCTCTGCCCGCCAGGGGTCTGTTAGAAAAGTGAGGGTTGTCAGAGTGATTCCTGTGGGAAACGCTGCATTGAAAACAGGTGGTGCCTTTAGTCCTGGTTTAAGTTTTTAAGCTCTGGGCCGTGATAGCTTCACGAGGTGTTGGTTTTGGGTTTTTAAATTGTGGGAGGAGTGATGCCAAACTGTTTACTGTTTTCAAAATATTTGAGATTTCCTTTCTGAATTCAAGGGGTATACAGATGTTCACAAAGATTTTTTACTGTGATATAAATAAAAACAGCGACACATCCTAAATGTGCACCTGTGCCGTGGCTGAGCCGCTGCAGTGAGGGCTAGTGTGCAACACCGATGCTGTGCTGGACGCGTGCCCAGCCGGGTCCCCTGACAGGAGGCAGCCGGGGCCGGTGCGTGTGTTTGCATGTTGCAGTCATGGGGCGGGGCCGGCAGAGGCCTGTGTGATTGTGGCGTCCCTGGAAAAGATGCTTGGCAGGCCCCTCCAGCTGTAGCCCAGCCTGCAGACGGGGCGTTCTGTGGGTCCTTCCCCGTGCATATGCGTGTGATCTCACCCATCCCGTGTGGGTGCGCAGGAGGGGCCGAGGGAGGAGGGTGCTGGAGGGCGGAAGTTACCTCTGACTGGAGGAGATACCCGGCCCGTGTTACCAGCACTGGTGTGCTCGTTCTAAAACTGGAAAAAATTTGTTCTTAATTTTAACAACAGTCATACATCACAACAGTGAACTTAAATTCAGCTGAAGATTGTGGGGGGCTCTTGTTTTTCAGGGTAAATATTCAGGGTAAGTGTGAAATGGTGTGTGTGAAAAAATTGTTTTTGTTCCTTCTAGGTCGGATGTTTATCTTTTATGGTAATAAGACCTCCACGCAGTTCCTAAACTTTACCCCAACACTAATCTGTTCAGACGACCTTCAGCCTAATATCCTTGGCTTCATTGCCCCATGCCCGCAGACAGCATAATGTGGGGCTTAGAGGAGGCTTTTGAGGAAGTTTTTTGGTTTTCTTATTTTGTTAAAATAGCGAGATAATTCCAGATGCTATATGAAAATCAGGCAGTCGTAATCTGCCTATGGTGCTGGGCAGGAGAAGGAAAACAGGCAGTCTTCCATATTGGAGAGCCAGCTTTTGATCATGCACCTAAAAATACCGTGTACATGCCTCCTCCCCTTCCATCTGGCCAGTGTGAGTCCCTTTCCTTTTCACCTGC
This sequence comes from Homo sapiens, assembly GCF_000001405.40. Taxonomy (NCBI): domain Eukaryota; kingdom Metazoa; phylum Chordata; class Mammalia; order Primates; family Hominidae; genus Homo; species Homo sapiens. The sequence goes on from NC_000011.10 coordinate 1,006,906, forward strand.
TCTTACTCTCCTGTGACGTGATCTTTAAACCCCTCCTCTCCGAAGCCTCACAGAGCTGCTGCTTGCAGAGTGTGGGAGGCGCCAGTGGGGACTGGAGCGCGGTGCGCACCCCAGCCGAGCTTGTGTGTGCTTCTGGCAGAGCTTTTAGACTGAAGATTTTCCCTTCGTAATGCCAGAAGCGTTCCTAGAACTTCCCCAGCTAAAACAGGGAGACGCTAACGTCTCTACCTCTAAGGATAGGCCCGCCAAATAGAGTTAGCGTGAAGACCCCAGCTTGACCAGAGATGGTGACACCTGGGGATTTATGGTCAGCGACCTGAGTGAAGCAACATCCTCCTTGCCACTGGCTGGTCTGTTCATTTTAACATGAACATGTTTTAATGCAGACTGTTCAAGCTGTTTCAAAACAGTCATTAAAAATACACATGCAGGAGCACCTGTATTAAAGACTTTGTTTGGAATCTGGAGTGGAAGCTCTGACTCCTACTGCGCCCTTCTTTAGGGGTCTCTCCCTCGGGGTCCACTTGGCTCGAGGCGGCAGCGAGCCCAGCAGCTGAGTGGCCGGCGGCACACGACCCAGAGGGAAGGAGAGGCCTGCACCCCGCTGCCTCCTGGACCCAGCTTTGCTGCTGTCACTGTTTCTTCAGGAGAGGCTGTAGGCAAACCCTTGTTTTCCAGCATGAAAACAACCCTGGTCCCAGCAGGGCAGGCTCTTTTCTGTGTCTCGCTGTTTCAGGAGCCTGCTATTCCTGGGATTCTTAAAGTTTTCCTGCCCTACTAAGCACCAGTTTCTGCTAACGGTGACAAAAATTGTGTGTGTAAGACCCAGAGCCGAGGCTCAGAGTGAAAACAGACAAGTAGTATATAATCTAAGTGACTTTTTAAAATGGAGGAGCCATTCTGGAAGCGTGAGAAGCAGACAGTGTTTTGAGGATTGTCTGGGTGGAAGGGCAGGGCCGGGTGGTGTGGCTGCCCTCGACCCGTAGCTGGTGGTCCTAGAGTGTGGTGAGTGTGCTCGCCTCCACGGGTCCTGCTGGGGCTCTAGCCCGGCCCGTTTCCGCTTCTGCCACTGGGACTTGCTCAGCTGGATTCCTTAACGCACGCACACCTGAACCTGCAGACCAAGCCCGTGGACCCGACCGTGGAGGGGGGCGCGCAGGTGCAGCAGGTGGTCAACATAGAGTGCGTGTCCGACTTCACGGAGGCGCCAGTCCTCAACATTCAGTTCAGGTAAGAGCCGCCTGTGCGCCCCGGGCCAAGGGGTGTGTGGGCGCCTGAGCTGTGTGCCTGGGCTCCATGACTGTGCCTCCGTGTCCTTCCTGAGGGGACCCGGGGCGTGCGGGTGCTCACGGTGCATGGATGCGGCCTGAGCTATTGCTGCCCCCGGCTCTGCAGAGCGCAGGAAACAAGGGGAGGCGGAGCCCTGGGCTCCGGGACGGCAGGTGGCAGCTCCCACATGGGGCCTTGCTAGGATCTTTCTGGGCACCATGGGGCCCACCTCATGGGGTGGCAGACAGCCAGGGCCCCCGCGCCACCTGCCCGGCTTGGTACCAGACGACAGCTGTGGGGTGCAGGCAGCTGGTTTCCTTCGGCCCCCTGGCCTGGGGGGCGCGTTTTTTGCTCAGTTGAGCTCAGATCGTACCACTTTGCTTATTTTTTAAAAGCATAGGATTTTCCTGTTGCGACTGTTCATTACTCTCACTTTTCAGTGACTACAAATAGCGTGGATACAGTCAGCCCGTCCCCTGCTGGGTGTCTGCAAGGTTAGGAATGTTGAGAAAAGCACACTTTCTAACATTAAAAAGACAGAGAACTTAAGATTGTATACTGTAGAATTCGGGGACATAGACATGCAAGTTTTTGTTTCATTCTTTGTGCAAATGCCTTTGCCTTTTTAAAGAAAAAACATCACACTATTTGCACAGACTTGGAGTTCTGGGAAACAGATGAATGGGGAGAAGTGAGGCACAGGGACGTCCTGCCTGAGTATGCGGCCCTGGCCTGTCCTCCTGTCTGTGGGTGACACTGGACACTGAGCCACACACGATCCGTGGGGACTGAAGGCTCGGCCCCCCGACCCGCTCTGGTGGGTGGCAGTAGATCGGGACGCTTCTCACTCCAGGCTCTTTCCCGGTCCCTGGGGCTCTCAGAGGAGTAGCTGACTGTCTCTTTCTGCTGCTGCTGCTGCTGGCAGGTATGGGGGCACCTTCCAGAACGTGTCTGTGCAGCTGCCCATCACTCTCAACAAATTCTTCCAGCCGACAGAAATGGCTTCTCAGGATTTCTTTCAACGTTGGAAGCAGTTGAGCAAGTGAGAAACCTGTTTCCTGTAGGGGTCAGGGGTGGGGACGGGGCTCATTTGAAAAGGTGGGTTTTGGTCTCTGGCCTGGCTGAGAACACTCGCCTTTGCTGTTTCTCACAGTCCACAGCAGGAAGTGCAGAACATCTTCAAAGCAAAGCACCCAATGGACACAGAAGTCACCAAAGCCAAGGTAACACGTCTGGAGGGACGGCCCCGGGGGACACGCAGCCCGTGACCCCGCGCCAGGGTCTGGAGGGACGGCCCCGGGGAACACGCAGCCCATGACCCCGCGCCAGGGTCTGGAGGGACGGCCCCGGGGGACACGCAGCCCGCGACCCAGCGCCAGGGTCTGGAGGGGCGGCCCCGGGGGACACGCAGCCCACGACCCAGCGCCAGGGTCTGGAGGGGCGGCCCCGGGGGACACGCTGCCCGCGACCCCGCGCCAGGGTCCTCATTCTCCTGTTTCTTTGGACAGATCATTGGATTTGGTTCTGCACTTCTTGAAGAAGTTGATCCTAATCCTGCGAATTTCGTGGGAGCTGGAATCATCCACACGAAAACCACCCAGATTGGATGCCTGCTGCGCTTGGAGCCGAACCTGCAAGCCCAGGTCAGGCCCTCAGGAAATGGTGGAACACACTTGAGTTGCTTTTTATTCTGGCACAATGTACGTGGTGAGATGTGTAGCTCTTTAGTGCAGTTCAGTCAGTTTTGACAGATGTTGTTTAACCACCACCCTGTCAATACATGGTTGCCTCCCAGCCTCCCCGCAGCTGGCCACCGTGGAGCATCATCCCTAGTGCAGTTCAGTCAGTTGTGACAGATGTTGTGTGCCTGTTTAACCACCACCCTGTCAATACATGGTTGCATCCCAGCCTCCCCACAGCTGGCCACCGTGGAGCATCGTCCCACCATGGAGCAGCCTGGCCCTGGGCGGTGGCTCTCCCAGCTGTTCCTCTCTGTCACCGCGTTGTTCCTTCTCACCACGTCCCGTTCTGGCGACGGACACCTGTCTCCGTTTCACTTGGGTGGCACCCAGGAGTGCTGCTGTCGCCCAGGGCCTGTGTGTGGTTAGTGCTGCAAGAACATCCCACAGCTTCTCCAGGTGGCCGTGCCACTTTGCACTCCCGCCAGCTACGTACGAGACGCCAGGCGCTCCCATGCCAGCCCTCAGTTTTCATGCTGACAGTGTGTGTGGTGCTCAGGCCTCTGCCGAGTTGTGGGTGCCTCCAGAGAGTGGTCCCTGGGCATGGCCCACAGGGTTCTGCATGGCGGATCCTGGACCCGAGGGCTGTGTGAGCCTCGGCGTGCCCGTTGACCTGCTGTGCTCTCTGTTTCAGATGTACCGGCTCACGCTGCGCACAAGTAAGGAAGCCGTTTCTCAGAGATTATGTGAATTGCTCTCAGCGCAGTTTTAGTCCTGAGGATGGAAGACCAGGCTCGTGTGTCTTGTGTTGTCTTCGTCTGTGCCGTTTGTCTTCGTGGCCATCCTGCAGATGAGCACCGTGTCCAGTGCCACAGCACAAGGCGCCTCCCCGCCCCGCCGCCCCACACCTCTCCCCTTTGGGCTGGACGGGAACACACGTGTGTGGCTCAGGAGGAAAAGCTCAGCCTGGACTGTGGCAGCCACGGCAGAAGGTGGATCTTGGGATCAATTTTTATAAAAATCGAGACAGTTCTGTGGTTAAATCTACAAATTAAAGGGAAATTAGAAGTTGGCGTGAACGTGGCGTTTGTGGGAGTGTCACTGAGATGGCCCGTGCTGCCGCCCACCCCGCCTCGGAGCCTCTGGGAGCAGCAGTGCCACTGTGCATGGCGTGGGCTGAGCCTTGGTGTGTGGCCGTCCTGGTGGCTGCACACCTGGCGTCGTCCTGGGCCCTTGGGAGGAGCACAGCTGACCCTGGTTTTGCTGCAGTCCCAGCTGGACTGTTTTCCCAGGCAGGATTTTAATCTAGAATTTAGAAACATTTGTATTTGTAATGACTTCTGGCAAAAGCACGTGTCCTGGCCGGATGTAACTGTTCTCCTTTCCCAGCTCCTGTTTGTGAAGGGCGTCTGTTATGCTCCTGCAGTCGCCGAGGCCTTGGATGTGCAGCCAGGGGAGGAGCGTCCTGCCGGCCCCGCAGGGCCCCCAGGACTCCAGGGTAAAGTGTGGGCCGGTGGCGCAAGACTCAGAGGTGTGCTCGTCTCTTTCCTGTCAGAGTGGGCGTCCCCAGGCCACGGTGCAGGCCTGAGTCCTTCCACCGGCCCCGTCCAGTCGTCCCTGGAGGGGCTGTGGAGGAGGGACGCCTCTGTGTGGTCAGGAAGTGAAGGGGCCATTGGCCGCATGCCATGTGCCACCTGCGGCTTGTGTCTCACCTGTCATCTGGACTCAGCACCCAGGCTGCACGTCTGACACCTGAGAGGCGAGAGAGTGGGGCCGGCCTAGGAGCCAAGGCTGGGGCCTTGCGCTCTGTCCCCAGGATGGTGGCCTTGTTTGTCCTAAACACACCCAGCACAGGTTCTGGCTTCCTGACATGCTGTGGAGGCAGGGAGGGTGGGTGGCCACATGTGCTTGAGGGTTTTCACCCTGGCCCTCAGTTGCCTGCTGTGCGGGTCCCTGGGGCAGCTGCAGGGGCTCATGGACCCATCAGGGTCTCCACAGCTCCCCTGCAGTGTGTGCACCCCACAATGTCTGCGGCTCTTCTTCCGGCGTGTCGGGCTTTGATCACAGCATAGCCACGTCAGTGGCGTGCGCCTCTCGCACAGGCCATTCTGGGTCTGGTGGTGCCAGGTGCCGTGACACGCCGTGCTGGGCTTGTGCTGCAGCTGGGTGGTGTGGCCCTCATTCTCATGTTCCAGCTGCTGGGCAGTGCTCTGCCTGTGTGCTGCGCCTGCAGGCTGCGTGTGCTGCCGTGGATCTCCTGCATCCCTTGACCCCTCCCGCCATCAGAGGAAAGGCTGCTCCCCGAGGCACCGCTTCCCTGTGCGGCGCTGCAGAGGGGCCCTCAGTGTGGCACTCCTCGTCAAAGAAAAATAAAGGCTAGAACTGCACCCCGGATCACGCGCTTTCTTTGGGGGGAAAGCATCCCATGTAACCCTCATAGCTCCCCGGGGGTCGCGTGAGGCACAGACCCCAAGGTCCCCGACCTGTCCTTCAGCAGTGGGCTCACGGGCAGCGGGCATCAGAAAGTGACCTGCCCTTTGCTCCGCCGGTTTGATTCTGGGTGTGTGGTGGAGCTTTTTGGGACTCAGGTCATGCGGGAACCCCTCCAGCCTGGCCGCAGGGCTCCCCACTGTACAGTGTGTTGAGGTGCAGCCCAGGGCTCCTTCCTGGGGAACGGGAGGCCCCGTGGGGATCCTCCAGTTGATCCTACCACAGATGGTGCAGAAGGGGCTCTCGGGCAGATGGGGGTGGCCCCCGGAGGACGGTGGGCTTCGCCAGAGACGGAACAGTCCTAATGGAGGGAGGGCAGGGGCCCAAAGCCAGAGGCAGCTTCTCTTACCAGCCCAGACCCTGCTGGGGGCAGCCCTGCCCAACTGCAGATCCCAGGGGCCCACAGGGTGCAGATGTGGGTCGGGTGCCTACTAAGGGACTGGGGAGAGGCAAAAGCAGTGCTCAGGGACCAGCCTCTGTGCCTTGACAAGAACCGGTTTATTTGGAGTCTCTGACCGGGTGACGCCCTCTCCCAAGGACAGGCTGCTGGGGATGGGTGTGGTGCTGGTGGGGGCCTTCTGCCTGGCTGGGAGCGGGGGCGGCTGCCCTGCCCTCGCTGCCACCCTCTGCCCTCCCTGACTCTGGGGATCTCCTCTTCTCTGTGCTGGTGGCTGCCTGGGCCTCTTGCCCCCATCTCGGCACAGGTTTCCGTGCCCTCCTCGCCCCTGATGGGTCTGGTCGAGCGCCTGCTCTGTGGCTTCATCTGCAGGGTTCTGGGCCCAGCAGGGCTGGGGCCAAGTTCAGGGGCTGGGAGGTGTTGGACGGTGGGCAGGGGTGGTCGGGAGTGCCCTGTGTGCCTGGGAGGTCCGTGACCACTGTCCGCCTCAGTCCCTCTCTGCTGGCTCAGGGTCTGCAGGAGTGTGGTAGTCTGAGCCCCTGCTTGGCAGCCCCTCTCCAACCGGTGCCCCAGGGAGCCACGGCCCAGGGCACTTGGGGGCCAGGCCTGGTGACCAGGAAAGCAGCTGCTGGCACAAGCGGGAAGGGGGCTGGTGGGTGTTTTCCTGTCTGTCATCTGCAGTCCTTCAGCCCCAGGAGAGCAGGCAGCGACCCTGCTAGTCTCCACAGGCCACAGAGCTGCACACGCAGTGGCTGAACACCTGCAGGGTGAGTACGAGCCGCCGGCCAGGCGTGCTGGGATCGGGGCAGGGCAGCTCCAGCTGCTGCTCATAGGAGTGGAGGGGGCGGCAGCAGCTGCAGCGGGCATCCACCTGCTGGGTGATGATGTTGAAGCTGCCGAGAAGTCAAGACAGAGCAGGGTCATGACTGCTGCAGGGGCATAAGGCCCCTCCCTCCCCAGGGCAGCTGCTCCGCAGAGGCCTGGACCTCCCCGCTGAGCTCCCGGCTCACAGGGGCCAGGGCGGTGTTGGGCAGATGGAGCGCAGAGTGGCTCACCTGATGGGGCAGCAGGCGCCTGGGTGGGGTGCCCGAACCTCTCTGGGGTGGGGTTGTGAGCACCTTGGTGGACGTGGGGCAGGCCTCCCACCTGTGGACTCACCTGGCAGCGGAAATGCAGGCGCCCTCACAGCGGGTTACCGTCACGTTCGCCATGCACCCCTTGAACGTGATCTCCTCCTGCTGCTCCCGCACACTGCAGACCCCTGGTAGCCGAGTGGACGGTCAGCAGCGCCCAGGGTGGGCATGGAGCGAGGAGGGAGGGAAACCCTGGCTAGAGACCGGGGTCCCCACCTGTCTCTGGACTCTCCTGCCCAAGGTGTGGTCTCCCCTTGTGGAGCCCCACAGAGCTCAGACCTCAGCCATACACAAAGGCAAAGGCCAGCCGCATCCTAGTTTGTTTTTTCCCCTCAAAGTCGCTCTGCTGGAGTCCATAAGGTAGAGAATTTTCTCAGCGGACTCAGCAGATACTGAGCCCTGGGCCTGTGTGAGCCACCCTTGGGCCCCAGCTTCCCTGATGACCAACCCCAGGCCTCAACACTGACCTGTGGGCATGGGCCTCTCTGGTTGGCCAGACCCAGGACCTGCAGGGGGGCCGAGGACACCGTGCCAGTGACCCCAGAGCGGGACATATGGTGTTGCAGGAGCTCCGTGTGCCCCAGCTGGGGAGGAGGGAAGTGGAGCAGGCCCCGTGGTCTGGGCTCCTGGAAGGGGCGGGGTGGGGGCCCGCGGGGAAGGCCCAGAGACAGCCAGCCTCAGCGAGAGGCCTGGGTACGTGGCAGGCAGCACAGAGCAGGGTGGACCGATGCAGGCAGTGGCAGCGTTGGCATTAGAAACCGCCACTGGAGAGCGTGGGTTTAAAAGTGGAAAAGGAGTCCTGGGGTAAAGGCTGGACTCTGCTGCCCGTGTGCCCTCCCCTGGCTGCTCCCAGCTTCGTTTCCTGGCTGCAGAGAAGACAGGTCACCTGGAGCCTACCTGCCCGCTGCAGAGGGCTTTCTCCGGGAGGGTCAGGACTCTGGGTGCTTCCATAGGCCCTGCCGTCCCCAGCTGCCCTCCCCTCCCAGCTGGTTCCTGCTCCCTCGCCTCTGCTTCTTGGGGTCACCTCCCTGGTTACACCTTGCACCCAAGTCCCGGTCTCAGGGAGGGACCCGAACCAAGATTCCCTCAGCTTGCAGCAACGAGCTGCCACCCACGTGAGAGACCACGAAGGCAACTGTGGCGTTGTCGCCTGGTGGAGGTCGATGCATGCGAGGGACCCAGTCCCTGGGTGGTTGCTGTGAGAGGAACACCCAGGAGGGAAGGGAGGGACATCCCTGGAACGCGAGGTGAGGTGAGGTGGACATGGATAAGGCCTGAGGTGTGCTCTGTCCCCAGGCATCCCATGGCCTGGGGAGCAGTGGACTCGCTCACAGGCATGGGCCGGGAAGAGACCGTGGCCCAGAGAATTGGCATGAGCACGAAGGAGCAGGTGCCCTGGTTGCCAGGTCCAGCTCCACCTTCAACAGGTCCTTTGGGGCGAGGCAGGGGATGTGCCAGACTTTTGTGTCTCTCTCTGCACTTGGAGGAAGGGCTGTGCTGCTTGAACCCTGGGGTTGGGCCAGCCCTGACATCCTCTGAGCAACCAAAGGGGCAGCCAGGGAAGGCTTTTGGCAGGTAACACTCTGAGGGGAGGCCAGGAGTGCAGCAGTGACCGGGCATGAGTGAGCCAGTGCAGGGAAAGGTCAAGGTTAGCTGGGGAACAAGGCCCAACGGGGAGGCCAGGCACTTGCTTGGCCAGGACAGCGTTGGCATAGAGGGTGCCCAGGAGAGGAGAGTGGAAACGCCTGGCAGGTGTGTAGGGAAGGCAGGGAACAGGCGTGTGGTCCTGGGATCACAGGACCATGAGGGGTAAGCTGAGGCAGGGGCTGCCTGGGAGTCATGAGCACAGAGGTGAGGCCAGGAGAAGGGCCACAGAGATGCCACTTACCGGGTGAGGTGGGCGTAGGTGTCCCGAGAGAAGATACCGGGGCAGAAGCAGGGGTGCTTCCATGGGCAGTGAGGGAGCTGGTCAGGAACCGTGTGGTAGGCGACAAGGTGGGACCAGGGTGCCTGGTGGTAAGGTTGGTGACTGGAGAGGTGGGGATACCCGTCACCCCCGAGGTGAGTGACACAAAGCCTGATGTGGGAACTCGGGTGGTGAGAGAAGTGGACCGCGAGGTGGTGGACTGAGAGGAGAAGGCAGGGGCGGTGTGGGTGCTGGCCGTGGTCCTGGGCGTGGACGGAAATGCAATGGTGCTGGAGGCTAGGTGGCTGGATGGGGTGGGAGACACGGTAACAGTGGATATGGGGAGTAGAGCAGAGAGGGTGAAAGGAGAGGAGATAGTGTGGGGGAGAGTGGCCCTAATGGTAGTAGAGGCAGCTGGAGAAGAAGGAAAAAGAGGAGATGCAGACACTGATGCAGTCGTGGGATGAGTGGACAATGAGGAGTGTGACCCCGAGCTCAGGGTTGTGGAGTGCACGGGGGCGGACACGAAAGAGGAAGATGTGCCAACAGAAGGCGATGAAGTCTGGGGAGAGGAGTGGGAGGAGGGCACATAAGAAGAAACAGTAGAGGGGGCAGAAGGACTGGGAGAAAATGAGGAGGACAGCTGATTAGTTGTGGAAACAGGAGTGGTTGCAGAACTCAAGTGGGGGAGTTGTGTGGTGATAGGTGATGACGGTGGCCTTGAGCTAGAGTTCTGAGGCAGCCAAGACGAGGAGGATATGAAGGAAGAAGAGGCTGTAGCTGTGCTGAATGAGCTGTGGGTTTGGCTGGTCCCACTGGTGGTCACTGTCATTGGTGGGGCTGTGTGGGTGGACCCTGTGGCCTTGAGCGTTGTTGGTGGAGGAACGGTGCCTGTTGGCGTTGAGTGGATGGAGGCAGAAGTGGCCATCTGTGTGTGGGTAGTGATGATGACTGTGTGAGTACTTGGAGTCACCAAGGAGGTGGAGAAAGGTGGAACGTGAGTGGGAAGTGTGGTCTGAGGGTGTGATGGGGTTGGATAGGTAGTGGTGGTCTGGAAGGATGTTGCAGTCATAGGACCTGTGGAAGAGAAGGGACTGCTCCCTGTAGGTGGGGAGTGTGTGGTGAAGGGTGTGGGTAGCCTGCTGCTGCTGGCCGAGGTGGTGTGGGCCACAGGGGTTCTGGTGCCTGTACTGGTGTGTTTGGGGGTGATGTTGGTGGTAGAAGTTGGGGTGACTTCAGGATGGTGTGTTGAGGAAGTGTGGTAAGGTAGGGATGTAGAAGTTTTGGCCGTGCTAAATGAGCTTGGGGATTGGCTGGTCCCACTGGTGGTCGGTGTCATTGGTGGGGCTGTGTGGGTGGACCCTGTGGCCTTGATCGTGGTCGGTGGAGGAATGGTGCCTGTTGGCATTGAGTGGATGGAGGCAGAAGTGGCCATCTGTGTGTGGGTAGGGATGATGACCGTGTGAGTACTTGGAGTCACCAAGGAGGTGGAGAAAGATGGAACGTGAGTGGGAAGTGTGGTGTGAGGGTGTGATGGGGTTGGATAGGTAGTGGTGGTCTGGAAGGATGTTGCAGTGACAGGACCTGTGGAAGAGATGGGAGTGGTCCCTGTAGGTGGGGAGTGTGTGGTGAAGGGTGTGGGTAGCCTGCTGCTGGTGGCCGACGTGGTGTGGGCCACAGGGGTTCTGGTGCCTGTACTGGTGTGGTTGGGGGTGATGCTGGTGGTAGAAGTTGAGGTGACTTCAGGATGGTGTGTGGAGGAAGTGTGTGAATGTAGGGATGTAGAGGTTTTGGCCGTGCTAAATGAGCTTCGGGATTGGCTGGTCCCACTGGTGGTCACTGTCATTGGTGGGGTTCCTGTACTGGTGGGGTTGGGGGTGATGTTGGTGGTAGAAGTTGAGGTGGCTTCAGCATGGTGTGTGGAGGAAGTGTGTGAATGTAGGGATGTAGAGGTTTTGGCTGTGTTTAATGAGCTCAGGGCTTGGCTGGTCCCGCTGGTGGTCAGCGTCATTGTTGGCGCTGTGTGGGTGGACCCTGTGGCCTTGAGCGTTGTCGGTGGAGGAATCGTGCCTGTTGGCATTGAGTGGATGGAGGCAGAAGTGGCCATCTGTGCATGGGTAGGGGTGATGACTGTGTGAGTACTTGGAGTCACCAAAGAGGTGGAGAAAGGTGGAACGTGAGTGGGAAGTGTGGTCTGAGGGTGTGATGGGGTTGGATAGGTAGTGGTGGTCTTGAAGGATGTTGCCGTCATGGGACCTGTGGAAGAGAAGGGACTGCTCCCTGTAGGTGGGGAGTGTGTGGTGAAGGGTGGTGGTGGCCTGCTGCTGGTGGCTGAGTTGGTGTGGGCCACAGGGGTTCTGGTGCGTGTACTAGTGGGGTTGGGAGTAATCGTGGTAGTAGAAGTTGGGGTGACTTCAGGATGGTGTGTGGAGGAAGTGTGTGAATGTAGCGAGGTAGGTGTTTTGTTTGTGCTGAATGAGCTGTGGGCTTGGCTGGTCCCACTGGTGGTCGGCGTTATTGGTGGGGCTGTGTGGGTGGACCCTGTGGCCTTGAGCGTTGTTGGTGGAGGAATGGTACCTGTTGGCGCTGAGTGGTTGGAGGCAGATGTGGCCATCTGTGCGTGGGTAGGGGTGATGACTGTGTGAGTACTTGGAGTCACCAAGGAGGTGGAGAAAGGTGGAACGTGAGTGGGAAGTGTGGTCTCAGGGTGTGATGGGGTTGGATAGGTAGTGGTGGCATGGAAAGATGTTGCAGTGACAGGACCTGTGGAAGGGACGGGACTCCCCGCCGTAGGCGGGGAGTGTGTGGTGTGTGGGGTTTGGGGCGTTGTGTATTCAGTAGTCGTTCTTGTTTGAGTGGTCTCTGTGGCTGTGGGCCTCGTGGGTTGTCCTGGCTGTGGGGTGGTTGGGCCTGTGGTGCTTGCTGGGGTTGGACGTGGGCCTGTCGTCTGGGTGGCCGTTGTTCCTGGCAGTTCCTGATTGGTCGATTTTGCTGTGGGAATTGGTGAAGTTGTCATCGTTATTGTTTTTGTTTCTCTACCCTGACCTCCGCTGGCCCGTCCTTTTGTCTATGTGACCTTTTTCTTGCCTGTCTGTGCCTCTGTTCCTGTGACATGGCCCCTGCTGGGCACTCCAGCCTGCCCCATTGTCTCCATCTCACCTGGACTTGCTCCACATCCTGCCCTGAGCTGCGTGCTGACTCCTTCAGTGCAGCTGCCGCTCTGTGACTGGAACCCAGGCCCTACTTTATCCCCTTCTGGTTCCCTGTGGCCGTGGTGGTGGCCCCCACCCTCCTGCACCTCTGCTCCCCAGGCCTGCCTTTGTGAGTGCCAGGCGGCCTTCCTTGCCTCCAGCTCCAGCCTACACTTTTGGGCTGCCTTCTCGCTTGCCCTCTGGGAAATACGGGGTCTTCTTTATGGCTGAATCACTGAATGTGAGCTGGTGGTGGGACCGGGTGCCTTCGGCAGTGCTGGCATCCCATGGCGCCATGACTTACGCAGCGTGGGGCTTGTCCCTGATGTGGCTGGGGTTGGTAGTGTCATTGTGGTCCGTGTTGTGGACTGAGCTGTGGACGTCGTGGCTGGGCTGGCGGTCGACGCCGTGGCCCTGGTTGTGGCCTGGGTCACTGTGGGTTTTGTGGCTGTCGATCTCAGTGTGGCTGTGGGAGGCAGCCCTGATGTGGCTTGTGGGGTGACGGCCGTGGTTGGTCTAGGTGGTTCTGCAGAGGACAGCCGCCCGGAACATCCCCTTGCTGTGGGCCTGCATTTCGAAGGCTTGTGTCCCAGCCCCCTGCCCTGCTTCTGGGATCCCTGGCCTGCTGTCCGGGACTCAGCCTCCTTGGAGGGGCTCTTCCTCTTGCCTTTGTTAGGTCCTCCCACCGTACTCCTGGCTGTGGTGGCCAGAGCTGGGGCAGTGACCACATGCTTATGGGGCTGCGGCTGCTCCTGCGCCCACCCTTGCTTAGCTGAACGGACTGTCGTCCTGTCCCCTCCAGGGTCCCTGGGCAGCAGATGGGGCCCTGCTCGGTGTGGGGCAGGGGCAGGCTGCCTGGCAGAGGCCCTGCAGGTCCCACACGGTTTCTAGTGACAGCAGCCAGCAGCAAGGAATGCCCCATGCCATGACCAGCTTGTCTTTAAAAGTTTTTCCGAAAAATCCCCAGTTTGGCTCCCAAGCATAGGAAGTTCTACGCTGGGAATCTGCTTAGTGGCAGATGTGAGCCAGGAAGCAGGGCCATCCCTAAGCCCACCCCAGAGGTGTACCTAGGACCTCCTGCAGCTGCCCTCTCCATGGGCTCAGCTGGAGGCTCCTTACCTCCCGAGGAGGCTGTGGGCTTGGAGGATGTGAGCGTGGCTGGAAGGAGGGGTGTCTGGGTGGGGCTGGCAGGGGTGTGATTAGAGCTGGGTGAGGGTCCGGTGGAGCTGAGAAGCCCGATGGTGGTGGAGGTTCCCGTCATGGGCCAGACTTGCGTGGGCCGTGAGCCTGGGTGGGCGGACATGCCATCAGGGCTGCAGGGTACCGGCATATCCTTGGGGAGCACCCTCCCCTCTGCCTGCTTGGCCCTGAAGCCGGGCAGCCCTGCAGGGGCCAATGATGTGCAGTTGAGGGCTGGCCTGTGGCACTCTGAGTGCAGCCTGGCTCCTGGCTGGGCCTCCTGCATGGCGGGGGTCACCTGTTGAGGCCCCACTCTGTGCTCATCCGTGGGTCCAGCCAGGGCCATGGGGACCAGGCTGCTTCCTGGCTGTGGGCTGAGCTCCTCCCCAACTCTGATTGCCAGGTTAGACCTGAGAAGGGCACAGGTACTGCCTGCCCCCTCCCTGCTTCCCACCCGACAGATTTGTCCAGGGAACCGAGGGGAGCCCAGGAAAGGGCCTGCGTCACCTTGGCACCTAGTGTGCGTGCAATTACCTGTGGTGGGCAGCTGCGGCGTGGTGGGTGGCTGCGGCGTGGTGGGCGGCACTGCAAGAAGATGGGGTCAGCTCCCTGTGGTTCTCTAAGCCTCCCCACCCCGTGGGGCCTCTGGGAGCTCCGAGGGCCTGAGTCAGAGATGCTCACCAAGGCTGTGGTGGAGGGGACTGGAGGGGCTGGGAGCCCACCCTCCCCTCTCTCCCTTTCTCCTTCCCAGGATGATTCCCACTCTATACCCCAGGCACCCTGGCAGGCCTGGTGAGGGTAGGGGGAGCTGGGAGCTGGTGGAAGAGGGGATGGGAGGGCCCAGTGGGGTTCAGTGCTGTGTTTTTTTCTCTCTGCTGCCATGGGCTGGAGGCTGCCTGAGTCTCTGGAGACCCAAGGGGCCAGGGTCCTGGAGAGTGGAGTCCCAGAGCTCACGTAAGGGCTCACAGCCCCCGAGGGCTCTCTCCCTTGTTTGTGGGATGTGGACGTGCGTTCTGCCTGCATGCAGGCAGGGGCAGGGTTCTCAGGGCAGCCGACTGGACTTACTGCAGGGCACGCACACCCCCTCCTCGTGGTCGAAGTACTCATCCTGGGAGCAGTTGTAGCAGCCTAGGGTGGAGAACGGCCAGGGTCTGTGTGACTGGTGGCCAGCCAGGCCCACCTGCGTGTTTCCTGCCCTGGCGGCCTCCTTCCTCTCTGCTTTTTTTTTTTTTTTTTTTTGAGACAGAGTCTCGCTCTGTCGCCCAGGCTGGAGTGCAGTGGCACAATCTTCGCTCACTGCAACCTCTGCCTCCTGGATTCACATGATTCTCCTGCCCCAGCCTCCCAGGTAGCTGCGATTGCAGGCATGTGCCATGACGCCCGGCTAATTTTTGTATTTTTAGTAGTGATGGGGCTTCGCCACGTTGGCCAGGCTGGTCTCAAACTCTTGACCTGAGGTGATCTTCCTGCCTCGGCCTCCCAGAGTGCTGGGATTACAGTTTCACCCGCGCACCTTGCTCTAAGCCCCTCCTTTCCTGCCATGCCTTCCTCAGGCCTTGGTCTCTCATACCCTGCTTATCACCCGGGGCTGGGGCTTCGGTGCCATCTTCCAGTCCTCACCTCCCCCTGGACCTCAGACACTGGCCCCTCTTCTGTGCTCCCCGATGCAGGTGCCCTGCATTGCCCTCCTGAGCCCCAACACATCTGTCCTCTGTGTGTCCGGATGGCTCCAGACACCACCCTCCTCCACCACTTGGGCCAGGACCTGTTAATCCCAGGACCCTCTGCATTCAGACCTCTGCCTTGGGGCAGCCACAGGCCTCACAAAGACCCCTCCCTCCCGGCCACACCCCACCCCACAAGTCTGTGTACCCCACACCCCTCTGCAGCCCGGTGCCCCTCACTCGCTCCCTCTGCCCTCTGCAGCCCCGCGCCTCTCACTCGCTCCCTCTGCCCTCTGCAGCCCCGCGCCCCTCACTCGCTCTGCCCTCTGCAGCCCACGCCCCTCACTCGCTCCCTCTGCCCTCTACAGCCCCGCGCCCCTCACTCACTCCCTCTGCCCTCTGCAGCCCTGTGCCCCTCACTCGCTTGCTCTGCCCTCTGCAGCCCCGCGCCCCACTCGCTCCTTCTGCCCTCTACAGCCCCGCGCCCCTCACTCACTCCATCTGCCCTCTACAGCCCCGCACCCCTCCACCGCTCCCTCTGCCCTCTGCAGCCCGCGCCCCTCACTCGCTGGCTCTGCCCGCTGCCCTGGCTTTCTTAAGGGTTCTGGGCACAAGGCTGCTCCTGGCTGCTCCTCTGGACACTTTCCTGGCTCCCCTCCTCACCTTTCCCATCCTCGCCCTCACATCTGCCTCCCACCAAGGGCCCCAACCACCCTGTGTGGCACAGAAGCCTGTGGCTCTCCCACCCCAGCCTGCCTTTCTCCTCTCCATGGTGGGCGCCTCGGCCGACACTGGGTCTGCCTCCTTAAGCACCTCTCCCTGGCTGGGAGGGAAGCTCCAGGTTGCAGGACTGTTTGTTTTGTGTAAGGCCAGGTCCCCTGACCTGGAGCCGGCCTGGAGGACAGAGGTGCTCAGGACCCATCTGCTGAGTGACTGTGTGTGTGAAAGAATGAATGTGCAAATGAATGCATGAATGTGCGTGTGTGTATGAGCGAATGTGCATGAATGAATAAGCAAACATGAATGAATGAATGAATATGTGTGAATGAATGTGCATGGGTGAATGTGCGTGAGTGAATGTTGAATGAATGTGCGTGAATGTGCATGAGTGAATGTGCGTGAGTGAACAAATGTGCGTAAATGAATGCATGAGTGCGTGAATGTGCATGAATGTGGGTGAGTAAATGTGTGAATGAGCATGAATGAATGTGAATGTGTTGAGTGAATGTGCGTGAATGAATGTGAATGAGCGTGAATATGTTGAATGAGTGTGTGTGGGTGAATGAATGGATGAATGGAGTGAATGTGCATGAGTGTGCGTGAATGTGCGTGAGTGAATGTGCGTGAATGAATGTGCATGAATCTGCGGGAATGTGACTGCGTGAATGAGCATGAATGAATGTGTGTGTAGTGACTGCGTGAATGAATGTGTGAATGAATGTGCATGAGTGTGTGTGAGTGGATGAACAAATGTGCGTGAATGAATGAATATGCGTGAATGAATGCATGAATCTGCATGAATGAATGTGAATGTGCGTGAGTGTGTGTGAATGAATGTGTGCAAATTAATGAATGTGTGAATTAATGAGCATGAATGAATGTGTGAATGAATGAATGCGTGTGAATGAATGAATGTGCATGAATGAGTGAATGGGTCCCCCTGTGTATCTGCGTTGCCTCCCGGTCACCTGGCACCTTCGATGTTGCTGCCTGGGACGCTCTGTGGCTGGCTGGGGCAGAGGCAGGGCTGGTAGTGCCACGTGCAGTTGGCCTCCTGTGTGTACTGGTACTCGCCATGGCCGTCCTGCGTGTGCGTGTTGTAGAAGCCGCAGTAGATGGCTGGGAGGAAGGGAGCTGTCAGCTGGTGGGGTTCCTGGCCCTGGCCCTGGCCCTGACCCGGTGGTTCCCCTGGGCATGCATGGAACCTGAGTGTGGGCGGGGAAGGTCTGGGCCCTCTTGGTGAAGCCTCCCCTGGGCAGCTGGGGGCTGCGGGAGGGCCAGGGTGGCCCCGCAGGGCACAGCCCGGCGCCTGTCCAGGGAGAGGGGCCTGTGGGCAAGGGCAGCCCTGCGCCGGCCCTTAGTGGCGCTGGGTGGCAGGGGCTGGAGCAACCTGTGGGAGGGGTGGTCACTCACGGCAGAAGGCCGGGGTCCTCCAGTCCACGCACACACCCTTGTCCAGACAGGCTTGGGCGTAGGCAGCCACGGCATCGCACAGACACTCACAGTCCCCGCCACTGTCACACCCACATGCGTCGCGCACGCAGGCCTCGTAGTAGGGCAGGTGGTATACCTGCAGGGGTGTGTGCCAGTCAGTGTCTGGCTGCCGGGGGATGGCGGGGCATCAGGCTTTGCCACCTGCAGGGCCCTCAGTGTGGTCAGGCCGGAGTGTGGCGGTAAGGGCGCTGGGACTGGGTGAGCGGCACCACGTGGACCTCAGCCCTGACCGCTAGCCACGCTCCCGGAGCCGATGCTGCCACGGAGGCCTGACCCGAGCTCACGCCTTGAGACCCGCCATCGGGACCAAGATGCCGCTGCCGCTAACCACGGCCACTGCAGTCCCACCCAGGGTCTCTGCTCCCCCCACGTCACGCTCACATTCAGCGGGCCAGTGCCATGCTGTTCCCCCGCGGGGTGCCCCCATCCTCTCAGTTCTTACTGCGCCGCGATGGCCGGATCACGCCCTGGGCTGGGAAGTGCACGCCCTGCATCCTGGAGGTCTCCCTGACCACCAGCTCCTGAGCAGGGGGCCCACCAGGCGATGCTGCCCCAGGGGACTCGTGGCACTGTCTGGGGGTGCTATTGGCATCTGGTGGGTGGAGGCCGGGGGGCTGCTTAACAGCCACAGTGCACGAGTCGGCCCCACATCAGGGCCCTGCACTCAGGCAGAGGGTCTGAAACTCTCTGCACCCTGACCTGGCTGGTCTGGGATCCCACGGAGGGAGAACCGTGCCTGGCTTCCCCGCCCCTTCCCCCGCCCCCACCGGACATTTGTGGAGGGGCAGGCGCACAGCCCTCGTGCCCGGTGCCCACCTTGCTGTGGCAGGTGGCAAAGGTCTGGCTGTTGATGACGCTGCACTTGCGCTCGGCCCAGGAGCGCCGGAAGGCATTGAGACTGCAGGGGTCTGTCACGAAGCTCACGTCCCCGCACAGCGGGCTCTCCTTCCACGAGTTCACCAACTCCAGCTCGCTGGATGCCACGTACCTGCTGCGCGTCTCGAAGTCGTCCTTCATGTTCCCGTTGAAGTTGCCACACAAGCCGCAGAGGGGATCCTGCAGACGGTGGCATCAGGCCGGGCCCAGGGGCCGTGCCATCTGTCTCCACCCCTGCATCAGGGAGGGCCTGGGAGGAGGCAGAGGGCGTGCGGTACCTGGGAGGCACGGGCGATCCTGATGAGGATGGTCATGTGCCTGTTCCAGATGAGCGTCAGGTTGTACCTCCCGGGGATGCTGATGTCCACGACAAGGCTCAGCGCACCCGGCGTCACCCCGAGCTGCACGTGGGGCTCCTCCCCGGTGACCGTGTAGTTTCTGTCCGCCAGCACCACGGACAGGCCCTGTGGGGTGGGGTTGGCATAGGACTGCCTGTCTGTCTCCCCCGGCCCCTGGCACAGCCGTGCTGGACCGAGCTCTCAGAGACAGAGCTGCCCAGGTCTGTTAAGGCCATGCACAGGAGCGCCTGCTGAGAGCCAGCTTGGGGCAGAAGGGCCTGGCATGCCTGGAACAGGGCTGAGGGCTGAAGCTCGGGCTTCCTGGAGAGTCCCTCCCCTCTGCCCGGGAGACATTCTGCAGTCCCTGAAACCTTGTGGGGCACAAGCACCCGTGGTCCTGAGCGTCTGGCCAGGGAGGGGCAGCAGGCACCCCTCAAGGAGAGGCAGGCGGGGAGGGCTGCATCTCGGGGCAGGACCTGGAGGCTCCAGTGCGCGGGATCCAGCTGTGTGGCAGGGCCCCCTACCGCCCGTCCTGCCCTGCCAGAGTCTGCCCGGCTGCTCACCCCCAGGAAGATCTTGATGGCCCGTGAGCATGTGACCCCGGAGTTCCCACAGATGACGTTCTCTGTCAGGATCTTGAAGGTGGGCTGTGAGTCGTTGACACCACAGACGTCCTGCAGGGAGAGGGCGCTGAGGAGGAGCCCTGGAGGCCGTGCCTCTGGGTCCCCGGCCCCTGCGGCCTGGCACCCGATGGTTACCGTGGCCAGGATGTACTCGCAGTTGCCGTCGAATACGAAGCGCTGGCCGTCGAAGGTGATGACGTGGCCCTCCCCGTAGAGGGTGCAGGTGGATGGGCAGTGGGTGCCCTGCTGACAGGCCCACCTCCCCCTTGAGCAGGAGCTGTGGAGACAGCAGGTGTGGGTGGTGGGCCTGCGGCCCTCCTGCCATACTGGGTGTGGTCCCTGGAGAGGCCAGACTGCACCTCTGGACGCCCCCGCCTCTGGGACAGCCCCACCCCGGGCAGCCTCCGCCTGCCCCAGATGGCCCCAGGAGCCCAGGGCGTCTGAAGCGAGGCTTTGTCTCACCAGGTCCTGCAGTCAGTGTGGAGCTCAGCTCCTCCAGGGTAGGAGACCCCCGAGAACTCACATGGGCACTCCTCGGGGGGCACACACTGCCCGTCGGCATTCTCGTAGAGGCCCTCGGCGCAGACACAGCCAGGCTCACACTTGGTGGGCACCTGGAGGGAGGCAGGTCAGCAGCTCCTGGGAGGGTGGCCTCAGCCAGCTGCTGCCCAGCCCTGGGCCCCTCTGAGACTGCCCGGCGTGTCTCCCAGGTCCTCTCCCTGAATACAGCCCTGCTCTGTGGCCTTTGTGGGCAGCTGGGCTTACTGCCTTAGCAAAGCTTCCCCCACCTCGTGGAAGGTCCTGGGACCCAGTGCACACGGCTGGGCTGCTGTACCCACTCCCACACATGGGCAGCCCACCCTCCCCGAGCTGGTGCCCACTGTCCTTAGGGAGCCCTGCAGACGAGCCCCCGGGGCCTCCAGCTGCCTGGCCACAGGGCCGCTTCCACCTCGTGGCCAGCCCCAGGCACCCGCTGCAGGGCAGAATGCGGCCAGGTCTCCCGGAGTTCTGTGGAAACCCCCTCATGGTTCAGCTGGGGCCCGGGCATTGTCCCTGCTCCTCGCGCGCCCCCTTACGCAGGCAACACCGGTGGCCAGCATCTGGCATGTGGGGGCACAGGCTGCCCCAAACTTGTTCTCGGAGGACTGGCTGCAGGACTTGAAGGTCTTAGGGGCCTGGCAGGAGGCTGCAGGAAAGAGGGGTGCGCGGTCAGGACACTCAGAGGAAGCCGGGGCCCCTCACAGTCCCAGCCTGCGGCCAGCGCTGCTGTACGTACCCAGGAACATCTGTGGCCGCTGCGGGCAACTCAGCCGCCCGTTGATGCAGTGGCTGCAAGAGAGAGGCTGCGTGAGACCCCGGGACCTGGCAGGGACCCCCCGCCTGGCCCCTGCCCGGTCCCTCACCAGGTGATGCCGTTGATGACAGTGGACTGCTCGGCCAGGATGAACTTGTAACCCTCCAGTATGCACGGGCACTGGGCCTTGCGCACACACTCGCCCTTTTGGTTCAGGTAGGTGCCATCGGGGCAGTTGCAACCGTCCACGGGCACGGCGCTGTGGTGGCACTCGGTGGCACGGTCCGACAGCGACAGGCAGGTGCGCTCACAGGCTTGGCTGTTGTAGCTGAAGGTGGTGTTACCCGTGCAGGGGATGGCTGTGGGGGACCCGGGCATCAGACTCTCCGGGAGGGGGCGGCCGGGAGGGCAATCTCGGGTTCCCCTGCCTGCCGGGCACTGCAGAGCCTCAGAGCTTGGGGTCCCAGGACACCCCCTCGTGAGCCCAGCCTGCCGTGACCCCGCTTAAGCCCCGTCGGGCACTCACTGCAGTTGTCCACACTGCTTCTCCAGCCCCAGAGCAGGACGCCCCGCAAGGAGCAGGCGTGTACGTAGTCGCCCAGGGCGGCACAGATGTGGGGAAAGGTCTCCTCGTAGTTGCAGGCCTGGTACACGCACCTCTGCGGGCAGAGAGCCAGCATGGGCTGGTGGCAGGCACCCTGCCCTGGGGACATGGGGGTCCCAAACCTATGCCCTTGGGTGCCTGAGACCTTGTCAGCCACCACAGCCTCCCCTGCAGCCCTCCCAAGACGCCCTCGGGCCCTCACCTTGTAGAAGGGTGCAGGGTTCACTGTGGCGTGGCACCTCTCGAACACCGTGCCTGTCCTCAGCAGCATGGAGCAGTGGGTCTCTGCACACACCTCTGGGGATGACAGGCCCGGGCGTGAGTCCCGGCCCCTCCCATTCCAGCTACGGCTCCTCCCAGGGACCCCCCACCCTGGCAGCTGGGCCTGTGGTCCAGTCCAGGGGTCTGTCAGAACTGTGGGCGCTGGGGGGGCAGCCAGGGGAGTGGGGGGCCGGACACTCACTGTTGAGCTGGCTCATGGAGCAGGGGTCAGTCTCACGCTCCAGAGCGGCCGGACAGTTCCCCGCCCGCCAGGAGTCCACAAACAGCGAGGCGGTGCCCTCGGCGATACCCATGCTAGTGGTGAAGTCATCCGTTGTGTCCCCGTTGAAGTTGCCGCAGAGCCCTGAGCCGGCGGGGCGTGAGCTCGACTTGAACCCATCCCTCCTGCACCCATTCCTGCCCACACGCCCTGGAGCTCCCGTCCTTCCTCTAACAGCACCCTGGGTGAGAGGCTGCGTGGGCCACACGTGCCTGTTACCCCTGGGGGCTCCCCGGACACAGAGGGTTGTGTGAACCTCTCTTGGACCTTTCTCCTCCCCTGGTCATGGCCAGACCCTGTAGGGATGAGGCAACAGGGCCACCTGGAGAGGCAGGGACTCACCTCTGGTCTGACCTCTGAACTGGGGCCCAACAGTGACATAGGCCTGGAAGATGGGGCGCAGCTGGACCACGAGCTCCAGCCCGAAGCTGGTGGCCATCTGGAGGTGGGTGGACGTCTGCCTGAAGACCGTGATGTTGCCTGCAGGACGCAGTGCTCAGTGGGCCGTCTGGGCTCCCTCCCCACCCACTGCAGCCCGCCCCGAAGGCACAACTCTGGGGGGCCACAGACTGGGCCAGGACGTACGAGTCTTGTATGGCAGCCACTTGGCTTCTCCGTTGTTGGTGACCACCTCGTCCTGAGAGATCACAATTTTGTCCTGGAGAGAGGGTGGCCTGAGTCAGGGTGCAGGCACCAGGGAGCGGAGCCCTGCTGGCAGGGATGGGCGCAGGAAAGGCCTTACCTGCCTGGAGAGGTAGACCACAGCCACCAGGGAGGTCTCGGAGTGTGAGACGCCGGACTTGTCGTACACAGCCATGAGGGCACCGTCCTCGGGAAGCTGGGGGCTCTGCGAGGGGGCGGGGCTCAGACACGGGTGGGGTCACCGGGAGCGCCCCTCCCCACGGGCCACAGGGCTCGTCCTACCTGGAGGAGGATGTAGGTGCAGGTGCCGTGGAAGCGGTAGGGCCTGGCGTCAAATGTGGTAACAAAGGAGCCACCTTCCAGGGAGCAGTGTCCGGGGCACGGCCGCTCCGTGCACACCCAGCGGCCCAGGGTGCACCGGCTGTGGGTGGGCGTGGGGGTAGCGGCATGGTGGGCAGGGCCGCTGGAGCCAGACAGCACACCCCTGCCTGCCCTAGGCCAGTGGAACCCCTGCCGGCCGGCCAGAGCCCCCTCCGGCGCCTCACTCACCAGGTTTGGCAGGCAGCTATTGTGACCTCCCCGGGGGCATACATGGCGCCGTGGAGCACACAGGGGCACTGGGTGACGGGCACGCAGGTGTGGTTATTGGAGAGGTCATTCAGGACCGTACCTGCAGGAGAGGGTCTTCTTGGGGCTTGGGTGGGACTGACTGCCTCCCACTCTCCCCTCCCTGGCTCCAGGGAGACGCCCCCTCCAGCCTGGCTCCAGGGAGACGCCCCCTCCAGCCTGGCTCCAGGGAGACGCCCCTCCAGCCTGGCTCCAGGGAGACGCCCCCTCTAGCCTGGGCCATGACCTCTCTCCAGCTGCACTTGCATTCGCAACTCTATGTCAGGCCCTGGGCGTGCACAGCCCCTCGTGCCAATGTGCCCGGCCCAGGTTCCTGGTGAGTGGTGGCCTCCAGCAGGCAGGGACGTGTAACTGTCCCTTGGGCCCGGCTCAAACCCTGCCTTCCCTCGGCAGCTCCTAGACCGCAGTGAGCAGCCCTCACCGCCCGTGGGTTTGCAGGGGTGGCCGTGGCTGGGGGACCTGCAGGCTGTAAGCGTCCAGGCGGGAAAAGCCTGTCCCAGGGCAAGAGGCGCCAGAGCTGGGACTCAGGCAGCAGAATGTTGGGGTGACCTGGGTCGGGGTGGGTGGGGTCTGACGTCCCCTTGTCTCTGGGTTCTCTCTAGGGGTCCCGGGGAGAGAGAGTGCCTGCGACTGCCCTCACCTTCCGGGCAGAAGCACCCGAAGGTGCAGGAGCTGGAGCAGCTGTGCTGCGGGTTGGAGCAGGTCTTCACGCAGGCCGAGCCGCACTCCTGGTACACCTGGTTGGCCGGGCACTGACCCACGGCTGTGGGCACACGCGGCTCCGGTGAGAGGGTCCCACCCCCCCCACCCCTCCCTGCCCCACCCCAGCTTGATGGAGGACTTAGCCCAGCCCTTCCTCCATCTAGAAGCAGCAGCGAGGATCTCCTGTCTCTCAGACCAGGAGGGATGCAGGCGTCACGTCAGGCAGTCCAGGGGCTGGGAGAGCTGGGTCTGGAGCCCTCGGCCTTCCTGCCCCTCCCTCTCCCTTCCCTGGACTCACAGCACAGGCCGGGGCTCCGCCAGCGGCGGACCGGCTGGCCCACCATGCTGCACTGGCGGGAGTACTCCGACAGGGTGGCACAACTGCTGTTCTGTGGGCCTGGCTGGGGGGCTGCGGCCACGTCCGCCTGGCAGCTTAGCACGAAGGGCTCCTTGGACACGCTGCACTCAGGGGCCACCAGGGTCAGCAGCTGGGTGCAGATCCGGGCCTGGGGGGGCCACTCAGGGTCATGGGGGCAAAGGCCACACCCCATGCCACCACGACTGGGGAGGTCGGGCAGGGCGTCTGTGATGCGGCTGCTTGTGGGGGCCCTTGGTGGTCTCGGCGACCCTGTCAGACCTGGGGTCAGCCCCACCTGGAGCCCCCTTGCTTACGTGCTGGGCCTGCCGGACGTGGGTGCTGGGGATGTCCTGGAAGGTGCAGATCTCGCCGGGGTCGTCCAGCTTCTGGAGGGCAGCAAACTTGTGGGGTTCCAGGAACTTGCCTGGGGTGCAGAATGGGGGTCAGCACCGTGGGGGCTGGGCCTCAGAGGCCCCCCTGCCCTGCCCCCCACCTAGAGGCCCCCCCAGAGGCCCCCCAGCCCTGCCCCCACCTACCCTCCTCACTGACAAACTCGTTGGTCACCTTCCCGTCAAAGTTCCCGCAGAGCCCGCACATCTGACCCATGTACTTCCGCTCCACCAGAACCTGCGGGAGACGGCTCTGCTGGGGGCCCGGGGGCCAGGGGCCCCCTCATCTGCTGTGGAGGGCTCTCAGTTCCTGCTCCTGGACCCAGAGCCCCCACCATCCCCCCACCTGCTCATCTGCCTCTTCTTATGGGAGGCTAATTTTCCAGTGGAGAAGCCGAGTCACCCACAAAACCCAGTCCTGGCTCATGTTGCTGGTCAGGGGTCAGCACTGCTTGGCACGAAGGGCCTGGCTGCATGGCAGCCTGAGGGCTGGCTGGGACCCCCAAGGAGGGCAGCCCCTCCCAAGTCCCACCTGCCCCCCCGTGCTGCGGGTCTCCAGGCCCACCCTGGCCCTTCTCTCCTCACCATGAGGTGGCTGTCAGGACCCCACACGACTTCCAGCTCCAGCTCCAGCTGCTTGGCCACCAGCCGCACGCTCTGGCCGAAGGGTGTGATCTGGAGTCCATTGCTGGTATAGGGCAGGCTGATGACCCTGTGGGGCAAGGGAAGTCGGTGGTCGATCCTCAGTCCTCCGGCCCCCGAGCCCCCGGGCCCCGGCCCACCTGACCTACCCGATGTCCTTGACTGAGATGATGGCTTCGCTCACAGTGACGACGGAGGCCCCCAGCTCCACGATGATCCGCGAGATGCTCCCGTCTGGGCCTCGCCGCAGCTGGACACTGAAGGTGGGGAAGGCGTCCTTGCAGGTGGCCGCGAAGATGTAGTTGCACGTCCCCGAGAAGTCGTACACGTGGTGGTCGAAGGTGGAGAAGTGACCAGCCCCCCACGTGGAGCACTGGCCTTTGTCCGGGGCTACAGAGAGAGCAGTGCTCACACAGCCCTGTGTCCCCACCATCCTGGCCAGGCAGGGCTGGGGCAGGCAGAGAGGTCACTCGTCTCCCTGGGCCAGGGTTTTTGAGTTGGGGCCAGGCTGTGGAAACCCCAGACATCCGATGAACCTGAGTGCTATGGTATATGCCTGGCCAGGAGTCAGCACCGCTGTGGGCATGTGCACACACGTGTGTGTGGGTACACGTATGTGTGTTGTGTGTGTGCACGTGTGTGCACGTATGTGCGTGTCTCGGGTGTGTGCATACGTGTCAGGTGTGTCCATGTGTGCATTGTGGGTGTGTGTGTGTTGGAGGGCTGTGTAGGCGTGTGAGATATACACCTGCATGTGTGTTGGGTGTGTGTGATTGTGTTGCATGCACATGTGTGTTTGTGTGAGCTGGGCATGTGTGTCGAGTGCATGTGTGTGCATTCGGGGTGTGTATGTGTGTGTTGGGTGCGTGTCTCAGGTGTGTAGGGTGTGTACATAGGGTGCATGTGTGTGTAGGGTGTGTGTGTGTTGGGTGCGTGCACATGTGTAAGTCGTGCGTGTTGTAAGTGTGCATGTTTGCATGTCTGGGATGTGTGTGCATGGGTGTTGGGTGTGTGTGCATGTGTTTGTCAGGTGTGTTTGTGTGTAGGTTGTGTGTGTTGGGTGTGTGTGCATGTGTGTTGGGTTGTGTGTCTGTGTAGAGTGTTGGGTGTGTGTGTGACGTGTGCTCATGCATGTGTCATGTACATGTGTATGCGTGTGTCAGGTGTGTGTGCATGTGTATATTGGGTATGTGTGTGTGTTGGGTGTATGTGCATGTGTGTTCATGTTGGTGCATATATGTGTGTTGGATGTGTGTGTCTTGGGGGTGACCTGGGCTCCGGGCCCCTCTCTCCTGCACACCGGGCCTGGGTGGTCTGGGCGGCAGGATCAGTGGCCGCTGTGTTCTTACCTGTCTGTGGAGAGTCCTTCAGCCTCTGGAGGCCTGGGCTGGTGTAGGAGGTGTTAGCCAGACCTGTGTGGACGGGACCCGCAGTCGGTGTGGGGCTACCCCGTCGTCCCTGAGGGCGCCGCTCACCTCTGCTCAGGGCTGCTCCGCCCGTTTCCCTGCACACACTCGGCGTGCGAGAAGTGTCCATGGCCCGTGGGGCTCGAGGCCTCAACAGCAAGCCAAGCGCTTGGCCTCCCATGCTGTCCTTCACGAGCCCCAGCTTCCTTCCCTGCTCTCGTTCACTCCCTCGTTTGTCCACTCAGTCCCAGTTCAGCCGTCAGCCCCTCGGGGTTCGGCAGATGGCGGGCACCCTGTGTGCAGGGTACTCATCCCTGGGGCTTCTGGGTGGGGCTAGGAGGGGCTGGTGCGGGTGGCAGGGGCTTGGCGGCGGAGCCAACAAAGTGGGCTGTGCCCGCCTCCCCAGCTTGGCCGCCTGGTTTCCCTGAGGGGTCTGCGCCAAGGCCCCACAGCCGGTTCTCCCTGCTCTCGGTGGCTCCGGGGCTCTAAACATGGCCGCTTTCCTGCACGTCAGCCTTGAGACAGCCTTGATGTCAGGCCTGGCACTGAGGCCACTGTTGTCAGAGAAACATCCAGATAGCCCAGTCACGGTGACTCCAGGGCAGGGCAGCGGGGGACGTCCCACCCTGACTCCCAGAGGCTGGGGTGGGGCCAACACCCCCCACGTCCCACCCCCTGTACCCAGAGGGAGACTTTTCCCACCTCTGGGTAACTCCCCGGACCCTGCCTCCGAGACTATGACCCTTCCTGTGGCTCCCACGAGCCCCCGATGTCTGAGTGGTGGTGCGGCACCTGAGCAGGACCCGTGACCTCTCCAGGCCCTTCTTGGGGCCGGGACCCTCCTTGCCCCTGCCCATTGGTTAGCAGGGCACTCACAGCACCTCCTTCCAGATGTAGCTCAGAGATCCCATTCCTGCCACTCCTCACCTGTGCTCTCACCCCAGGCTCTGCCCACTTTCTGGGACTTACTTGATGCTGCCCCCATTACCGCTGGACACCTGTGTCTCCGGTGACGCAGGGGCAGGGGCCTGTCAGCTGGGAGATGGTGTTAACCGCGGTCCAGGGAGGAGCCAGGCTGCCTGCCCCTTGGCCGCCTGGGTGAGTCCTGTCTGGCACAGGCAGGAGGTTGGGTATTTGAGTGACTGGATTTAAGAAGAATGCCAACCTTGGCTATGTGGGACACATATTTGGCTGTGGTCCCCTTTGGCCTTGAGATCGTTTTCTGATGGGTTGCACCTGGCTTATCCCCAGTGTAAGCTGAGTTTACTCCAGACTGGTGTGGGGGTGGCTCATGCTGGGCCCTGAGCCTGGCGAGCACCTACCCCCTCACTCATCCCCCTCCTGGGGGTCCCAGTAGGTGTCATGGTCCTCAGCCCCCCGCCATTCCTTCCAGGGATGATCCACAGGGCTCAGAGCACCTGCTGCAGGAGTGCGCAGCACACCGAACCCTCAGCCATGGAACTCAGTGGTTCCTGGGATGGGGCCCTCGCTGGCCTCTGGTGGGGGAGGGGTGGGAGAGCTCTGAGCGGGAGGAGCAGTTGGCTGCCTGCCCCTGGGCCAGCACCTCTGGAGGCTGCAGAGCTGTGACCGGTCTCCCCTGGGCAATGCCCCCTGCAACTCAGTTTCTCCACCTTTCCGATGGGGGGTGGCACTTGGGGGCCGTCCCCGCTGTAGCACAGACACCTCGGGCCTGTGTTTCGGTGCCCTCAGCCCTGCCAGGCTGGCTTCACTGCCCCGGGTGGGTGCCTCATTGCTGCACCCCCTGCGCCCCCCGCCGCCCTCGCCCTGCCCCACCCGCAGGAGGTTCCCCGAGTCCACTGGCTCCAAGTCGGCTGCCTCCAGCTCTGAAGTCCAGCGGGAGACTCCTGCGTTCCTGCCCAGACTGGCTGTGCTTCCCCTCGGCTGATCCCTTGGCCAGGCGCATGGGCATCTGGGCGGGTTGGTCCGCCACCCCCGGCCTCTCAGCCCCTGGACGAGCACGAGGCGGCAGGTGCGCACTGTTCCTTCTGCACGCTTGGCGGCCGCCCACCCCTGCCTCCCGGCCCACCGCGGCCCAGGCCTGCAGCCCGTCTGTCCGACCCCACACTCTGCTGGCTGAGGCCCCTCCCATGTTGGCAGAGATGGCGCTCAGAGATTATTTGCTGGGGTGACGGGTGGACACCCCCACTTGGCCCTCCACCCTCTGCACTGCCCACAGCCCAGACCTCCAGCCTCTCTGGGCCTCACCACACCTCCCTCCCTGGCTCCAGGGTGGTGGCCCGAGGGACTAGGGGTCGCACTCTGCTGCAAGTTTAGCCCCACTTCCTGGCACTTGTCCCCAAGCTGTGCCAGGTGTGCAGGTAGGGGCTGGGGTCCCAAGCAGAGGGCACCGCTGGGAGGGCTCAGAGACCCCCACATCTCCCACGGTTGAAGGGTGGTGCCCGGCGTGGTAGGGAGCGGGCTCAGAGACCCCCATATCTCCTACAGTTGAAGGGTGGTGCCCGGCGTGGTGGGGAGCGAGCTCAGAGACCCCCACATCTCCCACGGTTGAAGGGTGGTGCCCGGCGTGGTGGGGAAGGGGCTTCAAAGGAGAGAAGGGGTGGGGTGGGCTTGGGTCGCCCTACAGTGGGACACCCCTGGGGGGGTCCCACTGTGCTCTGAGCCCGAGGCGCCCAGGTTGGCAGCAGCTCCGAGGGCGAGCTCTGTCACGCCAGCGTCCACCCCAGGGGGCTCCCGGCTGTGGAGGAGGGTCGGGCCAGCTTGGAGAGGAAGGAGGAGCACGGAACACAGAGGCCCTTGGGCTGGTGCCTTGGTCGGCAAGAGGGGTCTCCCCAGGTCTCAGGCTGCGGCCACAGAGGGACCCCTTGGGGCTGGCTCCTTCTGGGGGCCTGGGGAGGGACTGATGGTCACCTGCAGCAGCCGCAGGGCAGGCGGTTGGCAGAGGATCCAGGATGTCAGTCCCTCCTGGATCCTGCCCGAGCTGGGTAGGGGAGCGCGGGGGAGAGGGCAGGCTGCCTGCGGCGGTTCTGAGCCCAGGATGGCCGTACACCTTCCCCCCTCTTCCCCCCACGGCGGCCACACCAGGGGAGGCAGCGTCCCCCACTTCTGTAGACTAGGAAACGAGGCCCAGGGCCCAGCAGAGACTGTGCCTCTGTCCCCCACACTCCAGAGACCTCTCAGGACTCAGGACCCCACTCGGGGAGGGAGAGCGCCAGGGCTGGGCACCAGCACACCTGCCCACTGTTCCCGCGGGAGTGCCGGACCCCACTCCAGCTGAGCGTCCTCCCCCGCTGGCTGCTGTGCCAGCTCACAGGAGGGCGTCCCTGCCCAGGCCCCATGGGGTCCCTGACCCCAATTGGCAGAGCCCAGCACCGCGGCTGCTGGGGGGACCCGGGCCTGGCAGCGGGGGCTGGTCACGGAGCCGAGCTGGGGCCTCCCGTCCATCAGCGTCCATGTGGGCCAGCCGAGTTGTCGAGGCGAGAAGGCCCAGAGACCCCCGCACACAGGGCCCCTCTGAGGGCACCGCAGTGTCTGGCGCCCCTCGACCTCACTCACCAGCGCTGAGCAGGGCTCCGCAGCAGGACAGCAGCAGCCACCGCTGGACCATGGTGCACAGTGGAGAGGAGCTCGCGCTGGGCCCGGCAGGCCTGCTGCTGCCATCCATGCGGCTCCAACGGCCGGTCCTGGGTGCCTTATATAGGCTGGCGGGCCCTCCCCCGCCGCACCTGCCTGCGCCCCGCGGTCCAGCCCCTTAATCACCACTGCCGGCGGGCGCCGCGGTGGCCAAACAGGATCTGGGCCTGCTTTATCAGGACTCGGCTTTCTTTGGAAAATCCTGCAGGCAGCGGCCCCATTATCACCCATTCCCAGCGGGGGGCTGACGCACGCACGCCCCCAAAGGTCCTGCAAACACCCCCTGCATGGGGGCCATCCTGGCCCGGGCCCTCCCCGCTGCTGGGTCAACGTGGCACTGTCAGCCACACGCCTGGTGGCCGGGATGGACCTGTTGGGGGAGGTCGGGGGCCCTGGGGCACCTGCTCTGCCCCTTCCGGGGAGCCCAGTGCTGACCCAGCTTGGGGGGAACCCTGCTGCACCTGAATCCCAGGACCCCCTGAGGGGCACTGGGCCCACCCCTCACCCTGAATCCCAGCACCCCCTGAAGGGCCCTGGGCCCACCCCTGAGTTCCCTGCCCAACAGGAAAGATCACCCAGCGGGAGGGACCTTGCCAGGGGGTGTTGGGGAGCAGGGGCTCCGCCGTCTGGGACAGGCAGCGGCCTTGGGGCTTAGACAGGCTGCCCTGGAGGCCTGAGGAGCTACCGTGTCTCTGCAGCCCGCCAGGTCCCAGGCTTGCTCCTGAAGACCCCTCCACAGCTGTTTTCTTCCCCCTTCGAGCGCTGTTGGCAGCCATCTTGAGGACAGGAACTCGGGGGCTGCTCGTCTGCTGGGGCATCTCTGCGGGGCTGTGGGGTCGCCGGTATGCTCCTGACCCCTTCAGGCAGAGGGGCAGGGACTGGGATGACCAGGGGGCCTTGCCTGTGGAGGCACGTGCCACGTCTGAGGGGCCGGGGACAGGGCAAGGTCTGGTGACATCGGGGTGGTGCCGGTGGCTGGCGGGGGGGAGGGAGGTGGAGGTCTGAGTGGTCACCAGGATTGCCCCAGCTTCGTTTGGCAGCCCAGGGACCCCTCCCAAAGGGGATTTTGGTCCCCGACTCCGACAGGAGCCCTCGCTGGCCTCGGGGCTGCTCCCACCACACGTCAGCATCCCGGCCTGAGCCAGGAGGGACTCCGAGGCCGCCTGGTCTCCCTGGGCCGGGCTCCCCACATGGGGCTGCACCCCCATCCCACAGGTGAGCTGAGCCTGCTGGCTGGGACCCGGGCCTGCCACCTCTGTCCCACCTGTGCCCACACGCCCGGGAGCTGCCCCACCTGCCCCCGGAAGAGGCCCCAGGGCCACGCGTGCCATACACAGTAGGTGTCGCGTGTTTCACTTAAATCAGCTTCAGTTTTGTGGAACGTTGCTTGAAGTTACAATAAGTTGCTTTTGTAGGAAATTGCAGTACGTGTGCTGCCCCCCACCAGGAGCCCCACACCAGGCATTCTGGGTGTTCTACTCTCATCTGTTCTTCTTTTTAATTTTTCGGTTTTGTAGGGACGAGGTCTCACTTTGTTGTCCAGGCTGGCCTTGAACTCCCGGACTCAAGAGATCCTCCTGCCTCAGCCTCCCAGAGTGCTGAGATGACAGGCGTGAGCCACCGTGTCCAGCCTTGGCTGTCCCTTCTTAACACGCTCAGTGGTCCCTGTGGTTCAGGTGAGAAGCTGAGGCACAGGAGTGAGGCCCTTGCCCTGTCATGCTGAGAGGTTGGATGGACGCAGGGCTCACAGCTGGCCCTCGTTCTGAGCTGGGGCCTCTCAGCCCGGGCTCGAGGTGGGGACGATGAGGGGCAGAGATCTTAGGGCCTCCTTCCCTGGGTGGGTCACTGCACCAGGGCAGCTGGTGCCAAAAGGGACCTCATGGGCAGGTGTCATGGCTGGGAGCCCTGTGGCCATGTCAGCCCGGCGGTTGTGCTTGTCTGACCACCTGTCTGGGCTTGTGAGAACCGAGCTCAGGTTCTCAGGAGGGATCCTATGAAGCTTTGAATGTAGGGGCAGGGGTGGGTTGGGGGTGAGAGCCAGTGGACACTGGTTCCCCGGCCAGGCCTGTAGGGCTTCGGGTCCTGGCCACTGAGGCTTCCATTTCCCAGCTGTAAAGTGGCAGAGACCCCTGACCTTGAAGGTTATGGCTGTGGCGTTCAGCATGTGAGTCCCCAGCGTCCTCTAGAATTGGGGGATCCCTGCAACTTGCACAGGTGTGGGGCGGGTGGGGGCTGGATACCACCAGCCTGCAATGGGGCTGCCCACTGGGCCTGTGGTGAAGATGCCCGCTTGCAGGTGTGTGGTGATTGTGTATGTGTGTGTGCGCATATGCATATGTGTGCGTGCACGTGTACCTGTGTGTGCGTGTGTATGTGTGTGCCTGTGTGCACGTGAGTGCCTGCCTGTGTGTGTGCATGTGTGCCTGTGTGTGCACGTGTGTGCATGTGTGTGCGTGTGTGTGCACGTGCCTGTGTGTGCCTATGTGGGTGCCTGTGCCTGTGTGCCTGTGAGTGCGTGTGTTTGCGTGTGTGTGCATGTGTGTGCACGTGTACCTGTGTGTGCCTGTGTGTGTGCATGTGTGTGTATAGGTTGAATTTCTGGTGAAAGCTGTGCATCCCAGAATTTATTGTCCCCATGATCTCAGGGCCACTCGAGTGTGTAGAAGGCCCTGGCCCCGAGCCCTGGTGGGGGCTCCATCGTGGCACCATGGGGCCTCCGGAGCCTGGGGGTCTCTCTCTCTCAATGCACTCGCTTGGTGGCAAATGGCTGGGAGCGGTGTTTCTGTCCTGGCCGGGGAGCGCTTGAATGCACTGAGCAGTGGGGGAGATAAGCGTGTGAGGTGTTGTTCCTGGAGCAACCTGGTGATAGGAGCCATGTCCTGTGGGCCTGGCTGGAGAACAGGGCCTGAGGACTGGACAAGTGGGTGATTGTCCCCTCTCATGCCCAGCGCTGGCCCCGCCCTCTATGTCCGTCTAAGTGGCCTGGCCCTGAACAGCGGTCACTCCAGGCCTGGTGTGGCTGTGAAGCGGGAGTCAGGGTGGGCCCCGGGCCCCAGCTTCCCGGCTGAACCGTTAGGGTGGGCGCTGGCTCCTAGACCCGCAGGGCTCCCTGGACAGGTGTGAGCAGACCTTCACTTGGACTTGAGGCCTTCACCCCTGCAGGTGTCTCCAGAAGGCTCTGGAACTGACTCGGGCCTGGCTCCCCTCACAGGAGGCTGAGGCCCTGGGTCTGCTGGGACTTGTGTTCACAGAGGCGCTGGGATGGACCTGCTGGTGGCCCCCTGCCCCTCGGCCAGCCCCTTCCCTGCCCCTCGGCCAGCCCCTTCCCTGCCCCTTGGCCAGCCCCTTCCCTGCCCCTGCCCCGCTGGGCCCTGTGGTCAGGTGTGACGTCCCCTGGAGGAGAACAGGTGGGGCTTCACCCCCTGAGGCTTGGCAGCTGGTCCCCATCAGATCAAAGGATTGAAAACTGTGGGTTTGGGGAGTGTTTGGGAAAGATTTCAACCCCGGGAGTGGGAATGCACCCGGGCTTGGATCGCTGCCATTCCCCATCCGAGGCGCGGGCCCAGTGCTGGCCGGCAGAGCTCAATATGGCCAGCCAGTGCCCAGGTGCATGCCCGAGGGGGCGCGTCACGGCTTCCTGTTGATCCGGATGCCCGATGTCTTGGGAGGCACTGACCCTGTGCCAGGTCCTGGGGCCCATTGCTTGGGGAGGCGGTGGGAACCTGGAGACCCTGGGGACAGAGTGGCTGGATGCAAGGTCCCCCAAGGGGCAGGGGGATGGCAGGGAAGGGGCGTCAGGCCTGGGGGAGGTCACCTGCCCCACCCTCCCTCCAAGGCCCTTGTGTGGCTGGGTGGGGCTGGCCCTGGGTCCTCTCCCTCTCCCCCGTCCCTGAGCGTCACTGGTGACCTCCCCATGGACTTGTCCAGCTTGCCAGTACCCTGCGGTTTTGCCTCCTGAGTATGTTGAAACGTTCCTAGTCCAGCTCTTGCCTGCAGCCACCCCCATCGAATCTGGCCTGCCGTGGCCCCCGCCCTGCAGCCCCGAGTGTGTGGTACCCCCTCATTCTCCCTAGCACCTCAGAGGAGGCCCTGCCTGGCTCTGACACTCCCTGACCTCTGGCCTCTATCCCCCTCCCTGGACAACTCCTGCTTCTCCACCAGCCCTGCAGACCCCTCTGACCCCAGCTGCTGGGGTCCACCCTGCCGGAGGTAGAAACAGAGCCAGCTGCATGCCACAGGTGAGGGCCCTCCCCAAGGCCTGGGGAGGGGCAGCGTGACCCCGGAAGGGCAGCTGCAAGGGCCGGGCAGTGCAGCTCACCCGGGCGACCACCAGCCCACCCTCAATGAGACCCCACAGCCCCTGTCCAGTGATGTTCAGAGGGCTAGGGCTCCCCGGGCACCCACTGGTCTGCACTTTCAGACTTGACTGCTTGGTGCCTGGGCTGGGATTTGGGGGCACTGCCCTTCCCCCGTATCCCTGGGACCCCCTTTGGGAGCCGGACACTCAGGTGCGCACAGCCCCCACCCCCAGCCCAGCCCCAGCCCTGTGCTGTCCGCTGCCCACAGCCCACTGTGTGGCCTTGAGTGGACTGAAGGTCTCGTCTGGCTGCGGGAGGGGCCCTGGTAGCTGCTGGGCCTGGAGGTGGCTGGGATGGTGGGCTGGCCCGCCTGTCCGGGGTGGGTAGAGGAGTAGCTAGCAGGAACCACTGCCTGAGGCTGGGCTCAGCCCAGGCTGGTAGCCTCATGTTCCAGAAAGGGCTGGGGAGCTCTCCACCTGCCCTCCTCCAGAGAGGGGCCCTTGTCCTTTTTGTCTACTTATGCCCCGTGCAGGAAGCAGGTCAGGGTAGGCTGGGGCCCTCAGGAGCGGGCACGTTTCAGCCTGGGGTGGGGGCAGGATACGGGCTGCCGGGGCCATTGAGGCAGCAGCACAGGAGGGGTCCTGGCCAGGCCACTCCTCCCTCCAGGTGGGAGCTTAGCTGGGGCGGGACCCCCACCTCCCCGGGTGAGCATTGCCGGCCGGTAGCCTTGGGCAGGCACCCAGGAGAGGCCCCTGGCCTGAACTCCTCTCACACCTGACTCTGGTACCTCTGAGCCCCAGGGTAGGTGGCTGAGTCATCTCCCCAGCTGGCACCCCAAATACCTTCTCCCCTTTTCCCATCCCATGGGAGGTGGCTGTGTGCCACAGGTGAGGGTGCAGAGCCCCCAGCTGCTCCCTGCCCTGAGAGTTTCGCCCCCTGGCATGGGGCCCTGGGCAGACCCTCTCAGGACAGAGCCTTCCTTGCAGGCCAGCCCTGCCAGGCCCTCACAGTGGGGGTAGCTGTGCCCCACCAGCCCCGAGGGGAAGACCAGGATCCTGAGGGCTGGGGTTCACCTCCGATGTCCTGGGGGAGATGTCCATGCGTTGCCAACTCCAGGCCTGAACCCAAGGCGCCCTCATCTGAGCACAGGGAGAGGCTGCCGGGACGGCTGGGTGTCTGGCTGACTGCCCCGCCCGGGCTCTGGAGCTGATAACCAGCGGATGCGGAGTGAAATGCAAACAGATAAGGCTGTTGGGAACTAGGCCCCCTGGACTGCTCCGGGCGGGCAGCCGTGGGGCACCACACTGCCCAGGGCCAGGGGTTATTGGGCCGCCTTTTGCCCTCAGTGAGCGCAGCTGGATGGGGAGTTAGCAAGGGCTTGCTCTCCGAGGGTGGCTGGTGAGGGGGCTTTGAGGAGGGTGGGGGGACCCTGGGCTGCCGACTCAGACTCTGGAGGCTGCTGGTCAAGTGGGGGTGGAGGTCAAGCTGGAGCTGAGGCTCATGAGACCACCTCTCTCCCAGGAATCCTCATCCCTCTCATGGGGGTGACATTTAGGACTCCCTTTGGGGAGCCCGGCAGGGCCCCAAAAGCACAAGTCAAATGGCCTCTGAGGGCAGCTGCAGCTCACAGCAAGGGGGCCCTGGGCAGCCCAGGGTGAGATGAAGGGCTTCCAGGGCTCCAGGTGAAGAGCAGGACTGGGTGGGGGGTGGGGCCAGGTCACCAGGAGGTGTCGGAGACCAGGCTGGAAGGTGACCTGGCCTAGAGTAAGCTGGGAGAGGTGGGTAAACTGAGGACCAGAGCTGGGGGTGGGGAAGGGACCCTGAGCCAGCCTGGGGGGCGGTGGTGCTGTGTGCTGGCGTGGAGTCTGGGCAGGTGCCCCGGCAGAGGTGCCTCTGCCAGCAATGGCGTTGGGGCCACAGGTCCTGCAGAGAATTTGAAGAATTTGTTTTTTTCCCCAGAAAAGCTCCAGGTATTGCAGCCAGACCTGAGTCTCTCTCAGGAATCACATCCAGGGCCCATTCCAGGCAGTTGGACGTGCAGTGGGGGCAGCCACTGAGGCCCAGGCAAGAAGGGGTGACGGGGCAGGTCCTGGTCCAGAGGGTTGTGGGGGATGCTGGCATGGCTGGCATGGCTGGCATGGCCTGCAGAGAGTCGAGGAGCGCCCAGGCTCACCACAGCTGGTTCTTCGGGTGTTGTTCAGGGGAAACACAGTGGAGGCCTGACGGGAACAGGTGGGTTTCCCGGCCACTCACACCAGGTGCCGGCCCAAGGGAGCCTTGGGCCTGATCTGCTGCCCAGCGGCCGTGAGTGCTGTGTGGCCCGTGGGAGGCCCCGTGCATATGGCCTGCAGAGTCAGGTGTGGGGGGCCCAGAACACGTAGGCCTGGCAGAAGCCCAGGTGGCACAGACGTGGCCCTACAGCCGGGCTCGGGGCCCCGGGAAGCCAGAGGCTCAGGCCCTCCCAGCTGGCATCAGGGCTGATCGGGGCTGAGACCGGTCATCGGAGCAGCCCATGTCCACTGTCCCCTGTCTCAGCAGCTCCCCGGGGGTCCCCCAAACCCCAACCCTCCCCCAGATAGGAGCACAAGCAGGGTGGCCAAGGAGCACCCCCCAGCTTACCCACGGACCCTGGCTCAAGACTGGTGGCCAAGGTGCACCCTCGCTGTACTAGGCAGTGGCCTCCAGTCCTGATGCCACCGACTCTTGGGGGCATGGCCAGTGCCCGAGGCGGATGCGTGCGCACACATGCTCCCAGGAGGTGTTTGTAACAACCCCAAACTGGAAATGACCCAGATGTCCATCAGAGCGCAGCCTGTTCACCTGCTCTTCCAGCTTCAGCAATTACAAACAAAGCAGTTAGAACACGTGTGTCCGTGTCTCAGAGGAGCATGTGCTGCCACTTCTCCCGGCGTGGACTGGCTGGATCACGTGGTTGGCGTCTGAATTTTTCAGAAACGGCCAAACTGTTTTCCGGCATGGCTGTGCCATTGTGCCTCCCACCCGTGATGTGAGTTCCAGCCCCTCCTCACCCTCCTGTATGCTTGACGTCGTCCGTTTTTAAAATTTTAGCCATTCTAACAGGTGTGCAGTGCTATCTGACTGTGGTTTTCATTTGAATTTTCCTAACGACTAATGGCGTTGAGCATCTTTCCATGCGTTTATTTGCCCTCTGTGTATCTTCTTTGATGAAGTGTCTGTTCTAACGTTTTGTCCATCCATTTTAAAATTGGGTTGCTTCAGTTTTGAGAGTTCTTTATATATTCTGCATTCGAGTCCTTCACTAAAAATACATACTTGGCAAAGATTTTTCTCCCAGTCAGGGCTTGTCTTTTTATTCTCTTAATAGTGTCAGAAGATACTATTAAGTGTCAAAACTTCTGTTCAAAAGAGCGGAAGTTCATTCTTTCCCTCCCTCCCTCCTTTCTTGCTTTCTTCTCTGTTCCTTCCTTCCTTCCTTCCTTCCTTCCTTCCTTCCTTCCTTCCTTCCTTCCTTCCTTCCTTCCTTCTTTCCCTCCCTCCCTCCCTCCCTTCCTTCCCTCTCTCTCTCTCTCTCTCGATGGAGTCTCGTGCTCTGCCGCCCAGGCTGGAGTGCAATGGTGCAATCTCGGCTCACTGCAACCTCTGCCTTTCCAGTTCTGGCAATTCTCCTGCCTCAGCCTCCGGAGTAGTTGGGACTACAGGTGAGTGCCACCCCGCCCGGCTAGTTTTTGTATTTTTGGTAGAGATGGGGTTTCACCATGATGGTCAGGCTGGTTTCAAGCTCCTGACCTCAGGTGATCCACCCACCTCGGCCTCCCAAATTGCTGGGATTACAGGCGTGCGCCACCTAGACTGGCCGAAGTTCTTAATTTTGGCAAAGCCCAATGTATTAATTTTTACTTTACACATCATGCTTTTAGTGTTGTGTCTAAGAAATCTTTGCCTAATCCAAGGTCATGATTTTATCATTATGAAAGGATCTTCTTTATTGCCAGTTCCTTGCTCTAAAGTCTACCTTTGTATTAATATTGCCACTTGATCTTTCTTTCTGTGTTAGCACGGTGTGTTTTTTCCTCTTCCTTTACTTTCAATAACTAATGTGTGTCTTTTACTTACAGTGAGATTCTCTGGGCAGCTTATAGAGTGATCTTGCTTTTTATTCTAGTCTGACAATCCACATCTTTTTATTGGGGGTGTTTAGACTATTACATTTAATGTAATTAGTGATGTGGCCAGGTGAAAAGCTACCATCTTGCTACTTGTTTTCTGTTCCTTCCATCTGTTCTTTGTCTTTCTTTTCTGCCTTCTTTTGGATTGACTATTTTTCCACAGTTCAGTTTTATCTCCTTGTTTGCTTATCTGCCATAACTTTTTATTATTTTAGTAGTTGTCTTAGAGTTTATAGTATGTCTACAACCTACTGTAGTCTCCTTTCCAAAGATATTATCACATTCCATATATAGAAGAAGAACCTTCCAGGCTGGGCACGGCGGCTTACGCCTGTAATTCCAACACTATGGGAGGCCAAGGTGGGAGGATCACCTGAGGTCAGGAGTTCGAGACCAGCCTGGCCAACGTGGTGAAACCCCATCTCTACTAAAAATACAAAAATTAGCTGGGTGTGGTGGTGGGCACCGGTAATCCCAGCTACTCGGGAGGCCCAGGCAGGAGAATTGCTTGAACCCGGGAGACAGAGGCTGCAGTGAGACAAGATCGTGCCACTGCATTCCAGCCTGGGTGACAGAACAAGACTCCATCTCAAAAAAAAAAAAAAAAAAGGTGCCTCACAGCTCCCTTCTCTTGGGTTGTGCAATTCTTGTCACCCATTTTGTGTCCACACACGATTCACACCGCACTGCATTGTTGGTATTTTTGTTTAATTAATTATTTTTTAAAGAGGCTTAAATAGTAAAAAAACTTCTATATTTACCCATACAATTACTATTTCAAATGCATTATTCCATCGTGTAGATCCATATTTCTTTTTTCTTTTCTTTTTTTTTTTGAGATGGAGTCTCGCTCTGTCACCCAGGCTGGAGTGCAGTGGCGTGATCTTGGCTCCCTGCAACCTCCACCTCCCGGGTTCAAGTGATTCTCCTGCCTCAGCCTCCCAAGTAGCTGTGACCTCAGGCACCCACCACAACGCCTGGCTAATTTTTGTGTTTTTAGTAGAGATGGGGTTTTACCATGTTGGTCAGGCTGGTCTTGAACTCCTGACCTCAAGTGATCTGCCTGCCTCTGCCTCCCAAAGTGCTGGGATGACAGGCCTGAGCCACCGAGCCCGGCCGTGGAGCCACATTTCTATCTGATTTCCTTTTCCACCCGCCTGAAGGGCTTTCTTTAACATTTCTTAATGGACACTGCAATGGTTATTTGTCTGAAAATATCTTCCTTTTGCCTTTGTTTTTGAAAGATGTTTTTCTAGGATGACAGCTTCTTCTTCCGTTTGTACTGTAAAGGTGCTGCTCTAGTTTTCTTACTGGCACAAGTTCCCCCGCCAAAAAAATCTGTTGTTATTTTAATATGTTTCCTCTTTGTAACACGCCCCCACCCCACAACTTAAGATTTTCTCTTTTACACTGATTCTGTATGATTAGGATTTGGTGTCATTTCCTTCATGTTTCTTGTACTTTGTACTCACTGAGCTTCTTGTATCTCTGGGTTTTAGTTTTCATTAATTTTTTTTTTTTTTTTTTGAAACAGAGTCTTGCTCTGTTGCCCAGGCTGGAGTGCAATGGCGCAATCTCGGCTCGCCGCAACCTCAAACTCTGGGGCTCAAGCAGTCCTTCCGCCTCAGCCTCCCGAGTAGCTGGGATTACAGGCGCCTGCTACCACACCCAGCTAATTTTTGTATTTTTAGTAGAGATGGGGTTTCACCATGTTGGCTGGGCTGGTTTCAAGCTCCTGACTTCAGGTGATCCACCTGCTTTGGCCTCCCAAATTGCTGGGATTACAGGCGTGAGCCACCGCACCCAGCCAAGTTTTCCTCAGATTTGAACAAATTATGGCCATGATTTCTTCAATTTTTCCTGTCCTCCTCTCCCTTCGTGGGCTCCGTTTACAGACGTGTCAGGCTGCGCGAAGCTTTGCCACCTACTGCTCGCTAAGGAGCTGTTTATTTTTTGGATTCTTTTGTCTTTCTGTGTCTCTATTATGTCTTCAAGTTCACCGCTGTCCTCTTCTGCATTGTCGCATCCGTTGTTAATCCTGTCCAGTGTGTTTCATCTCACACATAGTCATTTTCATCTTTAGATGTTTAATTTGGATCCTTTTTTATATGTTTCATGTTTTTTACTAAATACGTTCAATTTTCAGCATAGCATTTTGATGACATGG
Source organism: Homo sapiens (assembly GCF_000001405.40). Classification (NCBI taxonomy): domain Eukaryota; kingdom Metazoa; phylum Chordata; class Mammalia; order Primates; family Hominidae; genus Homo; species Homo sapiens. Next base: position 1,047,295 of record NC_000011.10, read on the forward strand.
AATACTGTCGTAACGCCTGTTTTAATGTCTTTGTCGGCTAATTCCAACATCTGTGTTGGTTTTGTGGTTTGGATTAGTTGAATTTTCTCCTGATTATGGGTGGAATTATCCCCTTTCTTTACCTGCCTGGTACTCTTTGAATGGAGGTTGGACTTCGTGAATTTTACCTCGTGGGCTGCTGGATACTTTTGTGTCCTGGGGCTTTGTTCTGGGACATAATTAAGGGATTGGAGAGAGTTTGGGCCTCCTGGGCCTCGTGTGGCTCGTAGGTGGGCTCAGAGCAGTGCTGAGTCCAGGGCAAACTACGCCTCACCATTGAGGCAAGACCCTGAGGGGCACTCTGCCCACCGCACCGTGAACTTTGAGTGGCGAGGTTTCTCGGTGGTGCTGGCGGGAGCAGTGCTTTTCCCAGCCTCTGTGAGCTCCGCTGCTCTTCCTTCCAATCCTTCGGGTCGTTGCTCGCCAGCCTTAGTCTCCTCCCAGGCACGTGCTGAGCGGGTTCCCTGCCAAACGCTCAAGACGGACCTTCTGCAGGTCTCCAGGCTTTGCTCTGGGCAGCTCTCTCCCTGCCAGTGTCCTGTGCACTCCAGCTGCCGTGGTCTCCCCGGCCTCTCATCTGAGCTCTTCCTGAGTTCTCCTTCCTGGCCCCTTGTCCTGGAAACCCTCAGGCGGTGACCTGGGCAGTTTAGGGCTGTTTCCTGTCTGCCATGGACTGAACGTTTGTGTCTTCCCCACCCTCCGGTTCCTGTGTTGAAATCCTGGTGCCCAAGGTGACGATATTAGGAGGTGGGGACTTGGGGAGGTGGCAGAGCCCTCAAGAATGGGGTTAGTGTCCTTACAGGAGAGATCCCAGAGCCGGGCGCGGTGGCTCACGCCTGTAATCCCAGCACTTTGGGAGGCCGAGGCAGGTGGATCACCTGAGTTCAGGAGTTCGAGATGAGCCTGGCCAGCATGGAGAAACCCTGTCTCTACTAAAAATATGAAAATTAGCTGGGCATGGTGGTGGGCGCCTGTAATCTCGGCTACTCGGGAGGCTGAGGCGGAGAATCACTCGAACCTGGGAAGTGAGCTTGCAGTGAACCGAGATTGTGCTACTGCACTCCAGCCTGGGTGACAGAGTGAGACCCTGTCTCGAAAAAAAAAAAAAAGAGACCTCAGAGAGCTCTCCCACCCCTTCTACCAGAGGCGAAGGGGACCCAGTGGGAAGGTGCCGTCCGTGAACCAGGGAGTGGCCTCACCAGACATCGAATCTGCCAGAGTGTGGATCTTGAACGTCCCGTCCTCTGCAGCCGTGGAGATGCGTGTCTGTTGCTTTTATGCCGCTCAGGCCATGGCGTTTCCGGATAGCAGCCAGGTTGGAGGGACCCGCTGTCTCTCTGGGACCACTCTCTTCGTCGCCTGATGTCCACCGTCTTGACAGATGTTGTTTCCCATATTTCCTGGAGTTTTTTAGTTGCTAAATCCTGGCCTCTGCTACTCTCTTTGCTAAAAATGCTAGTCCTTGATGAAATGGAATCTTGATACTTTAATACAGAGTGGAACATAGTCACTAAATAAAACCTGGAAAAATGTAGAAGAGTAGCAGGAAGAGAACACACCCCAGCCCCGCGGTCCACCCACCCGCAGTCCCTATCGCCACCTCCTGGCTCTGGTTTCCCTGCTCGTGGGGCTGGGCAGCATTGCTGCAACTCTTGATTCGCTTTCCTGGGGCCACCATAACCAAGCAGCACAACCCGGGAGATGGCTCAGAGTCTCTCTGCGTCCTGGGAGCCTGAGATCCAGGAGTGGGTGGGTTGGAGAATGGTTCTCCCTGGGTCACTCTGGAGGACCTCTTAAGGTGGACTTCTTAAGGGACCCCCGGCTCCCACCTTGCCAAAGAGCCTCCGAGCCACACCTGCCTCCCGCAGGCCTCCAGTTGGTGCCCACATGCAGCCCCCGCCGTGGGGTCACCCTGGGGTAAGGGTCTCTCCTCCCCTGCTAACCTTCTGCTGGGTCTTGGCATCCCTGGGATGAACCCTCCTGGCCTGGACCTTGCCGGCCCACATCAACCCCCAGCCCTCTGCTCCTTGGCCTCACCCACAGCCTGCAGAATGTAGGTGAGTTTCCTGATGATAATATAATAATAGCAATGATGATGATGATGATGATGATGGCAATAACAATGATGACAGTCAACACTGCCGCGTGCCGGGCTCTGGCCCTTTGCATGTCTGGGCCGGCTGTACAAGGCACTGCTGGGGCTCCCGGGCTGGGAGCCAGGGACAGGCACCGTCACAGCAGCCAAGGGGCCCCCCTACCACCCCAGCACCTGCTGGCCCTGAACCAGCTGCTCCTTGAGAGCTTTGACAGACTCTTCCGCTTGGCAGCATTTTAATCTGCTGGTGCAAGAGCCTTGTCGCTTCCTCAAAGCCTGTGCCCATGGCCGTGGGCAGCTGCCTGTCCCTGTATAGGCAGAGCTGCGTCATGCCCTGTGGCCCCAGGTCTGGCTCTGGGGTTCTGGCTGGGCGGGGCCTGGAACCTTCTGGGAGTCACCATTGACTGGCTGCAGCCACCGGCTTCCCAGCAAGGATGTCCTCTTCTGTAGGAAAATGGGGACGTCGGGAGCATTCTCTGGACAGCAGGAGATGCATGTCGACAGGCTGGCCCTGCCTCTTCCCACCCCAGAGTGGTGAGTGGGGATTCTGGGGACTTCCCTGGCCCCCATGGGCCTCGCGTGTCCTGGTGCCCATGTGTCTCCAGTCCCAGGGTCGGCCACGGTGTGGACCCCTCCACTTTCCTCCAGGCCTGAGGTGGGGCCCGGGCGGCCTGTCAAAGAAGAGCCCAGCCCAGACCCTCCCCAGATCCCTGGGGGAAGGAGGCCACCAGGCACCCTGCCTTCCTGCTGCCTGTCAGGGTGAATCTCAGGGGACCCTGGTGCAGGAGGGGCTGGCTCTGAGCTGGACAGGCCTCTGGGGTTGCCCTGGTGGCCTTCCCTCTCTCTGGGTCAGACGTGCCCAGGCAGGGAGGGTCCAGGCCATGACAGAGCCGGGCCAGCTGGGGACAGGGCATCCCCCAGTGCAATCCTTGTAGCGAACGGGTCCTAGAGTGCAGCTGGCGGGACACTCCCGCCATCACTGGATTTACTGCAGGTGGAGACGGGTTCTGTACCCACGTAGATGAGGAAACAGGCACAGAGAGGGGGCAGCCTGCCCAAGGTCACCGGGGAGGGAGTGGAGAGGCTGGATGCCCTTGGGCCCAGACTGCAGCCTCCCCTCCCCGATGTGCTGCGGCCCCAGTGTCCTGGGCCCCATGTGGCGCCTGAGCCCACAGGTGTCACCAAAGGTCTGAGTTGCGGGGACAAAGGCGGGGACAGGCCCGAGGTGCGGGGACAAGGGCGGGGATGGGCCTGAGGTGCAGGGACAGAGGCGGGGACAGGCAACCCCTGCGGTTCGAGGGGTAGGTGGCCACACGTCAGTCCCTGGGAGGGCCAGGCAGGAGGTGGGCCCAGCGGGGCTGGGAAATGAGGGGCCAGTGCCCCCACGCTCACTGCAGGGGATGTGAGAGGGCGAGTGGTCGCTCAGCCACACCCACACCCGTGTGTACAGGACCCACGCCCGCCCGCCTTGCTGTCCCGCCCGTGCACGGCTCACACAGCTTCTCCCATTATTCAGGCGCTGCCGGGCCCTGCAGGACTCAGATCGTCCCTGTGCCACTTGGCAGGGTCACCCTCACGCCTGCCCGGTGGCCCCACCTGCCCCACCTGCCCAGCTTCTCTCCCTTCTCAGTGCTGTCTGTCCCAGAGCCTCCCATCAATGGGGCCAGAGGGCTCTGGCCCGGCTGTGGGCTGACTGTTCTCCCCAAGATGCCTGAGAGCCACCCGGGCACCGGACTTGCCAACATGCAGGCACACGCAGGCACACACCTGGGCCACACGGCCCTGAGCACACGCCTTGCCCAGCCCTCCTCCGGGCTGTGGTGCGGGTGCCAGGTGCCACCTGCTGGCGGGCTACAGCATCACGGCTCTCGCCCTCCGGAACCTTCCATGGTGCCACACCAGCCTCTGGTCTGGCTGCAGACGGCTTGGGCTGGGCAGGGAAGCTTCCACTGTCGGGGAACCTGGGACCACAGTCTTTGCTCCAAGCGCCCTGGGCGGGTAGAGGCCAGGTCCGGTATGAGGAGCCCTGGTTCCCTGAGGTAGACAGAGCCAGGCAGACGTTGAGGAGACATGGGGGCTGTAGCCCTGGCCCCACTGCCCGACTCTCTCTCTGCATTTCGGGAGCTGGCAAGATCCAAGGGGGTCCCCAAGGCCCTGAGGCTGCACTGAGCACCCCTTTCCTGCTCATTTTCAGATGCAGCGGTGTCCTGGACCCCTGGGGAGAGGTGACCCCCCCAGCAGGAAGCTGGGCCTGGTTTCTGTCCCTCTGCAGCCACAAGGCCTGGCTAGGATGCTGGGAGCACCACACCCTGGAGACTCAGCTCACCAAGGACTCAGGGGCGGGGGCTCCCCTGGCACCTGGGAAGCTGGGCCCCCGGCCCCCTGGACTCCCACCCAGACACCATCTCAACCCAGGTCTGTCTGCTCTCCCCGTCACTGCCCTGGGTTCTCCACTCCTGGACCCGACCCTGGTCCTGGGGCAGTGTCCCAGCTGCTGTGTCCCAGGCCCCCCATCCACTGCCCTTGGCCCACCTTCTATGTGGCCCATTAGAGGGGTGTGGGGGCTGCAACCTGCTTCTGCTGAACCCCTAGGCCTGCCAGGGGGCATCAGGATTCTGCACAGAGAGGCAGGGGACCCGGCCAGACATGCAGGTACCCACGTACCTAATTCTGGGCCTTGGGGCAAGGACTGCGTATTTATCCTGGCCCAGGCAAGTCTGGGGGTGTCTGAGGGGTGGTGAGACGTCTGGGCAGATTGTCCCTGCCCTGCTCTGCTCTGCCCCACCCTGGCCAGCCCTCCTGGCTTCTCAAGGTGCTCCTGGCCACGATGGCACAGTCCCCCAGGCCCAAAATGTGCCCCCATGCTGCCCGAATGCCAGTGCGGGGGCTGGTAGCAACCAAGGCCATGCCCTCCCCTCCCCCTCCTGGGGCACCTGCCCCCACGCTGTGGCCATGGCTCCCTGGCTCCACCAGCTTCTTGTGACCCCTGAGGCTCCCCAGCTCCTGGCCCCCCATGGAGAGTTCCCTCCCCATAAGGGGGGGCCAGACACCCCCCTGTGCCCACTCCTTGGGAGACTGGCATTAGATCCTGGCTGTGGGACAGGCTGGGCCACTCTGGGGGTGAGACCAGGCTTCTCCCACCTGGGGGACCCATCCTGGCTCCGGACTTGGGCGGGTGACAGCCTGGGTTTCCTGTGTCCTCACCGCCCGCTTATCAGCAAGATGGGGATGTGGATGACAGGAGTGCTGGCCACGGAGGGCCTGGTGTGGGTGGCCGTCGGGACGAGGGTAGTGTGGGCGGCCACGGCAGTTGGTGCTACTGCTGGGAGGGGCCGAAGGTGAGGCCCTCCTGGGCTGTGGGTCCCTGTAAGCCACTGCCCCCGTGGGGTGTGCAGTCACCAAGCCGACCTGCTGCCGGGGTTCCGCCCCCTCCCTTTCCCTTCTGCTTCCCCGGCACCTGTGTCCCAAGCCTGAAGCCCTGTCCGTGTCAGAGGTGGCACCTCCCTGGGCACGGGCACTTGGACGCTGGTGCCTCCCCTGCTGCGGACCCCTTTGCTGTGGTCAGGGCCTCCTCCCTGCACTGGCCCCGCCTGTGACCGCAGGCCTGGCGGGGCCCTCAATGGCCACAGAGGGCACAGGCCGGGGCCAGGAGGGCACCGTCTCCTGGGGCACAGATATGCTGGAGTGAGCTATGGAATTGTCCATCAGCAGCGGCAAGCTTTGCTGAGCGCCAGCTGTATGCAGAGCAAAGGCGGGCCAGCCGGGAAGGGCCAGTGAGGACCTGGAGTCCCCAGCATCCCCAGGAGCCTGCACCCCTACGCGGGGGACGCCTGGGCAGCTCCTCCCTCCTCCACTCCCCGCCCTCTCCTCCCCTCCTTCCTGCAGTTCCCACAGCTGTTTGGGTGCCTCCCGTGGCGCCTGGTTGAGCTGCAGGGGGAGATGTGTGTGGACACTGCAACCCTCCCGAAGCTGGGCCTGGAAGAAATGACTTCCCCAGAACCTTATCTGGGCCGGAGAGGGGCGTTGGCAGCGGGGGTCTTGCCGCCTTCCGGTCCTCTGCATGCCAGGCACCACCTGGGGCCGGGCCAGGGCAGGCTGCCTGGACACCATGGACCTGCCCAGCTGTAGGGGAGGTGTGTCCTGCAGCCCTACCCGAGGCCCAGGCCTGCGTGGCTGAGAGGACTGAGGACGGCTGACCCCCTTGGTGACTGCCTGGGCCCAGAGGGGAGTTGGGGGAGTGGTCAGCTGGGTGTGGCCAGCCCTGGGGGAAGGATCCAGGGACTGTGTCCACTTAGGGATAGGAGGCAGCTAGCAGAGCCCTCCCAGCTGACCAGGGGAGGCCCTGTGGGCACAGGAGGGGCCCCAGGTGTAGGTACAGGTGCAGGGCTGTGCGGCTCTGTGTCACCCAGGTGGAGCGTCTTGCCCCGTTTGATGGCTGACAAAGTGCCCTTGAATGCGTCAGACCCAGCGTGGTCCCAGGGTCCTGACCCTAACATACCACCCCAAATTACCCTCACCCCAGCCTACCCCTGCCCTAAATTCACCCCAAGCCTCCACCCAAACCCCTTAGTCCCAACACCTTAACCCTAGACCCAACCCTACACCCCAAGCCCTAATCCCTAACCGCTAGCCTCACCCTAACCTTCCTACCGGATGCCACCTGGCAAACATCCTCCTGGCCCCTATCTGCCCCTCCCCCGGGGATCCGGGAGGCAGTGGGGTCCCTGGGAGGCTGCTCCCTGCAGAACGCGATGGACAGATGCATGGGCACCGGGCCCCAGCACCCTCTGGCTTCCTTCATCCTCCCCAGGCACTTCCCCCGGGCCAGAGGGCAGCCTGGCAGCCCTGGACTCCGGGAGGGCCGAGTCTGGGGAGCTGGACGACGTCACATTCCACTCTTGATGATGCCGCCCCAGTCCTACAATCTGGACAGCAGGAGAAGCTGCCCATTTCCTCCATCTCCGGTAATGAGAAGCAAATGCTGATCCTGGCCGTCTCCTGGCTCTTGGGTCCCTAGGTTCCTGCTGCCCCTGCCAGTTCCTGGAAGATGCCAGCAGGAGGGAGGGCAGTGGAGCTGGACTTGCGCCCACAACAGGATCTGGCCATAAACGCAGTCAGGGCGAGGCTGCGGGGTGGGTGGCTGAGCCTCCTGGTGGACTATCTCCCCTCCCACCCCCCGCCCTGGCCCGCAGCTGTTGGCTCTTCCTGGGAAGCCACAGCCTTTGTTTGTTCCTTGAAGGAGCTGGTGCGTTGCCTGCGAGCTCCTCTGCAGGCTTGGGGGTCGCACCTGCTGTCCACCCCCCTCGAAACCAGCTCCATCCAGCAGCAGGCTGCAAGCCTGGAGAGGCCACCGGGGACCAGGCAGGGAAACTGAGGTCCCAAAAAGGCAGGGAACAGGTGCAGGGGGCCTGTCTGACCTGCGCTGGGACTGGGCCAGGTGAGTCTCCTCCAGGGCCCAGCCCCATCTTGGACAGAGGAAGTTGATAGTCAGGAAAGGCAGGAGTGGCCTCTTCTAACAATTTCAGCTCTGAAGGGGCCAAGGGTGGCGATGCTGACAGCATTTCCTCCAGCTCCCACCTGCCTGCTCCGGGGAACTCCCTACCCAGGCATTGATATTCACCTGGTGATACTAATAATTGTCTCAGGTGATAAATTGTCTCAGCTGCTCTCCCACATGGCCCACAGGTCCCTGGAGGTTCCCCGGATCCTTTCAGGGAAGACCATGGGCCCTAAACGATCTTCATAACAAAACTGAGAAGTGGCCTGGCTTCTTCACTGCGTGCCTGTGTGCTGGGATCTAGCGTGGCCCGACTGGGCAGCTCCTTTCCTTCCCTGACGCTGCTCCAGGGGAAAGAAGGACCAGGGTCAATCCGGGGTGCCCCAGGTGGATCAGCGAATGCCCCTGAAGCCAGGTGCCAGTTGCATCCCCGTCAGATGCCCCCACCCCAGTCTCCTGAGCCTCATTAGTCACCCCTCATTTTCCTCTGGGGACCCCAGGCCCCAGCTCCTGTCTGGTTAGAGGCTGAAGGGGTCTGAGCGACACCTACCCTAGGGGACCTCCGGAGGGGTCTTGGTGTCCTCTGACTTCTGTCCTCAGAAGGGAGCTCAGAATGCAGCTGAGGCTTCCCCTGGGGCCCAGGGTGTCTGTGTCCGAGCCACAGCCAGAGTGTGCCCTGGAGAGTCGCTGGGATGCACGGTGGGCTCTCGTCATCCTGTCCCCACTCCAGGCTCAGGCTGGAGCCGTGATGGCACCGCTGCACTCCAACCTGGGCAACAGAGTGAGACCCTGTCTCTATAAAATAAAAACAAAAATAAAGAAGAGCATGTGGTTTCTGCAGTTTCCTGGCCAAAAATGCATAACTCCAATCTCAATCATAAGAACACATCCAACGTCCCCAACAAGGGGAGGTTCTACACACACCTGCCCAGAGCCCCTCAAAAGTGTCAAGGTGTGAAAGACATGGAGGCATGTAGAAGACGGGAGAGCCAGTGTGGCCTGTGGTATGTTCATGACGGTCACAGGTCAGCGCCCACGGTCACTCAGCAGCCATGCCAGGCAGGCCCCAGGGGCCCAAGAGGAAGGTGGGATGTGGCGGGATGGGGGCTCTGCACGGCCCTGCAGCACAAGTGCCCTGCCGACTCCAGGGGCAGCAATCTGGTCCCCTCATGGTGCCATTCCCCAGGGACGGGTCCTCGCCTGCCTCGCCGGCCCTCCACAGACAGGACAGGGACAGGTCGTCAGCTGTCACGGAGGCCCTCGCAGTTTTCTGAATGTGGACTTGCTGTTCCTGCCCATGGCTTCGTCCACGGACTCGACAGCACCCCACTGTCCATCACACCCCCACCGATGCTGCTTCCCACAGCAGGACTCATCCCATGCTCAGGCAGTGCTCCCAGGAGCAGCGGGTTAATAGAGCGTGGGACGGCCCCTGAAGACCAGTTATGGCGCCGGCCAGGAGGCCCTCTGAAAGGACGGGCGCAACCCCGCAGAACAGACCAGGTGCTCGCCATCCATGTCCGGTGCCGCTTCTCTGTGGCGATGGTATCCAGGAATCACGGGTGGGAGTCACGGCCACAGTCCCTGTCGCACCAGCCGCCTGCCCACACAGCCACCGTTCACTCTAGCTTGAAGGTCCCGCTTCCTCAGGGAGGAGCACTCCCTCCAGGGTCGAGGTGCTGGCCGTGTGGAGTTCGACGTCGGGACTGTCCCCAGGGGCCTCTCTTCCCACTGAATCGACAGAGAGAATGTGAGCTTGCTGTCCGGCGGGCGGGGCCGGGGATCCTGTCCGTCGAGGGGACACCGGATTGCTGCGGAGAGAGGACTAGACCCAGAGTCCAGCCAAGACCAGAACTGAGACCAGGCGACCAGCAGAGCCTGCACAATAATAATGCTTCGTTTTGCAAATGTATTTTGTTCTTTTATTGTATATATTTATCATGTCCAATGTGATGTTTTGAAACGTGTTTACATTGTGCTTAAATCAAGCAGCATAACACACATGACTTCACATACTTCCCATTTTTTTGTGGTAAGAACACTCAAATTCTACTCGCAATGATTTTCTTTCTTTTTTTCTCTCTCTTAATGATTTTCAAGGATGCAATATGGTGTTATTAACTGTAGTCACCATGCTGTGCAGTACATCTCTTGAATTTATTCCTTTTGTCTAACGGAACTTTTTTTTTCTTTTTGAGATGGAGTTTGCTCTGTCGCCAGGCTGGAGTGCAGTGGCACGATCTCGGCTTACTGTAACCTCTATCTCCCAGGTTCAAGCAACTCTCATGCCTCAGCCTCTGGAGTAGCTGGGATTACAGGCACCCGCCACCACGCCCAGCTAATTTTTTTGTTTGTTTGTTTTTTGAACCGGAGTCTCACTCTGTTGCCAGGCTGGAGTGCCGTGGTGCCATCTTGGCTCACTGCAACCTCCGCCTCCTGGGTTCAAGCGATTCTCCTGCCTCAGCCTTCTGAGTAGCTGGGATTACAGGCGCCTGCCACCATGCCTAGCTAATTTTTGTATTTTTAGTAGAGATGGGGTTTCACCATGTTGGCCAGGATGATCTTGATCTCCTGACCTCATGATCTGACCGCCTCAGCATCCCAAAGTGCTGGGATTACAGGCATGAGCCACCGCGCCTGGCCTAATTTTTGTATTTTCAGTAGAGACGGGGGTCTCATCATGTTGGCCAGGCTGGTCTCGAACTCCTAACCTCAGGTGATCTGCCTGCCTCTGCCTCCCAAAGTGCTGGGATTACAGGCATGAGCCACTGTGCACGGTCTGTAACAGAAACTTTGTACTCTTGGACCAACCCCTCCCCAGTTCCCAGCCCCTATGTCCCTGGGTCCTCTCTCTGCTTCTGTGAGTTCAACTTTTCTAGGCTCCACTTATGTGTGAGATCATGCAGTGTCTGTCTTTCTGGGCCTGGCTTCCTTCATTCAGCATGAAGTCCTGCAGTTCATCCATGTCGGCACCAATGACACAATTCCCTCTTCTGTGGAGGAACAGTTCTCTGACGTGGATGCACCTTCCTTGGCTGCTGGACGCTGAGGCTGGTTCCATGTCTGGCCGTAGTGGACAGCGCTGCGGCGAACATGGGGTGCGGGTGTCTCTTCTGCGTACTGATGTGGCCTCCGCGTGTCACGCCCGGGAGTGGGACAGCTGGATTACGTGGTGGTTCTGTTTTCAGTTTTTTGGGAATCTCCATGCTGTTTTCCATAACGGCCATCATCACAGACTTCTTATCATGAAATCATTTTAGACTCGTAGAATCCTGGTAAAAATAGTATAGAGAATGGTGATCTGTCATCTCTGGGCAGGGCAAAGGGAGCTGGGGCGACCAGGCAGGAGGGAGGTTTGCTTTCATGATCTGTTCTTTACCTATTCAAAAACAATTAAAATAAAGGCCAAGGCAGATGGATCACTTGAGGCCAGGAGTTTGAGACCAGCCTGGCCAGCGTGGTGAAACCCCATGTCTACTAAAAATACAAAAATTAGCCGGGTGTGGTGGGGCACACCTGCAATCCCAGCTACTCGCGAGGCTGAGGCAGGAGAATTGCTTGAACCTGGGAGGCGGAGGTTGCAGTGAGCCGAGATCGCGCCACTGCACTCCATCCAGCCTGGGTGAAAGAGTGAGACTCTATTGCAAAAAAAAAAAAGAAAAGAAAAAGAAAAAGAAAAGAAAAACCAGAAAAAACACATAAAATGCGCCATTGCACTCTAGCCTGTGTGACAGAGTGAGACTCCATTTCAAAAAAAAAAAAAGGCTGGGCACGGTGGCTCATGCCTGTAATTCCAGCACTTTGGGAGGCTGAGGCGGGTGGATCATGAGGTCAGGAGATCGAGACCATCCTGGCTAACACGGTGAAACCCTGTCTCTACTAAAAATACAAAAACTTAGCCGGGCGTGGTGGCGGATGCCTGTAGTCCCAGCTACTCAGGAGGCTGAGGCAGGAGAATGGTATGAACCCATGAGGCGGAGCTTGCAGTGAGCCGAGATTGCGCCACTGCAGTCCAGCTTGGGTCGCAGAGACAAACAAACAAACAAACAAAAAAACCCAGAAAAAAACCACAAAAAAACCCCCATTAAAATAATTTAAAATTTTAAAATAATGTTTAGTAAAATAATGTTTAATAAAAAATAATGTTTAATGTTTAATGTGAGAAATGCTTATATGGTAAAAAATAAGGAAAAAGGATAATTTAAAAAAGAGTGAGAAGAAAATAGAGTCAGATATTTATCTGATCTTTAGAGAAGAGCACTTTTCTAAGCATACAAACAAAGGAAGAAATAATAAAGAAAAAAAGTGACAAATGTGTTACCTCCCTAAAAACGCGTGCGTAAGAACAAGGGTTTGATCCTCACTGACGGGGTCCCAGGTGCTGACTCGAGTCCAGCAAGCCCCAGAGCCAGAGGCTGAGTGCAAACCACGGAGGTGACCTCCATGGCAAGAGCGGTGTGGCGTGTCCGTCCCGCACAGACAGAAATGCGGTCCAGGGGTGTGGGAGGACCATGAAGGGGTCACGCTGAACGTGCTGCAGGTGCCCACCAAGCAGACAGTCTGCCTTTCGAGGTGTGGTTCAGGGAGTTAGCAGGGCGCTAACCGCTGGCTGCTTCGTTGGGTGCAACATAGACAGAAAAGGGGTCACATTAAACTGGAAAGGCCAGACCTGGCTTGGTTTACTGTGGAGGAAGGGATGCAAAGGCCTAGGGAGATTGGAAGGCTAGGGTAGGTTTGTCACTTAAGACCTCCTCACCCACCAGAAGGTCCAGAAGACAGACCTTTCCCCACACTGGGAACTAGATTAGTGAGTGGGGTAGAAATAGGGACAGATCCCTGGGCTGCTCTTCTCTGAGGGCCACAGACCTCACAGTGGGAGCCACAGCCACTCAGCTGGAAAAGAGTCGCAATGGGAAGAATCGACCCGGGACAGCCGAGCGGTGGCTTTCAGCCGTCAGAGGCGAGGGGGACCTGGGACTGCCAGGAGGTGGCTCTCAGCCGTCAGAGGCGAGGGGGACCTGGGACTGCCAGGAGGTGGCTCTCAGCCGTCAGAGGCAAGGGGGATGCGGGCGCCATCATGAGTAGCAGAGGCAGAACGACAGTCAAGCTGGGCTGACCCCTTAGCCACAGCTCTCCTAGGAGGAAAACAGAAAGCCTGGGAAGATGGTACTGGATCTGCGGGAGGCCAAGGTCGGGGTGTCACCTGAGACCAGGAGTTCAAGACCAGTCTGGGCAATATCGTGAGAACCCCATCTCTAAAAACTAAAAAATTAGCTGGGCTTGGTGGTGCACACCTGTGGTCCCAGCTACTCAGGAGGCTGAGGCAGGAGGATGGCTTAAGCCCAGGTGTTCAAGGCTACAGTGAGCCAAGATTGCATCACTGCACTCCTGCCTGGGCAACAGAGCGAGACCCTGCCTCAAAATCAATCAATCAATCAATAATCATGTTCTCAGCAAATATTTAACTTCCCCGATATATTGTGGGGGAAAAGAGGCTGTAAAACAATCTGTGGTAATAACCAGGAGAACTTAGGAGCACCCGTGGGTGCCCATGCGGGCAGAGATTCACGAACACTGTTCACCCCCATAACCAGCAAGGGTGCTGCTATCCAGAACCCATCGCAGATGAGCAACTGTGCCTGCCCAGGCCAGGCCACGGCACCCAGCAGCCGGGACCCCTCCCCACCTGAAACGATACTGCCACCTGGGGACCCCAGGCCGCTGACATGGGGACGCGCTAGAGCTTTCGAACACGTCTCTGCATCTGGACATGCCCTCGGTGCACGTGTATTGCTTTAAGTTCAGAGACGTCAAATGTCATTTAATGAAAAGACTCCGGCTACATAATTGTCCCCAGGAATGCCCAGGACAATGTCAGGAATCTCCCAGACCTGCACAGAAGGTGGGAAAGATTTTGAAGGATTAAGAGGCTTCTCGGGGGAGGGGGAGGGGGACATTTTTCTTCCACCCACGGACAGTTTTGTGTTTTCTGATTTCTGTAACGAGTGCCACAGCTCTGTATGGAAAACAGCACTGCCTTTGGCGTCCCTCCCAATTCCTGGCACATGAGTCAAGGGCTCCCATAGCGTCACCGTTGAGGGCAGGGCAGCCCCGGGCTCACAAAGTAAAGAAGGAAAGGGCCAGGCCTCACTGCAGGGTCACCCCGAGGCCATAAAATCCTGCACCTTATGCCTTGGGCACCATTTAATACAATTAAACGGTGCAATAAAGGAAGGGAGTAATAAAGAAAGCAAATGTCAGCCAGCGAGGACATCCGGCACAGGCCACACCCCAGGTCCAGCCCCACTAGGGTGGAGTTTGAGGTCCCTGGGAACCCCAGAGTCTATGCACTGCTGTGCCCAGCTAATTTTTTAACATTTCTGCAGAGACAAGGTCTCCCTAGATTGCCCAGGCTGGTCTCGAACTCCTGGCCTCAAGCGGTTTTCCCAATGTGGCCTCTCCAAATGCTGGGATTATAGGTGTGAGCCAGTGGGCCCGGCCACGTGCTCTTATGTAGCTTATCAGAGTGTATGACGCTGCCTGTCCCATTGCTGGGGATGTTAACCTTGAACCCTTGGTTCAGGTGGCGTCTGCCAGGTCTCTGCACTGCAAAGTTACTATTTTGCGACTTTGTAATTAATAAATATCTTAGGGAAGATACTTTGAATTCATGTAAATAACTTGTTTCTCTTCTAACCTCAGCCTATTGACTTTAGCATACCTCTGTAGACAGCTGTTAATCCTGTGGCCTCTGATGGTGATTTTCTATTTACTTCATTTCTTCTGCATTAAGTAACTGGAATTCTATTAAAATAAGCTGTTTCTTCTTATTTGTTTGTGCAGTTATTTACTTCACTATGGGTTTGTAGATACTTATTTTATTATTTGGGTTATAATCCAACATTATCTTTATTTTGTTTCTCAAATTGTTCCAGTGTTGGCCATGGCAGCCCCTTCACAGTGGCTCCTGTGTGCTTTCACCCTATCTGTTTTTGAGCCCTTCCTCACTTTCTGGCACCATAAAATGCTCCAGGTTTATCTTGTAATTTCCTTCCCCAGAGACCCAGCTACTTCTCTAAGGAGTCCTGATTCTTTTAATTGGAAAATGGTATTTAGAAACCAAGATCTGGACATTGGGTGTGGTAGTTACTACTGGGGTGTCATTTTTTTTTGGTAGACCTTCTCAGGGGAGAATACTAGAAAGCATCTGTATATACCCTAATCCATACACACACACATTCACACACACACACACACACACACACACGTGCGCACACACATTTCTACCTATCTCTTCTATCTCTCTATCCGTCTATCATCCATGAAACACATTGTTGTAAGCCCTTGGTTTTTGGGTGCTTTGTTATGCAGCAATAGCTGACTGATACATGCGGCTGGGATTGTGCACACTGTATTTTCAGGCTCTTTGACCAGATGTCTTCCTGGAAGGCACTGGTGGGAGGTGAGGAGAGGAGATTTCTGTTCCTTCACCAGCTTCTTTCAGGGCCCTCCAGCCATAGAGGGGGGTGGCTACTCCAGCCCACCACTTCTTTTGGCACTCCCAATACTGGCTCTGCCACTCCATCCTTTCTCTGTGCTCCTGGGTTCTGGCAGCCCAACCTCTTTCATTTGTTCCCCCAGCCCTGGGAGTGGAAGCTGCTTCCTGCTGTTCACAACGTCAGGTGCCTCGGTGCCCGTCTTCTCTTCCAGCCTCCAGCACCTGTGTAACCAGTTCTCTGTATTAACTTCCTTCTGTTTGAAATAACGAGTGTGGCTTCCTTTTCCTGACTGACTGCACAGTGATGGATGTCAAGTGGACTTTCAAGGTGAGTCTGAGGTACAGAAGCTGGAGATGCACTAGCGGGTGGATGAGGAGACAGACCCTCAGGAGGGAGGGGAACGTGCGGTTTAGCCAAAGCCGCATGTAGGGAAAATCCACCACGTTCCACTCCTACATGGGAAAAGAAGGAAAGCCTCAAATCAATGGTCTCTCTACCGTAAGAAATTAGGAAAGAAAGAGAAGAGCAAATTAAGCCCAACGTGAGCAGGAAAAGCAAAATCATCAATAAAACAACAAAATGAAACACTAGAGAAAAGTCAACAAAACCAAAAGCTGGTTCTTTGAGAAGATCAATTAGACGGATAAACCCCTAGCCAGGCTGGAGAATAAAAGAGAAAACAGACAAATTACCAATGTTAGGAACAAGACAGGTGACGCCACTGTGGATTCTACACATATTACAAAGATAATAGGGGGACATCATGAACTACTTCAAGTCGAAACATTTGGCAGCCCGGATGAAAAGGACAAACTCCTTGGACACAGGATGAATCGAAGATCACTTGGGCAGAAATAACTTGAATGGCCCTATATGTTAAAGGAATTGAATTGTAAATAAAACACAACAAAGCCTTCCTGCAAAGAAAACCCCAGGCCCAGATGGTTTCACTGGTGAATTCTACCAAAGATTTAAGAAAGAAGTATGTCAACTCTGCACAAACCCTTCCAACAATAACTGAAAAGAGAGGAACACCTTCAACTCTTCCTCTGAGGCCAGTATTACCCCGATTTCAAAACCACATAAAAACATTATAAGAAGACTATGAACCTTTCCTTTGAAAGCAGTCTTTAGATACAAGCTTTATCTGACACATTAACATGTTAGACTGCTTTCAAATGAAAGACTGTGTATCAAATGAAAGAAGGGGCTTATGAAGGTGTTGGAAATGAGATCATCGGGAAAAGAGTGTGGGAAGGGGCTTTCCTATCCCTCTTATTTACAACCCAACTTAATAAACACACGGTATACTATTTCCTGCTATTCTTTGTCCTATGTTTCCTGGTTATTTTGATAATGTACTTTACCACTGTGGCCAGTTCTTCTCCTGACTCTTTCACATAAATAAAGTGTCCATATTTCTGGAAAAAAAAAAAAGAAGGCTATGAACCAACATCCCTCATAAACACAGATGTAAAAATTCTAAACAAATTAAAAAAATATTTTACTTTAAGTCCTGGGATGCATGTGTAGAACGTGCAGGTTTGTTACATAGGTAAACGTGTGTCATGGTGGTTTGCTGCACCTGTCAACCCATCACCTAGGTATTAAGCCCCACATGCATTACCTATTTGTCCTGATGCTCTCCCTCCCCTCACCTCCCACCCCCCACCAGGCCCCAGTGTGTGTTGTTCCCCTCCCTGTATCCACGTGTTCTCATTCTAAACAAGATTTTTTCAAATCGAATCAAAAAATTTATTAAAACTATAACCACAGGGGATTTATTCCAAGAATCCAGAGTTGGTCTAACATTCAAAATCAATGTAATTCATCATGTGAACAGACTAAAGATGACCAATCATAGGATCATCTCAGTCAATTCAGAAGAACGCACTTGACCAGATTCAACACCCACTCCTGATAAGAACTCTCCTAAAAATAGAATATAACTTCCTCATCCTCATAATGGCATTTATAAAAAGCCTGCAGATGACATCATACTTAAACACTAATGCTTTCCCCTGAAATCAGGAACAAGACCAAGATACCTGCTCTCACCACTTCTAATGAACATGGTGCTGGAAAGCACAGCCAGGCAATCGGGAAGGTGAATACACTTAAAAGATCTAGATTGGAAGGGGGAGTGAAACTGTGACAGATGATGTGATCATCTGTGCATAATCGAGTATCTATAAAAGGCAGCGGCAGTTGTCCCTTGATATCCACGGGGCATGGGTGCCAGCACCCCTAGGACACAAAATGTATGCGTGCGCTAATCCTCTACATAAAATGGCATAGTCTTTGCATATAATCTACATACATCTTCCCATGTACTTTATTTATTTATTTATTTTTTTAAGACAGAACCTCTCTCTATCACCCAAGCTGGAGTGCAGTGGTGTGATCTAGGCTCACTGCAACCTCTGCCTCCTGGGTTCAAGCAATTCTCCTGCCTCAGCCTCCCGAGTAGCTGGGACTACAGGCAACTGCCACCACCCCTGGCTAATTTTTGTATTTTTAGTAGAGACAGGGTTTCACCATGTTGGCTAGACTGGTCTCGAACTCCTGACCTCAGGTGATCCACCCGCCTCGGCCTCCCAAAGTGCTGGGATTACAGGCATGAGCCACCACGCCTGACCACATCCTCCCGTATACTTTAAATCATCTTTATATCATGTTAAAATTTCTATTAGGGGCCAGGGTCAGTGGCTTACGCCTGTAATCCCAGCACTTTGGGAGGCCGAGGCAGGTGGATCATTTGAGGTCGGGAGTTTGAGACCAGCCTGGCCAACATAGCAAACCCCTGTCTTTATTAAAAATACAAAAAAAATTTAGCCAGGCATGGTGGTGTGTGCCTGTAATCCCAGCTACTCTTGTGGCTGAGGCAGGGTGCGGTGGCTCATGCCTGTAATCCCAGCACTTTGGGAGGCTGAGGTGGGCAGATCACCTGAGGTCAGGAGTTCAAGACCAGCCTGGTCAACACAGCAAAACCCTGTCTCTACTAAAAATACAAAAAGTAGCTGGGTGTGGTGGTGGGCGCCTGTAATCCCAGCTACTTGGGAGGCTGAGGCAGGAGAATCACTTGAACCTGGGAGGTGGAGGTTGCAGTGAGCCAAGATTGTACCATTGCACTCCAGCCTGGGTGATAAAGCAAGACTCCATCTCAAAAAAAAAAAAAAATTAAAAGCAGGTCTTGAAAAGATATTTGCACACTCATGTTCACAGCAGTTGAAGCCACCCAAGTGCCCCTTGACAGATGAAGGGATAAACAGAATGTGGTCTGTCCTTACAGTGGAATATTATTCTGCCTTGAAAAGGAAGGAAGGAAATTCTGACACAGGCTACAATACATAGATGACATGAGGCCGAGTGAAATAAGCCAGACACAAAAAGACCAACACGGTATCATTCCACTTATTTGAGGTATCTCAAGTTGTCAGATTCATAGCAACAGAAAGCAGAATGGTGGCTACCTGAGGCTGGGGGAGAGCGGAGGGTGTGTTTAGTGGGAGCAGAGTTTCAGTTTAAGAAAAATGAAGGTGTTCTGGAGCTGAATGCTGGTGATGGCTGCACAGCATGGTGACATAGTCAATACCACTGAGCCACGCACTTAAGACTGCGTAAGATGAGAAATTCTGTTATGTGTATCTTTCCATAATAAAAAGTCCCAAAAAATCAATTGTATCTCTCTATATTAGCAATAAATAATTGGAAATGGGAACAAACAATATCATTATAACGGTACAAAAATATGAAATACTTAGGGAAAAATCTGACAAAGGATGTGAAAGACGAGTACGCTGAAAACTGTAAACCATTGGGAGGGAAATTAGAGACCTGCAGAAACAGGTATGTACACCTTGTCCATGGGCTGGAAGACTCCATATTGCTAGGACGTAAGTTCTTTCTAAACTGATAAATATATTTAATGCAATTTCAGTCAAAATCCCTGCAGGCTTTTTTTTTTTTGGTAGAAACTGACAAATTGAGACTAAATTCAGAGGGAAATGCAGAGGACATAGAAGAGCCAACGCAGTCCTGAAAAAGGGGCAAAGTTGGAGGAAACTGAAACATTGGCTGGGATTGAGAACTGTTACAAAGCTACAATAATCAAAACAGTGCAGCATTAGCATAATGACAGACAAATAGGTCAATGAACAGAGTAAAGTCCAGAAACAAATTCATGTGTATATAAACAATAATTATTTTTTCTTTAAAAAAATTTTTTTTTGAGACAGGGTCTGACTCTGTCACCCAGGCTGGAGTGCAGTGGCATGATCTCAGCTCACTGCAACCTCTACACCCTGGGCTCAAGTGATCCTCCCATCTCAGCCTCCCCAGTAGCCATATAGGCACATGCCACCCCACCTGGCTAATTGAATTTTCAACAAAGGAGCAGAAGTACTGCAATGAAGAAAGAATAGTCTTGTCAACAAATGGGGCTAGAACAATTGGATATCCATACATAATAAGACAAACTTCAAGCCATACCTCATACTACATATAAAAAATTAACTCAAAATGCATCATGGAAAACCCCAAACTATAAAATTTCTAAAAGAAAACATAGGGGAAAATATTTGTGTGATCTTGGGTTAGGCAAAGATTTCCTACATGTAATACCAAAGGCAAAATTTATAAAAAAGTAAATTGATCAATTGGATTTTATCAAAATTTTGAAACTCCTACTTTAAAAAACACTATTGAGAGAATGAAAAGACAAGCCACAGACTGGGAGAAATATATCTACAAAGGATCTCTCCAATAAAGGACTCGTATCTAGAATACATAAATAATGTTTAGATCTTAAAAAGAAACCCACCCCAATAACCCAATAAATAATGGGCAAAAGATTTGAGTAGGCGTTTCACTAAAGAAGACATATGGGGCTTATAAGCCTGGGAGTAAACTGACTTTTTTTTTTGTAAGAAATTAGATATCCTAAGTTAAACAGTCACACAAGGATGTGAGGAGAAAGTGCTTTGACAGGAATTGCTATACTAGTCACAAGTACATTACCAAAGATTTCTCTATAATGGATTTAATATTTAAACACAGCACCCAGTATTTGTTGAAAAAGCAAAACTATATAATAGGGGTTTTTAAAATAATTTTTTTTTTGAGACAGTCTCACTCTGTTGCCCAGGCTTGAGTGCAGCAGCACGATCTTGGCTCACTGCAACGTCTGCCTCCCGGGTTCCACTGATTCTCCTGCCTCAGCCTCCCAAGTAGCTGGGATTACAGGTGCGCCACCACGCCTGGCTAATTTTTGTATTTTTAGTAGGGATGGGGTTTCATCATGTTGGCCAGGTTCATCTCAAACTCCTGACCTCAGGTGATCCGCCTGCCTTGGCCTCCCAAAGTGCTGGGATTACAGGTATAAGCCACTGTGCCTGGTCTAAAATAAAGTTTTTTAAAAAGTGAAAAAAAGAAGACATATGGATGGCAGATAAGTGTATAAAAAAATTCTTAACATCATTAGTCATTAGTGAAATACAATTTCAAGTAATAATGAGACAACATCACACACTTACTGGAGCGGCTAAAATTAAAAAGACTGACCATCCCAAGTGTTGACAAGGCTGTGGGGTAACGGATGTCTCATACACTGCCGGTGGGAATGTAGAAAGGTACAACCACTTTGGAAAGCAGTTTAGCGATTTCTCAAAAAGTTGAACATAGACCTACCTGTCTGATCCAGATACTCCACTCCTAGGTATTTACCTGGCAGAAAAGAAAGTGTATGTCCACACTAAGATTACACAAATGTTCGAAGCAGTTTTGTTCGTAGTGGCCTCAAATGGACAATGAGCCCAGTGTCCATTAGCAGGGAATGAATGAGCCCAGGAAGGAATGAGCTATTTACACAGCAATGCTGGATGCAATCTCAACATAATTATGCTTAGTGAAAGAGACCGAAGAATGCATACTGTATAGTTCCATTTACACAGAATCCTAGAAAATGCAAACAAATCTGCAAAGTCCTAGAAAATGCAAACAAATGCCATGGAAAAGAAACCCTGGGTAGCTCCCGAGTGGGGAAGGGTGGGAGGGAGAGATTCCAAAGAGGTGTAAGGAGCCCTGTGTGGGTGATGGGTGGGGACATATTCATCCTGATTGGGGTGGTGGTTTCCCAAGTTCAACCAATTTATGTCAAAACTGACCCAATCATACACGTAAACATGTGCGGTTTATTGTATGTCAATTCTAACTCAGTTAAGCTGTTTTAGCCTGTGTCAACGCACTTTCCTGACCAGTAAATCCTAAGTGTTTTCCTTGTTGCCACATAAAATCCTAGTCATAATTTATAGTGGATGCATGTTATTCTAGAGTTGTTTGGCTCTTAGAGATTTAAAATTAATCAGAGAAATATATTAGAGCCCAAACTATAGTGACAGTAAAAAATGACCAGTGCTTGCCAGGGATTTGTGGGGAAGGATGGAATAGCTGAGACACAGGGCATGTGTTAGGGTGGTACAACCATTTTGCATGCTACTATCCTGGTGGATATTTGACACTCTACATTTGCAAAACCCAGAAAACTTAATAGTGCAAAGAGTGAACCTTGATGTACACAAACATAAAAATATTCAGGAGGTTGAGGGATGCCACAGATGAAATGCGGAATGTGGCAAAACAATCCAACTGTATTTCAAATGCATGAAATAAACTCACAGAAGGGGGCGGGGGTGGAGGGATGTTGAAGGGCCCTGACCTTTGGGCACTTCGGCAAGGAGCAAGGGGGCACTGAGATTCCTGCCCTGGGGCTACGACACCACCCAGGAACCCCTGATCTTTCTGTTACTTATGACTGGGGTTTCTCCAAAAAGCAACAGTCTCCTTTGCAAAAAGTGGCCACACCATTATCAAGCGGTGGACAGTGTAAGTTTGGGGCTGGGAAGATTCTCTGGGACCACATTGCAGCTCTGCCATTCTTGGGCTGGGTGAGCCGAAGGAGTGCTTTCACCCTCTCTGAGTCTCAGTTTCCTTGTCTATAGGATGGAGTGAGGTGAGTGCCTTCCTCCCAGGGTTGAGGGCTCCAGTGAGGTGGGCCTATAGAGCAGTTGGCCTGTACTTGCTCATCATGAGCTCTTGTGAGGTGGAGCCCTGTGGAGCTGCCACAGAAGGTGAACTCCAGTACCAGGGAGATTTCATTTGTCCATCCTTTTACCCACCCACCCACCGATTAATCCATCATCCACCCACCCACCCACCCATCCACCCACCCACTCATCCATCTATCTGTCCATTTGTCCATCCATCCATCCATCCATCCATCCATCCATCCATCCACTCATCCACTCATCCATCTCTCCATTCATCCATCCACCTATCCAGTCACTCACTCACATATCCATCTATCCATCCATCCTTTCATCCATCCATTCTTTGACCCATCCACACATCCATCCCTCCATTCATCCATGCCTCCATCCATCCACCTATCCATTCACTAACCCATCTATCCATCCATCCATCCATCCATCTATCCATCCATCCTTCCATTCACCCATTCATCCACTCATCCATCCATCCATCCATCCACTCACCCACCCATTCATCTATCCATCCATCCACCCACCCATTCATCCATCCCTCCCTCCCATCCATCCATCCCTGACCCATTCATCCATCCCTTCCATCCATCCATCCATCCATCCATCCATCCACTCACCCATCCACCCATCCATCCATCCCATCCATCTACCCACCCACTGACCCATTCATCCATCCTTCCCTCCCTCCCTCCCATCCATCCATCCTTTCATTCACCCATTCATCCATCCATCCACCCACCCACCCATTCATCCATCCATCTAACGATCTGTCCCTCCCTCCCTCCATTTATCCACTCATTCACCCAGCCAACCACCCATTCATCCATCCGTCCACTCATTTACCCACTCATTTATTGATCTATTCATCCATCCATCCATCCATCCATCCATCCATCCATCCATCCCATCCATCTACCCACTGACCCATTCATTTCCCCTCCCTGCTTCCCATCCGTCCATCTATCCATCCATCCATCCATCCACCTGCTGACCCATTCATTCCCCCTCCCTTCCTCCCATCCATCCATCCATCCATCCATCCACCCACCCACCCACCCACCCACCCACCCACCCACCCAGAAGCAAAGTTATTGAGTGCATCTGCTGTGAGGGTGGCCATGGGGGGCCCACATGGGCTGCTGCCCTTGCAGCATTCGGAGCAGGATGGCCAGCAAGGGTCACACAGTGTGGCCAGGGTGGTGAGAACAGTGTTCAGTGTGAGGATGTGACACCTGGACCAAGTCTTGAGGGGCAAGTGCCCCAGGGTGTCTGGACTCCTGAAGCACAGCTATCCACCTGATGGCCCTGGCCCTGGGCTGCCCTTTCCTCAATGGAGCCTGCCCAGTGCCCGCCTGCCCAGCAGAGGCCTGGACTGGTTGAGGCCTCTCTTGATCCCTCACCTGAGAACAAACGCCTCTGTGTGCTCACTTGCTCACCCTCCACACCTCACAGAGCAGTGGCACCAACATCCCGCCTTTCACCTCTGCAGTCCTTGGGAGGTGAAGTGCACACCTCCAGGTGTCTCCGAACCTTTGGAGCCCCAGAAAGTGGACATGCTTGGGGTGTCTGAGTCTGCCCTGGAGAGCTGGACGTGACTGGTGTTTTATTTGCCCTCCCTTGAATCCTCAGATGCTCACCTGCCAGGGTGTAGGTCTGGGCCTTGCCACTGTGTCCCTGTGTGGGGCTGGGGTTGGAGCTGGGGTCCTCCTTGGTGTCCAGAGGGCTGAGAACCACGGCTTCTCTGGGTGTGCTCTCCATCTGCCCACCAAGGCAGGGCCAGAGCTGTGGCGCTGGGGTTGGGTGCCAGCCCCCACCACCCTGGTTAAGCCCAGTTGGCTGGGGGCTGGGCAGCCTGGTGCTGGCAGGGTTGGCTGTGGCAGGATGGCTCTGGCCTGCAGAATGGGTGTGGGCCAGCCTGGCCTCTTGTGTCCTGAGATGCTGGCCTTGAGATGGAGACACAAGATGCTCGGTGACTCAGTTTCCCCTTCTGTAATGTGAGCTAATAATCAGACCAACCACATAGGGACATGGAAAAATGGCCCCAGATGACACATGTGACTGACATGTGGGCAGCCTGCACTTGCTGGAGGCCGACATTTCAGTAATCAGCAATGGGGGCCACGTTTGGACCAACACAGGATGTAGGGAGACAGGGGCTGCCACGTGGGGATACCTAGGGCTGCGGTGTGGGCGGGTGGAGTGCTCTCCAGGAAAGCAGGCTCTGTGACTGGTCTCCCGCCCCCGTGGGAGAGGTATTGGCCACATGGGGAGTGCTTGCGGGGGTGGGTGGTGATACTCCAGGGAAGCAATCAGTGGGGCATGGGCCATTACTTCAGGCAGCCTAGGGTGGGCCTCAGGCTGGAGACCCCCGGAGGCCATCAGGAGGCAGCACGTCCTGGAGGCAGCACGTCCTGCTCCTTGGAGGACCAAGGTCTTTTCTTTCAAGGCCCTGCACTGATTGTGTCAGACCCACCTGCTTCGCCAGGGTCACATTTAAGAAGTCCCTTCACAGCAGCATCCAGCCCGGCGCCATGCCAAAGACTGGAGCCATGGCCAGACAGGCCGACTCACAAAGCCACCGTTCGAGCGACCGGGACGTGTGCAGGGGACGCACCTGCTGTCTTTGGCTCCCCCAGCAGCATAGGGGTTCTCTCTTCTCGCCCCCTCCCCAGCCTCCTCTTCCCCTTCCCCTTCCTCCTCCTCCTTTCCCTCTCCCTCTTCCTCCGGTGGCTCTGACCCCCACATGCCCCTCACCCGGGCTTCCTGGTGAGTCAGGTTTGTGGATACACAGTAGGGGGGCCGTCACTTCAGGTGCCATGTGACGTCAGTGCTGCCTCCTCCCTGCAGTCACTACTGCAAATTCCATGCAGCCGTTGGCAACAGTGTCTTGTCACGGTAAACATGTTGGGCGTGGGCAGGGTGGGGAGAGGCTGGGGGGGCCAGGATGCTGTCTGTGTGGGAAGCTGTACTCCAGGATGCTGTCTGTGTGGGAGGCTGTACTCCAGGATGCTGTCTGTGTGGGAGGCTGTACTCCATGCAGCCTCGTTCTGAGTCCCAGCCGGGGCCTGAGGCTGGGGCAGCCTGACATGGGGCTGGGGATGTGGGCTCCTGGCTCAACTGTGTCCGGCCCGCCGTTGGGTGGGTGGTCATTCCCACCACTGCCATCATGTTCTTGTCACAGAAAGCAGAACCGACAAGCATTTTCCTCGGAGTGGTCAAAGCCCCCACTCTCTCCCTCCACCAGGGTCCCTCGAACCCCATGGGAAAGCCACAGAGTGGCGATGGGGTCCCAGGGCAATACGGCTGCCCACTCTCCCACTCTGCACTTGCTGGAGGCCGACATTTCAGTAACCAGCAATGGGGGCCACATTTGGACCAACACAGGACGTGGGGAGAGAGGGGATGCAGTGCTGTGGAACTGCCTGGCCCCCATCGCCTCCACCACCACAGTAGATGCTGCGAATCTGGCAGTGGGGACCGGCTGAGGCTTGGAGGCAAAGAGGCTGGGGACACTCTCGCTTTGGGGGTGCCAGTGACTCCATAGTCGCCCCGGCCTGATGGAGCCCTCACTGTCCTCTTCCCCAGAACAGCTCCCTTTCCCCGTTAGGAATGGGGTTCAGCTCTCTGCACCCTGCCCCATGCAGGGCTGCCTGTAACCTCAGACAGGGCTCCTACCTGGGACCTTGCCATGGGCCAAGAGGGGTGTTGGGGTCAGACCCCTGAGCCTGGGAACCACCACTGCCCGTCCAGAGGGGACACAGGGTCAGATCTAGGGGACCTACCTCAGGCTTCAGGGCTGGAGGGGCTGTGCTGGGCAGCTTGTGCTCCGCTAGGATTCCTCCAATCCCCCCAGGGCAGGGGGAGCCTGGCCTGGAAAATCTCTGTCCTGAGGCCCGCCTGGGGCATGTCAGGGTCAGGGGACTGCAGTTGGGGCCGTCCTTGGGTTTCCCCAGGGCTCAGTGCCAGTGTGCGGAGGCCCACACCAGGAAGTGAACAATGATCTCCTCTGGCCTCGCCCAGCTGGCTCTGGTTTCCTAATCCCCGGTCCTCCTGGCAGGGGCCACACACTGAGCTTCCTCCACGTGCCCAGGTCCTGGCAGGGAGCGCAGACCCTGGGGCCTGGTGCTGGCGGGCACCGCAGGAGGGCGGGAGGGGCTTCGTCCCAGGCCCTGGGTCTGGGCAGCAGGTCAGCCAGGGAAACAGGCTTGGTGCTTTGGGCCCCGAGTCTCTATAACTGTTGGGGTGAGTCCCTCCCCACTGCCATCATGCTGCCGGCATGTCCCTGGCATGTTCAGGCCAAAGCCAGGAACTCAACTCAGGGCCCCTCTCTATTTTCAGGAGGAGAAAATTGTAGAGAGAGGGGAGGGCCCCCAGACCTCAGTTTACCCACTGGCGACACAGGGGTGCCTGCCTGTGCCCTCCCGGGCCGGGGCAAGCAGTGGTGGGCCCAGTGGTCTCGTAGTCTGGGGTCGGTGTGAGTTCCGGTTCTCCAGGCTTTTTTCCAGACAACTGCTGGGATTGGTGGGCGAGACCAAGGCTCATCAAAGGCACAGCCTTGGGGGCAGGATCCCCACCATGAGTCAGAGGTAGTTCTGGGGAGCCTGGGCAGGCTGTCACCTCCTCAGCTGTCAGGCCCGAGGTCCTCATGTGGTCCCCAGGAGAAGGGGCAGACGGCCACTTCCGGCCACCAGCCAGCTCCCTGTGTGCCTGATTCCGTAACATGTCCCCTGGCTGGGCATGTACTCCCCAAGTTCTAATTACATGTAACTGCAGAGAAGGGCTCAGCCTGGGAAAAGGATGGGCATAGGGGGTGGTTGGGGGCTGGGGCCTCTGACACAGCTCCATGAGCCCGGCCAAGAGTCCCACACAAGTCAGTGGCCCCCCCGGACCCTGAAGGATCCCACATCCTCCCTGCCCTCGGGGAGGCCCCTTTCTGGGGTCAGGCCTGGAAGCTGCCCCAGAGCTTGGGCCCCAGGAATGGGTTGGTCCTCCCAGCGTAACGTGAGCCTGATCAGGCCTGGGGACCTGCTCAGCGGGTGTCTGGGGGCCCATGGCGGGCTAAGGAGCCTGACCAGACTTGCTTCTGGCAGGACACCCCTCCCCCGGCCACCCTGGGCTCGCCCCTCTAGTAGCTGCATGTGTTCCCCGGGTGTGTGTTGGCATTCAGGCTACAGGGCTGCCTCATCCTGAAGAAGGCTGCGTTTACCCAGGGAGCCATAAAGAGATGACCTCCGATAACCTGAATCAATATTTCCCCATTGGGGCTCGGGCCCCCGCAGCTGTCTTCTTGATCATCTGGCAGATGCCACACCCACCCTTGGCCCTCCCCTGCCTTCCTGCCCTCCTACCCTCCTGCCAGGACATATAAGGACCAGACCCCTGCCCCCGGGCGCAACCCACACCGCCCCTGCCAGCCACCATGGGGCTGCCACTAGCCCGCCTGGCGGCTGTGTGCCTGGCCCTGTCTTTGGCAGGGGGCTCGGAGCTCCAGACAGGTGAGAGAGCAGACACAGGGGTCTGGGGCCTGGCAGAGTGTCCTGGGGGCAGGGCGAGGCGGGCGGGCAAGTCGCGTCTGGGAGGAGGAGCTGGTCCCAGAGTGCAGCCTGCGCGGCTCTGCTGAGGCTCCTGGCCCGGGTTGGTCCCTGGAAGCCCCCGGCCCTGCTGACTTTCAAGGAGCTGGAAGGTCGGGGCTCCCCTGCTATTCCTTTGGGGTTGACTGCCCGACGACAGTGTGGGTCTTGGGGCCAGCACCAGGTGGAAACAGCAGGTCAGGCCCCAGTGAACTGGGTCATTGTCCATAGGGGAGGAAGGGGTGGCCAGGATCCCACCAGAAGGCCCCATTCTCAGGTGGCAGAGACCCTTGAAGAGTTGGGGCAGCACAGCCCTTGCTGGGGAGCGGGGTGCCCAGAATGCCCTCTCCTACATCCCGCTTGGCACCCGGCCGCACTCCTCACCAGGCCGGGGGTAGAAGCCCTGAGACCCCTGTGGTGGGGTGACCAAGGCCCAGCAGAGGGCCCGAGGATAGGAAGGAACCTTTCCCGGCCAGGGGCCCTGTGCTGGGCTCGAAGCTGCTTCCAGGTGCTTCTTCAGGGGCCTTCTCTCGAGGGTAGCTTGGGCAGCCTTCCCCCTCCGGGGCCACTCACCCCTCATTCCCCGCTGCTCCCTCAGAGGGCAGAACCCGAAACCACGGCCACAACGTCTGCAGCACCTGGGGCAACTTCCACTACAAGACCTTCGACGGGGACGTCTTCCGCTTCCCCGGCCCCTGCGACTACAACTTCGCCTCCGACTGCCGAGGCTCCTACAAGGAATTTGCTGTGCACCTGAAGCGGGGTCCGGGCCAGGCTGAGGCCCCCGCCGGGGTGGAGTCCATCCTGCTGACCATCAAGGATGACACCATCTACCTCACCCGCCACCTGGCTGTGCTTAACGGGGCCGTGTGAGTGTGGTCGGTGGCACCCCTCCCACATCCTAGCAACGGGGGCTGATGTTTCCCAAAGGGATATTCCTTGTAGCCCTAGAAGACCCCTTCCGCCCCAGCACACAGCTCAGGAGAACAGCCTTGAGGTTTGGGTTCAGGTCACTAATTCATTCAACAAACACTGATGAGCCCCCACCATTCCCCCCATAGGCAAGGGGTTTCAGTTATCCCTTTGCCTGTGTGTCCCTGACAGCCCCTCCCCTCGGAGCCCACCAGGCTCCGGACAGACTTGGCACCCCTGGAGGCTGCATGTCTCTGGTCCTGTGCATGGAGTGGCCGTGTGTGCCCTCCCCAGGCTAGAGTTACAGAAGCCGGTGCAGGGGGCTGTGGGACCCCCTTCCCCATCCCCAGCTATTGCTCCCCTATTGTCTCCAGAACAATGAGGCCCTGTAAGTGCGTTCCCATCCAGCGCCTGCCCCTCTTCTGCCTGGGGATTTAGTTTCCTGCAAGGCGCCCCAGCATGGGCATGGGCAGGCGGGTGGAGGCCCTCAGGCATGGGCATGGGCAGGCGGGTGGGTAGAGGCCCTCAGGCGTGAGTGCGGGCGGGTGGGTGGATAGAAGCCGTCAGGCATGGGTGCAGGCGGGTGGGTAGAGGTCCTCAGGTGTGGGCATGGGCAGGTGGGTGGGTAGAGGCCGTCAGGTGTGGGCGCGGGTGGGTGGGTAGAGGCCCTCAGGCATGGGTGCAGGCGGGTGGGTGGGTAGAGGCCCTCAGGCGTGGGCGCGGGTGGGTGGATAGAGGCCGTCAGGCGTAGGTGCGGGCGGGTGGGTAGAGGTCCTCAGGTGTGGGCGCAGGTGGGTGGGTGGGTAGAGGCCCTCAGGCATGGCACAGGTGGGTGGGTAGAGGCCCTCAGGCATGGGCGCAGGCGGGTGGGTGGGTAGGGGCCCTCAGGCATGGGTGTTGGCAGGTGGGTGGGTAGAGGCTTTCAGGCATGGGCAGGCAGGTAGAGGCCCTTGAGGACCGAGGCACAGAGGCTGGGGTGAGTGCCTCTACCTGGACCAGCAAGGGGCACTGGCAGGAGGTGGGGTAGGGCCCCTGACGTTCTCAGGGGCAGCCTGGGGGGCTCTGGGGGGTTTGGGACCCCATGGGGGGATGTTCCACCAAGCAGGGGGCCTGGAAGGGGGCTGGGCAGCCTGGTCCTCCCTCCTCTCCCAACCTGGTGCCCTCAGGGCCTCTGAGGGGGGACCCTGCCCAGGACCGTGCCCCGAGGAGGGAGTGGAGAGGAGGGGCGTGCAGGCAGGAGGTGGCTCTGCCGGGGAAGCCCGGCCAGCGGAGATGGACAGGTGCTCTTTGGCCACTGCCTATGTCCCTCCACCCCAGAGGCCGGCCAAGTTGGTGATCCCAGGGCAGGAGCTGGGCCTGGCAGAGCCATCTCCACCACCCCAGGTGCCCAGCTTCAGTCCCCTCTGGGCGGCGGGGTCCCGGGAGGACAAGCTGGGGCGGGGGGGCCTGGGTGGTGGACCCAAGAGTGACCCCGATGTGCCTCCGCCAGGGTCAGCACCCCGCACTACAGCCCCGGGCTGCTCATTGAGAAGAGCGATGCCTACACCAAAGTCTACTCCCGCGCCGGCCTCACCCTCATGTGGAACCGGGAGGATGCACTCATGGTGCTCAGGGGTCCCCGGACTCGTGGGGCTGGTGGGGGCTCCGTCAGGCCTCTGGGCAGACCCCAAGGGAGGGCAGGGAGGGCAGTGCTCTGACCCCTCACCGAGAGGGCATGGGTGGGGCAGGGCCTCGGCAGCGCAGGGCGTCGGTGCTGGACTTGGGGGGCAGCAGCAGAAGCCGACCTGGCCCTGACCCCCCCAGGCCTCAGCCTTCCCCCAAACGCACTCGGCTTCTCAGGGACCTGCCCTGCCAGGCCGCTCCCTGGCTGCTGACCCCAGCCTTCCTGCCCCACCTTCCTCTGGCTCAAACAAGCCACGAGTCTTGGGGGTTCCTGGCGGCTGTGGGCCGGGCGGGAGGCCAGCTCACCTGCTCCCTCCCGCAACAGCTGGAGCTGGACACTAAGTTCCGGAACCACACCTGTGGCCTCTGCGGGGACTACAACGGCCTGCAGAGCTATTCAGAATTCCTCTCTGACGGTGAGGCCCGGAGGGCTTGGAGGGGGCAGGGTAGGCTACGGGCCCCCAGGAGCCCTAGCTGAAGGGCCGTGCATCCCCAGGCGTGCTCTTCAGTCCCCTGGAGTTTGGGAACATGCAGAAGATCAACCAGCCCGATGTGGTGTGTGAGGATCCCGAGGAGGAGGTGGCCCCCGCATCCTGCTCCGAGCACGTGAGTCCCCTCGGTCCGGGGTGGGGGTCCTGGCGGAGCTGGCCTCTGAATAGCATGCTCACCCTGCGTCTGTCCCCAGCGCGCCGAGTGTGAGAGGCTGCTGACCGCCGAGGCCTTCGCGGACTGTCAGGACCTGGTGCCGCTGGAGCCGTATCTGCGCGCCTGCCAGCAGGACCGCTGCCGGTGCCCGGGCGGTGACACCTGCGTCTGCAGCACCGTGGCCGAGTTCTCCCGCCAGTGCTCCCACGCCGGCGGCCGGCCCGGGAACTGGAGGACCGCCACGCTCTGCCGTAAGCCCCGGCGCCTTGTGGGCAGGGGACCCCAGGGAGACCCCACGCTGGTGCTTTCCCCAAGCCCGGGTGGGAGCTGTGTCTGTGCCGGGCACCTTGAGCTGGGGGGACACTCACCGCACCGGGCACCTTGAGCTGGGGGAACACTAACCGTGCCGGGCACCGGGAGCTGGGGGGACACTCACCGTGCCGGGCACCTTGAGCTGGGGGGACACTCACCGTGCCGGGCACCGGGAGCTGGGGGGACACTCACCACGGGCACCGAGAGCTGGGGGGACACTCACCGTGCCGGGCACCGGGAGCTGGGGGGACACTCACCGTGACGGGCACCGGGAGCTGGGGGGACACTCACCGTGACGGGCACCGGGAGCTGGGGGGACACTCACCGTGCCGGGCACCGGGAGCTGGGGGGACACTCACCACGGGCACCGGGAGCTGGGGGGACACTCACCGTGCCGGGCACCTTGAGCTGGGGGGACACTCACCGTGCCGGGCACCGGGAGCTGGGGGGACACTCACCGTGCCGGGCACCGGGAGCTGGGGGGACACTCACCGCGCCGGGCACCGGGAGCTGGGGGGACACTCACCGTGCCGGGCACCGGGAGCTGGGGGGACACTCACCACGGGCACCGAGAGCTGGGGGGACACTCACCGCGCCGGGCACCGGGAGCTGGGGGGACACTCACTGTGACGGGCACCGGGAGCTGGGGGGACACTCACCGTGCCGGGCACCGGGAGCTGGGGGGACACTCACCACGGGCACTGGGAGCTGGGGGGACACTCACTGAGGGCACCGGGAGCTGGGGGGACACTCACTGTGACGGGCACCGAGAGCTGGGGGGACACTCACTGTGACGGGCACCGGGAGCTGGGGGGACACTCACTGTGACGGGCACCGGGAGCTGGGGGGACACTCACCGTGCCGGGCACCGGGAGCTGGGGGGACACTCACTGAGGGCACCGGGAGCTGGGGGGACACTCACCGTGCCGGGCACCGGGAGCTGGGGGGACACTCACCACGGGCACCGGGAGCTGGGGGGACACTCACCGTGCCGGGCACCGGGAGCTGGGGGGACACTCACCGTGCCGGGCACCGGGAGCTGGGGGGACACTCACTGAGGGCACCGGGAGCTGGGGGGACACTCACTGTGACGGGCACCGAGAGCTGGGGGGACACTCACTGTGACGGGCACCGGGAGCTGGGGGGACACTCACTGTGACGGGCACCGGGAGCTGGGGGGACACTCACCGTGCCGGGCACCGGGAGCTGGGGGGACACTCACTGAGGGCACCGGGAGCTGGGGGGACACTCACCGCGCCGGGCACCGGGAGCTGGGGGGACACTCACTGAGGGCACCGAGAGCTGGGGGGACACTCACTGTGACGGGCACCGGGAGCTGGGGGGACACTCACCGCGCCGGGCACCGGGAGCTGGGGGGACACTCACCGTGACGGGCACCGAGAGCTGGGGGGACACTCACTGTGACGGGCACCTTGAGCTGGGGGGACACTCACCACGGGCACTGGGAGCTGGGGGGACACTCACCGCGCCGGGCACCGGGAGCTGGGGGGACACTCACTGAGGGCACCGGGAGCTGGGGGGACACTCACCGTGCCGGGCACCGGGAGCTGGGGGGACACTCACTGAGGGCACCGGGAGCTGGGGGGACACTCACTGAGGGCACCGGGAGCTGGGGGGACACTCACTGAGGGCACCAAGAGCTGGGGGGACACTCACCACGGGCACCGAGAGCTGGGGGGACACTCACCGTGACGGGCACCGGGAGCTGGGGGGACACTCACCACGGGCACCGGGAGCTGGGGGGACACTCACCGTGACGGGCACCGGGAGCTGGGGGGACACTCACTGAGGGCACCGGGAGCTGGGGGGACACTCACCACGGGCACCGGGAGCTGGGGGGACACTCACCGCGCCGGGCACCGGGAGCTGGGGGGACACTCACCACGGGCACTGGGAGCTGGGGGGACACTCACCACGGGCACTGGGAGCTGGGGGGACACTCACCACGGGCACCGGGAGCTGGGGGGACACTCACCGTGACGGGCACCGGGAGCTGGGGGGACACTCACCACGGGCACCGGGAGCTGGGGGGACACTCACCACGGGCACCGGGAGCTGGGGGGACACTCACCACGGGCACCGGGAGCTGGGGGGACACTCACCGCGGGCACTGGGAGCTGGGGGGACACTCACCACGGGCACTGGGAGCTGGGGGGACACTCACCACGGGCACCGGGAGCTGGGGGGACACTCACCGTGACGGGCACCGGGAGCTGGGGGGACACTCACCACGGGCACCGGGAGCTGGGGGGACACTCACCACGGGCACCGGGAGCTGGGGGGACACTCACCACGGGCACCGGGAGCTGGGGGGACACTCACCGTGCCGGGCACCGGGAGCTGGGGGGACACTCACTGAGGGCACCGGGAGCTGGGGGGACACTCACCACGGGCACCGAGAGCTGGGGGGACACTCACTGTGCCGGGCACCGGGAGCTGGGGGGACACTCACCACGGGCACCGGGAGCTGGGGGGACACTCACCGTGACGGGCACCGGGAGCTGGGGGGACACTCACCACGGGCACCGGGAGCTGGGGGGACACTCACCGTGCCGGGCACCGGGAGCTGGGGGGACACTCACTGAGGGCACCGGGAGCTGGGGGGACACTCACCACGGGCACCGAGAGCTGGGGGGACACTCACTGTGCCGGGCACCGGGAGCTGGGGGGACACTCACCACGGGCACCGGGAGCTGGGGGGACACTCACCGTGACGGGCACCGGGAGCTGGGGGGACACTCACTGAGGGCACCGGGAGCTGGGGGGACACTCACCACGGGCACCGGGAGCTGGGGGGACACTCACCACGGGCACCGGGAGCTGGGGGGACACTCACCGTGCCGGGCACCGGGAGCTGGGGGGACACTCACCACGGGCACCGGGAGCTGGGGGGACACTCACCACGGGCACCGGGAGCTGGGGGGACACTCACCGCGCCGGGCACCGGGAGCTGGGGGGACACTCACCGTGGGCTGAGAGCCCTTCTCGGTGCACTTCGGGGTGGAGCGGCTGCTGTGCCCCAGCCTCACCCTCACTGCGTGGCCTCTGCGGTTCCAGCCAAGACCTGCCCCGGGAACCTGGTGTACCTGGAGAGCGGCTCGCCCTGCATGGACACCTGCTCACACCTGGAGGTGAGCAGCCTGTGCGAGGAGCACCGCATGGACGGCTGTTTCTGCCCAGAAGGTGCGTGTGGAGGATGGCCCCGCCCTGGCACTGCCCACCAGATGAGAGGCAGCCCTGGCCTGGGGTTCTCGCCTGCGCTGAGGGGACGGCTCCGCTGGGTGGTGGGGGCAGCGGCGGCACAGAAGTGCCTCTCCCTCCACCCGATACCGGGGGAGAAGGGGCCTCGGTGTGAGGCCCTTCCCAAAGGGTGGCTTCAGGGAGGCCGGGAAGGGGGCTGCCTTCCTGGTTATCACCCTGGGGACAGACCTCCTCCTGCCCGGCCCCTGGCCTGGTGCCTGAGGCCTTTGGGAGCAGCTCGATTGTCAGGGGCAGGAAGGTGGCCTGGAGGCTGGACCCCCATGGCCAGACCCCAACCCAGGGACCAGGTGGGGACCGCAGGCGTCAGCACAGGGGACCAGTGGTGCCTGCGGGTGGGAGGCCTGGCTGGCAGCCCCTCGGTGGGGATTCTGGCTCTTTCTGAGCCAGCCGGGGTGACATCGCCTCCCTGGCTGTCCCAGGCACCGTATATGACGACATCGGGGACAGTGGCTGCGTTCCTGTGAGCCAGTGCCACTGCAGGCTGCACGGACACCTGTACACACCGGGCCAGGAGATCACCAATGACTGCGAGCAGTGGTGAGTCCCGGGGCCAGGGCTGGGCACAGCAGAGGCTGGGGCGGCTGAGCCCTGACCCTGTGCCCCGCTGCCCAACAGTGTCTGTAACGCTGGCCGCTGGGTGTGCAAAGACCTGCCCTGCCCCGGCACCTGTGCCCTGGAAGGCGGCTCCCACATCACCACCTTCGATGGGAAGACGTACACCTTCCACGGGGACTGCTACTATGTCCTGGCCAAGGTAGGCTGCCCAGGGTCTGGGGCATGGGGCAGAGCTGGGGCTGGCATCCAGGCCCTTGGCTGTCCCGGGGTGGGTGGGCTGGCTGTCCCTGAAGCAGAGGGTGCCTGTGGGCTGTCCTGGGGCAGGTGACCATGCTTCTGCTCTCTGGCTGGAGAATAAGAAGCAGGCCTTCCTTTCTAAGCCACTGCCGGGTCCTAGGGTGCAGGGTGCTGCCCGTCCCGGCCCTCAGCAGCTGCACTGCCTCTTGCCCCATCACAGGGTGACCACAACGATTCCTACGCTCTCCTGGGCGAGCTGGCCCCCTGTGGCTCCACAGACAAGCAGACCTGCCTGAAGACGGTGGTGCTGCTGGCTGACAAGAAGAAGAATGTGAGTGGTCCTGCCCCCTCCTTCTGGAGCCCCAGGTCCCCCGAGGGGGGCCCTTCTCAGCCCTGAGCAACCTCGGCCTTCCCTGCAGGTGGTGGTCTTCAAGTCCGATGGCAGTGTACTGCTCAACGAGCTGCAGGTGAACCTGCCCCACGTGACCGGTGAGTTGCGCCCCAGGGAGGGGCCCGGGCCCTTCGAGCTCCACTGGGCCTGCAGTGATTCGGACAGTCCAGCCACCTCGGACCCAGGAGGCTGGGTGGGAAGGTTCCACGGGGGGAGGGTCCCTGCGGCACCCAGCAGGCTCCGTCCTGGGTCCTCTGCTGGAGGGGGTGGTGGGAGGGTGACACCCTCCCGCTGCTCACCTGGGCCAGGCAGGTCCCGGGAGCCCCGCCCCTCGCCATGCCCCTTACCGTGTCCCTCATCGTGCCCCTGCCCACAGCGAGCTTCTCTGTCTTCCGCCCGTCTTCCTACCACATCATGGTGAGCATGGCCATTGGCGTCCGGCTGCAGGTGCAGCTGGCCCCAGTCATGCAACTCTTTGTGACACTGGACCAGGCCTCCCAGGGGCAGGTGCAGGGTAAGTGGCCCCACCGGGGTTGCCCCAACAAAGGCCCACAGGGGGGCCTGCTAGCCCCAGACTCTTCCCAACCCTGTCCTGGCCCCTCAGGCCTCTGCGGGAACTTCAACGGCCTGGAAGGTGACGACTTCAAGACGGCCAGCGGGCTGGTGGAGGCCACGGGGGCCGGCTTTGCCAACACCTGGAAGGCACAGTCAACCTGCCATGACAAGCTGGACTGGTTGGACGATCCCTGCTCCCTGAACATCGAGAGCGGTGAGGCTCGGCAACACGGGCGCCCCCACCTAGCGTGCCTAGGGTACCCGGCCCATGGCCTGGAAGGGCAGACGGGGCTCCCAGCAGGAAGCATGGGTGGTGAGGGGCAGAAGTGAGGTGGCTCTCCTCCAGGGGCAGCCCGGCCCCTGCTGCTTCCTGCTGTGGCTAGTTTATGGCGGCCATGGTGGCAGCCTGCCAGGTGACCTGGAAGAGGGCCTGGGCTGGTCCCTACCTGCCCCGTCATGTCCAGGATGCTGGGCCCTTGGGGGTGAGAGACGGGAGGTGGTGGGTGCCCTGCAGGGGTTTCTATCTAGCCAGGAGCTGCCTGGAAATTTGACTCACGGGGAGGAAGGGGCCTGGGCATCGGTGCACAGAGGGAACCATATCTGGGGCCTAGGCAGCCAGGCAGCAGGGCCCAGGGGATCTCACGGGGGTCCCGGGCCCCGCTGAAGTTCCGATCCCCCACTCCCCAGCCAACTACGCCGAGCACTGGTGCTCCCTCCTGAAGAAGACAGAGACCCCCTTTGGCAGGTGCCACTCGGCTGTGGACCCTGCTGAGTATTACAAGGTGGGTGGGACCCACACCCCCAGGCCCCCATGCCATCAAGGTGGACTCAGGGCACCCCCAGCCCCCCATGCCACCCGTGAGGTGGACTCAGAGCACCCGGTTGGGCCCACTGGTTGCTGTGTGTGCGTGTGAGCTTGCGTCTGTGAGCGCCAGGCCACACTCTGCCTCCCTGCCTCACTGCCCGTCCACCTTGCTCTGTCGCCCAGAGGTGCAAATATGACACGTGTAACTGTCAGAACAATGAGGACTGCCTGTGCGCCGCCCTGTCCTCCTACGCGCGCGCCTGCACCGCCAAGGGCGTCATGCTGTGGGGCTGGCGGGAGCATGTCTGCAGTGAGTGCCGTCCCCGTGGGCTGCATCCTGGGGATGGGGTCCGGGCTTTGAGCTCCTGGGACGGGGCTGGGGGCCCTGAGCACGGGTGGTCCAGGGAGAGGGGTTGGCCCCCTGCAGCCACGGACCAGGCTCCAGCTTCGTCGGCCGGTGGTAGCAGGAAACCAGCAACTCCTATAGCAAGGGGCGGCCACGTAGCAGGGGCAGAACCTGGGGTGGGCCTGGAGCTGTGGCGGCCGAGTGTGGGAGTGGGTCCCAGAGTGTGCACTCCCTGGCCCCCTGGCCACCCTGGGGATGGGAGCTGGGCGTCTGGCTCTTCCCGTCCCTCACACCACCCCGTGGTCCTCTGCAGACAAGGATGTGGGCTCCTGCCCCAACTCGCAGGTCTTCCTGTACAACCTGACCACCTGCCAGCAGACCTGCCGCTCCCTCTCCGAGGCCGACAGCCACTGTCTCGAGGGCTTTGCGCCTGTGGACGGCTGCGGCTGCCCTGACCACACCTTCCTGGACGAGAAGGGCCGCTGCGTACCCCTGGCCAAGTGCTCCTGTTACCACCGCGGTCTCTACCTGGAGGCGGGGGACGTGGTCGTCAGGCAGGAAGAACGATGGTGGGTACCTGCTCGGGGGTCAGGTGTGGCGTGGGGGCGGGGGAACTCCTTCTGAACCTGCCCCAAGCGGAGACCTGGGAGTCTCTACCTGGGGAAGCTGAGACACCCAAGGCTGAGGGGTGCCTGGGGTGGGGGGCGCTGAGAGGCATCAGGCTCACATCTGCGGGGAAGCTGCTGGCTGTCTGTGGCCGTCCTGCATGGGCCCCGCTCATCCCTGGCCTTTTCCACAGTGTGTGCCGGGATGGGCGGCTGCACTGTAGGCAGATCCGGCTGATCGGCCAGAGTAAGTGGCACTGCCCCGGCCACCCCTCCCCAGCCACCCCTCCCTGCCTGCCCTGGCCACCCTCCCCGGCCACCCCTCCCGGGCCTGCCTGAGACCCTCAGCTTCAGCTGGAGCTGAGGTGGCCCCTCCGTCCCACAGGCTGCACGGCCCCAAAGATCCACATGGACTGCAGCAACCTGACTGCACTGGCCACCTCGAAGCCCCGAGCCCTCAGCTGCCAGACGCTGGCCGCCGGCTATGTGCGTGTTGGGGGCGCTGCTGTGGGCGGGCAGGGATTCCTGGCTGGCTGAGCCTGGCTCTTGTGCTGTGCCCCCGCTAGGGTCTGGGTGCCGAGTCCTGAGGACGCAGGCCCTGTTGATGCTGTCCCTGGCCCTGGGAGGGAAGTGGCAGCCTGTGAGCCACTGGGGCACAGGGGCCAGTGTAGGGCCCTTGGCCGGCAGCCCTCACCAGTCTCACTGCCCTGTGGCGGGCCCAAGGGGAGGGAAGCCTGAGCCCAGGCCAGGGGGAGTGGTGGGAGGTCTGGGACATGACAGAGACTGCATGGTCAGGCCTTTCCTGGTTGCACATCCAATCCTGACCCCAGGGAGGGCTGCAGCCTCACCTGTCCACCCCTGAACCCCACTCTCTGGCTGTCCCCAGTACCACACAGAGTGTGTCAGTGGCTGTGTGTGCCCCGACGGGCTGATGGATGACGGCCGGGGTGGCTGCGTGGTGGAGAAGGAATGCCCTTGCGTCCATAACAACGACCTGTATTCTTCCGGCGCCAAGATCAAGGTGGACTGCAATACCTGGTAAGCTGGCCCGGCCTGTCCTGGCTGCCTCCCAGGCCCCACGTGCTCCGCAGGGGTGGCCACTGGAGAGCGGTCCAAGGGGCAAGTGCCTCTCCTGGGGGTTCCGCCTGGGTCTTGCGAGATCCTGTGGTGGCCCCTGTCCCACGGGCAGGGTGGTCTCTCATGTCAACCGCTGGTCTTGAAGCCATGGGGGAAGGGACATTTGGAGCCACTTTTGGGGCCTGCAGGTGTCCTGTGTGGGAGGCACAGGGAGCTGTCTGCACGGTGCCCAGGGTCTCCTCCAGCCACCCATGAGCAGGTCCTGGGTCCCTTCAGGCTCCTCTCCTGTCCTCCTCAGCACCTGCAAGAGAGGACGCTGGGTGTGCACCCAGGCTGTGTGCCATGGCACCTGCTCCATTTACGGGAGTGGCCACTACATCACCTTTGACGGGAAGTACTACGACTTTGACGGACACTGCTCCTACGTGGCTGTTCAGGTGTGGTCACGGGCACTGCCTGGTCGGGCTGCTTATGGTCAGGGACCCTCTGCCTGCCCCAAGTGCAGTGCTTAGCTCCCCGAGAAACCCTGAGACTTGGGAAGGCCGGCCTTTCCTCAGCCCCAGACCCGCACCTGCACCCGCAGGAGGATTCGTTCTTCTAGCCAGGGCTGGGTAGGGGTGGTAAAACCCCTCTGTACTGCCCAGTTCTGTGGTTCTCCTCTGGGTCCTCCTCCGGGTCCTCCTCCGGGTCCTCATCTGGGTCCTCCCTCCTCTGGCCTCCTCTGGGTCCTCCCTCCTCTGGGTCCTCCTCTGGGTCCTCCCTCCTCTGGCCTCCTCTGGGTCCTCCCTCCTCTGGGTCCTCCCTCCTCTGGGTCCTCCTCCAGGTCCTCCTCTGGGTCCTCCCTCCTCTGGGTCCTCCCTCCTCTGGGTCCTCCTCCAGGTCCTCCTCTGGGTCCTCCCTCCTCTGGGTCCTCCTCTGGGTCCTCCTCTGAGTCCTCCCTCCTCTGGGTCCTCCTCTAGGTCCTCCTCTGTGGTCCTCATTTGGGTCCTCCTCTGGGTCCTCCTCTGGGTCCTTCTCTGGGTGCACAAGGTGGGTGCACCAGCCATGGGGACTGAGGGCACCTGTTTGGGGAGCTGAGTAAAGGCCAGGGCTAGGCCGCTGCCCGCGCGGCTCTCCAGATCCAAATCCCACAGCCCTTTGAGGCACCGTGATCCCCAGGGACAGGGGACAGGCCTGCAGCAGGGTCAGGTCCTTGGATGGGCCAGGCCAGGGCCTGGTTTGTCTGCTCAGTGGCTGTGACCCTGCCAACTGGGGCGGGTGTGCCCCGGGACACCTGGGGTCCAGCTGTCCTGGCTGACCTTGCCCTCCTGGCCCCCAGGACTACTGCGGCCAGAACTCCTCACTGGGCTCATTCAGCATCATCACCGAGAACGTCCCCTGTGGCACTACGGGCGTCACCTGCTCCAAGGCCATCAAGATCTTCATGGGGGTGAGTGCTGCTGGCCCTGGGGACGCGTGAGCCCTGCGGGACCCTCAGACCAGCCAGTGACTGGGCCTCTCCTCCGGGCAGAGGACGGAGCTGAAGTTGGAAGACAAGCACCGTGTGGTGATCCAGCGTGATGAGGGTCACCACGTGGCCTACACCACGCGGGAGGTGGGCCAGTACCTGGTGGTGGAGTCCAGCACGGGCATCATCGTCATCTGGGACAAGAGGACCACCGTGTTCATCAAGCTGGCTCCCTCCTACAAGGTGGGCTGCCTCCCTGCCTGCCCTGCCCCCTCCTGGCCAGCCCCCCACCCCCTGCCCTGGTGTTTGCAGGACAAGCCCCTGTCCTCCCTCCAGCCCCTTTTTGGAGCCCCTGTGATGCTTGTCTCTTGCAGGGCACCGTGTGTGGCCTGTGTGGGAACTTTGACCACCGCTCCAACAACGACTTCACCACGCGGGACCACATGGTGGTGAGCAGCGAGCTGGACTTCGGGAACAGCTGGAAGGAGGCCCCCACCTGCCCAGATGTGAGCACCAACCCCGAGCCCTGCAGCCTGAACCCGCACCGCCGCTCCTGGGCCGAGAAGCAGTGCAGCATCCTCAAAAGCAGCGTGTTCAGCATCTGCCACAGCAAGGTGGGCTGGCCGGGCCATGGTGGGGCAAGTAGGCAGAGGAGGGCTGTAGGTGGGCTGTGACTGTGGGCTGGGGCCATGGGCGGGGCCGACTGTAGGCAGAGCAGGGCTGTAGGGGGCCTGTGACTATAGGCCGGGGCATGGCGGGGCTAACTAGGCAGAGCAGGGCTGTAGGTGGGCTACAGCTGTGGGCGGGGCCATGGGCGGGGCCGACTAAGCAGAGCAGGGCTGTAGGTGGGCTATAGCTGTGGGCGGGGCCACGGGCGGGGCCGACTGTAGGCAGAGCAGGGCTGTAGGTGGACTATAGCTGTGGGCGGGGCCATGGGCGGGGCCGACTGTAGGCAGAGCAGGGCTGTAGGTGGGCTGTGGCTGTGGGCGGGGCCGACTAGGCAGAGCGGGGCTATGGGCTGACTGTGGACGTGGTGAGGGTGCCGTAGAGCATGCTAATGACCAGGGCGTGGTCATAGCAGGGTAGGGTCTTGGGTGCTCCTGGGGCTGGGGGGCTTCTCCA
The DNA here is from genome assembly GCF_000001405.40 of Homo sapiens. Classification (NCBI taxonomy): domain Eukaryota; kingdom Metazoa; phylum Chordata; class Mammalia; order Primates; family Hominidae; genus Homo; species Homo sapiens. The sequence goes on from NC_000011.10 coordinate 1,089,006, forward strand.
CATGCTCCCCACACCTTCAGGAGTCGCCCTGCTGCGTCACGCACCACACGGCGCTTGTCCTCCAGCTTTGGCTCTGGCCGCTGCCTCCTTTGGTCACATGACCGTATAATCGGCCTCCCCTCTGAGACCCTGGGCTGGACCCCCGGCCTCCCTCTGCCTCCCCAGGCTCAGATATTCACCCGGAGGGAGAAAGGACATGTGTCCCCCATGCCCACACATCCCCAGCTACAGGCAGCTGGGGAGGACGGGTTCTAGGATGGCCATGTTACAGCTGAGGATGCAGAGGGGTTGGGTGATGGGTCTGCACAGCCACGGCGGGACAGGTGTCTCTGGACCCTCTCCCCAAGGTTGGCCCTGCCGGGGCCCTGGCTGGCTGGTGCTGGGTAATGTGCCCTGTCCCAGGAGCAGGGCCGGCCTCAGGGTCCTGAGCTCCAGGGCACTGGGGAAGTCCTGGCTCCATGAGGGCAGCACGGGCCCAGGACAGACCAGGGTGTTCTCCCCAGGTGGACCCCAAGCCCTTCTACGAGGCCTGTGTGCACGACTCGTGCTCCTGTGACACGGGTGGGGACTGTGAGTGCTTCTGCTCTGCCGTGGCCTCCTACGCCCAGGAGTGTACCAAAGAGGGGGCCTGCGTGTTCTGGAGGACGCCGGACCTGTGCCGTAAGAGCCTGCCCGAACTGCACTCAGGGCCGGGACGGGGGCTGGGAGGTGCTGTATTGCGGGCCGGGGTGACACTCCTTGTCCATCCAGGTGATGGGTGTGCATCACCCACCCTTTCCCCGACTTCTCCAGTGTCCTTCTTTGGGGCCCTGTGGGACCCGGGTTGGCAGAGCAAGCTTGATGCGTCTGCGTCCCAGCCCCCGACCCCAGATTCGCCCTCACCCCGGCCCAGGCCTGAGCCCTCCTGCGTCTGACCCTGGCCCTGTCTCCCCCAAGCCATATTCTGCGACTACTACAACCCTCCGCATGAGTGTGAGTGGCACTATGAGCCATGTGGGAACCGGAGCTTCGAGACCTGCAGGACCATCAATGGCATCCACTCCAACATCTCCGTGTCCTACCTGGAGGGTGAGCAGGGTGGGGCGGGCTTCAGCGGGGGTGATGGCCGAGGGGCCTGGAGGCTGAGTGGGGCAGCCCTCGGGAGAGGCAACAGTCCACTGGCCTGGAGGGTGAGCCAGGCGGCCCTCGGGGGAGGCTACGGCCGACGGGCCTGGCACTGTGGGGCTGAAGGCTGATGTCTGGAGACCCATGGGGACACCCGGAGGGAGGCCTGACCCTCAGGGTACCCACAGCCCAGGGCAGCCAGGCTCCCCTTGCTGCAGGATCAGGAGGGAAGCAGGCTATCGTGGAAACTGGGAGTGGCAGGGGTGGGAGGTGCTGAGGTTCGTGCAGAGCAGGGCGGGTTGGGGAGCATTTCAGGCACAGGTCAGGGGAGGCCCCTGCCGGGTGCTGGTGTCTGAGCTGAGAACCAGTGACGTGAAGGAGGGACTGGTGGGAAGTTTGGGAGGAGTATCCCGCCATGGGAGAGGAACATGGGTCTTGGGACTCAGGGCTGCTCGGGGGGCCCGATGAGACTGGGCAGGGCTCCTCAGCAGGCAGCGTTCAGGGCTCAGTGGGGTGGGGAGATCCAGGCCCTGCCTTTCCAATCCCCGGCCTTCCCAGAGGGGCATCCTGCAGAGAAGGGCCTGCCAGGGTAGGGACGGTGGGTGGGGTGTGGTGGACTGCGGTGGTCCCAACCCTATGCCCTGTGTCCACCAGGCTGCTACCCCCGGTGCCCCAAGGACAGGCCCATCTATGAGGAGGATCTGAAGAAGTGTGTCACTGCAGACAAGTGTGGCTGCTATGTCGAGGACACCCACTACCCACCTGGAGCATCGGTTCCCACCGAGGAGACCTGCAAGTCCTGGTACCTAAGCCCACGTGGCAGGGGGCCTGGGGGAGCTGCACATATGGGCACATGAGTACACACACACGTGTGAGCACACAGTGTACACAGTACACAGACACACAACCGTTCCACATGGGTGCACATGCACACAAACGCACACAGCATACCACGTGCATACACACGGTCACATGCATGCATGGTGCACACATGCACACATGAATGGATGCCAACATGCAGGCACACACAGTCACACATGCACACAGCGCACACATGGACACATGCCTAGACGCAGATACCCAGGCATACACTCACGGTTACACACTCACGCACATATGCATGGATGCAGACACGCAGGCACACACGGTCATATAGTCATACACCACATGCACACATGCACAGACACCCAGGCACACACAGTTACACAGTCACACATGCACACATGCATGGACGCAGACACGCAGGTGCACACACACATGCACAGTGCACACATGTACACATGCCTAGACACAGATACCCAGGCACACACAGTCACACATGCATGGACACAGAGTCACATGTGTACACATACACACGTGTGGACAGACATAGGCACAGTCACGTGCACACATGCACTCACACTCAGTCACACATGAACATGTGCTCACATGCATGGACACTGACACGCAAGGACACACAGTCACACATGCACACATGCATAGACACAGACACCCAGGCACACACAGTTACACAGTCACACATGCATGGATGCAGACACGCAGTCACACAGTCACACATGCACACACTGCACACATGTACACATGCCTAGACACAGATATGCAGGCACACACACATAGTCAAACATGCACACATGCATGGACACAAAGTCACACGTGCACACATGCACACATGCATGGACAGACACAGGCACACACAGTCACGTGCACAGATGCACTCACAGTCACACATGAACACATGCTCACATGCACAGACACTGACACGCAGGCACACACAGTCACACATGTACACGTGCCTAGACACAGATACCCAGACACACACAATTACACAGTCGCACAGTCACACATGCATGGATGCAGACACACAGGTACACAAGGTCACACAGTCATATAATGCACACATGCACACATGCATAGATACAGACACCCAGGTACACACTCACGGTGACACAGTCACACATGCACACATGCATGGAGGCAGACACACAAGCACACACAGTCACACAGTCACACATGCACACAGGAGCCAGGCTACAGAGGTACCAGTCCCTCACTGCGGCGGGGGGTCTTCTGTTCTCATCCCATCCTCTGGGTCTGGCTTTTTCCTTCCTCTCCTCGCCCCTGCTCTGTTCCCACAGTTACAACCCAGTGGGGGGCTCTTCCGGAGCTGGCTTTGGGGCAGTGCCTGGGGGCTTTGGGCTCGGTACTAGCCACATGGGGAAGCTGGGGGTCTGAGCAGCGTGGGCGCGTTGTCAGTGGAGTGGGACTTGTAGCCATGTGCTTGCTTTGCAGCGTGTGTACCAACTCCTCCCAAGTCGTCTGCAGGCCGGAGGAAGGTAAGCTGCCCTCTGCTGCCAGCCCTGCGGTGGCCGGGCCCATCCTGGGGAAGCCTGTGGGGCCTTGGATCGGTGGGGGGTGCTGGTCTCCTCCTGGGCTCTGCCCCTTTGGTCCCCCCCCAGCTCAGACCCACCTCCGATGTGTATCAGCCCTGGGGGGCTGCTGTGACCCATTTTGTTTCTTCTGGGGTGTCGGTGTCCTGTGGGGAATTTCCGTCACCCTCTCCCGTGATCCAGCTTCTGCGTTCTGATGAGATTCCCTTTATTCAAAGAGAGGGGCTCTGGGACGGGTGCAGTCTCACTGGAGCATTTCTTAGCTGCTTGTGGGGGCTCGGGCACACCTGGCCTTCTTCCTATCTTGCTCCTGATGAGGTGATTCTTGGCCTCACCCTCACCCCCAGGAAAGATTCTTAACCAGACCCAGGATGGCGCCTTCTGCTACTGGGAGATCTGTGGCCCCAACGGGACGGTGGAGAAGCACTTCAACATCTGTTCCATTACGACACGCCCGTCCACCCTGACCACCTTCACCACCATCACCCTCCCCACCACCCCCACCACCTTCACCACTACCACCACCACCACCACCCCGACCTCCAGCACAGGTAAGGCCCCCTGGTTCCCTCCATGCTTCCTCGGGCTCTCACCTTCCCCTGCATCCAGCATCCAGCACAGAGGGCTCTTTCGGGGGCAGGCCCCGGCCTGGTGCAGCCAGGCTGTGACCCCTGCACACCAGCTGCAGAGTGAGGTGACAGTGGCATTCCTCTGCACTGAGGTGTGAGGGGGCCTGCCCTGGCTCCCCTGGCCTGGTGCATTGAGATAGTAGCATCCTGACCACATCCCCAAGCCCAGACCACAGTGGAGGATCACCTGGGGAGATTTCTGAAAACCAGCAGGAAACTATCCCTAAGGGTTAGAGAAATTTTCTTATGTTCCCCTGCGTTTGTTCTGGTTGAAATCCTAGCTACCACTGAACAAGCCACCAGGGGTATGATAGCCACAGAAAAAAGAAACTTTTTTTAAAAAAGGCAAGATTTTAAAAGATCTTGAACTATATAATGATATCCTCTTTTCTTCCTGCTTTATTGCAGTTTTATCAACAACTCCGAGTAAGTGACGGTGATGATATTCATGATGACAAGCAGGGTGGGAGGAGCGAAGTCTTATAAAATCACCTGCAGGATGCTTCCTTCAGGGCCCAGATGTGAGGCTGGCGGGGCTGGACTCCTCTGCTTATGGACCAAAGATGGATGTATTTTGGCCACTTCATTCATGGTTTGCTGAGGCCAGGGGCTAAAGTGAGACCTGATTGGCTGTCGGTGACAATATTGCTGGTTAAGAGTGGAGACAAAGCCCCTTCCGTCACACTTCCTTACTGGAATGGGAAGCTCTCTTGTTATTGATTCTTTGAAAAAAAAGTATTGAAAATAGCTGAGGAAAGGGTCCATCACACCCAGGTGTGGCCCTGGGTGGCCCCGTCTCTTTGGGCTCAGGTTTTCAGTTGCAAAATGAGGATGGAAGTGGTGTCCAGCCCTGAGCTCTCTGGCCCTGCACTCTGGTTTTTTGGCAATGACAGGGAAAAGAGAGATTGCAGCTGGGGGATGGTCATGGAGGTCCCTGGGTCCTCTGAATCCTGGTGGCTTCCTGGAGGTGCCTCTCCCCAGGTGTGAGAGACAAGAACTTGGTTTTGCTTCCCTAGAGCTGTGCTGCCTCTGGTCTGACTGGATCAATGAGGACCACCCCAGCAGTGGCAGCGACGACGGTGACCGAGAAACATTTGATGGGGTCTGCGGGGCCCCTGAGGACATCGAGTGCAGGTCGGTCAAGGATCCCCACCTCAGCTTGGAGCAGCTAGGCCAGAAGGTGCAGTGTGATGTCTCTGTTGGGTTCATTTGCAAGAATGAAGACCAGTTTGGAAATGGACCATTTGGACTGTGTTACGACTACAAGATACGTGTCAATTGTTGCTGGCCCATGGATAAGTGTATCACCACTCCCAGCCCTCCAACTACCACTCCCAGCCCTCCACCAACCAGCACGACCACCCTTCCACCAACCACCACCCCCAGCCCTCCAACCACCACCACAACCACCCCTCCACCAACCACCACCCCCAGCCCTCCAATAACCACCACGACCACCCCTCCACCAACCACCACTCCCAGCCCTCCAATAAGCACCACAACCACCCCTCCACCAACCACCACTCCCAGCCCTCCAACCACCACTCCCAGCCCTCCAACCACCACTCCCAGCCCTCCAACAACCACCACAACCACCCCTCCACCAACCACCACTCCCAGCCCTCCAACGACTACGCCCATCACTCCACCAGCCAGCACTACCACCCTTCCACCAACCACCACTCCCAGCCCTCCAACAACCACCACAACCACCCCTCCACCAACCACCACTCCCAGTCCTCCAACGACTACGCCCATCACTCCACCAACCAGCACTACTACCCTTCCACCAACCACCACTCCCAGCCCTCCACCAACCACCACAACCACCCCTCCACCAACCACCACTCCCAGCCCTCCAACAACCACCACTCCCAGTCCTCCAACAATCACCACAACCACCCCTCCACCAACCACCACTCCCAGCCCTCCAACAACCACCACGACCACCCTTCCACCAACCACCACTTCCAGCCCTCTAACAACTACTCCTCTACCTCCATCAATAACTCCTCCTACATTTTCACCATTCTCAACGACAACCCCTACTACCCCATGCGTGCCTCTCTGCAATTGGACTGGCTGGCTGGATTCTGGAAAACCCAACTTTCACAAACCAGGTGGAGACACAGAATTGATTGGAGACGTCTGTGGACCAGGCTGGGCAGCTAACATCTCTTGCAGAGCCACCATGTATCCTGATGTTCCCATTGGACAGCTTGGACAAACAGTGGTGTGTGATGTCTCTGTGGGGCTGATATGCAAAAATGAAGACCAAAAGCCAGGTGGGGTCATCCCTATGGCCTTCTGCCTCAACTACGAGATCAACGTTCAGTGCTGTGAGTGTGTCACCCAACCCACCACCATGACAACCACCACCACAGAGAACCCAACTCCGACACCAATCACCACCACCACTACGGTGACCCCAACCCCAACACCCACCAGCACACAGAGTACAACACCAACACCCATCACCACCACCAATACGGTAACCCCAACCCCAACCCCCACTGGCACACAGACCCCAACCCCGACACCCATCACCACCACCACCACTATGGTGACCCCAACACCAACAATCACCAGCACACAGACCCCAACCCCGACACCCATCACCACCACTACGGTGACCCCAACCCCAACACCCACCAGCACACAGAGAACAACACCGACATCCATCACCACCACCACCACGGTGACCCCAACCCCAACACCCACCGGCACACAGACCCCAACCACGACACCCATCACCACCACCACCACGGTGACCCCAACCCCAACACCCACCGGCACACAGACCCCAACAACGACACCCATCACCACCACCACCATGGTGACCCCAACCCCAACACCCACTGGAACACAGACCCAAACCCCAACACCCATCACCACCACCACTACGGTGACCCCAACCCCTACACCCACCGGCACACAGACCCCAACATCGACACCCATCAGCACCACCACTACGGTGACCCCAACACCAACACCCACCGGCACACAGACCCCAACCCTGACACCCATCACCACCACCACTACGGTGACCCCAACCCCAACACCCACCGGCACACAGACCCCAACCACGACACCCATCACCACCACCACTACGGTGACCCCAACCCCAACACCCACCGGCACAAAGAGTACAACCCCGACATCCATCACCACCACCACTATGGTGACCCCAACCCCACCACCCACTGGCACACAGACCCCAACCACGACACCCATCACCACCACCACTACGGTGACCCCAACCCCAACACCCACCGGCACACAGACCCCAACCCCGACACCCATCACCACCACCACCACGGTGACCCCAACCCCAACACCCACCGGCACACAGACCCCAACATCGACACCCATCACCACCAACACTACGGTGACCCCAACCCCAACACCAACCGGCACACCGAGTACAACCCTGACACCCATCACCACCACCACTATGGTGACCCCAACCCCAACACCCACCGGCACACAGACCCCAACATCGACACCCATCAGCACCACCACTACGGTGACCCCAACCTCAACACCCACCGGCACACAGACCCCAACCCCGACACCCATCTCCACCACCACTACGGTGACCCCAACCCCGACACCCATCTCCACCACCACTACAGTGACCCCAACCCCAACACCCACCGGCACACAGACCCCAACCATGACACCCATCACCACCACCACCACGGTGACCCCAACCCCAACACCCACCGGCACACAGACCCCAACAACGACACCCATCAGCACCACCACCACAGTGACCCCAACCCCAACACCCACCGGCACACAGACCCCAACATCGACACCCATCACCACCACCACTACGGTGACCCCAACCCCAACACCCACCGGCACACAGACCCCAACCACGACACCCATCACCACCACCACCACGGTGACCCCAACCCCAACACCCACCGGCACACAGAGTACAACCCTGACACCCATCACCACCACCACCACGGTGACACCAACCCCAACACCCACCGGCACACAGACCCCAACCCCGACACCCATCTCCACCACCACTACGGTGACCCCAACCCCAACACCCACCGGCACACAGACCCCAACCACGACACCCATCACCACCACCACCACGGTGACCCCAACCCCAACACCCACCGGCACACAGACCCCAACAACGACACCCATCAGCACCACCACCACGGTGACCCCAACCCCAACACCCACCGGCACACAGACCCCAACATCGACACCCATCACCACCACCACTACGGTGACCCCAACCCCAACACCCACCGGCACACAGACCCCAACCACGACACCCATCACCACCACCACCACGGTGACCCCAACCCCAACACCCACTGGCACACAGGCCCCAACCCCAACAGCCATCACCACCACCACTACGGTGACCCCAACCCCAACACCCACCGGCACACAGACCCCAACAACGACACCCATCACCACCACCACCATGGTGACCCCAACCCCAACACCCACCGGCACACAGACCCCAACATCGACACCCATCACCACCACCACTACGGTGACCCCAACCCCAACACCCACCGGCACACAGACCCCAACCCCGACACCCATCTCCACCACCACTACGGTGACCCCAACCCCAACACCCACCGGCACACAGACCCCAACCATGACACCCATCACCACCACCACCACGGTGACCCCAACCCCAACACCCACCGGCACACAGACCCCAACAACGACACCCATCAGCACCACCACCACGGTGACCCCAACCCCAACACCCACCGGCACACAGACCCCAACATCGACACCCATCACCACCACCACTACGGTGACCCCAACCCCAACACCCACCGGCACACAGACCCCAACCCCGACACCCATCACCACCACCACCACGGTGACCCCAACCCCAACACCCACCGGCACACAGACCCCAACATCGACACCCATCACCACCACCACTACGGTGACCCCAACCCCAACACCCACCGGCACACAGACCCCAACCACGACACCCATCACCACCACCACCACGGTGACCCCAACCCCAACACCCACCGGCACACAGAGTACAACCCTGACACCCATCACCACCACCACCACGGTGAACACCAACCCCCAACACCCACCGGCACACAAAACCCCAACATCAACACCCATCACCACCCACCACTACGGTTGACCCCAACCCCCAAAACCCACCGGCACACAGACCCCAACCCCAACACCCATTCTCCACCACCAATAACGGGTGACCCCAACCCCAACAACCCACCGGCACACAGACCCCAACCATGACACCCATCACCACCACCACCACGGTGACCCCAACCCCAACACCCACCGGCACACAGACCCCAACATCGACACCCATCACCACCACCACTACGGTGACCCCAACCCCAACACCCACCGGCACACAGACCCCAACCATGACACCCATCACCACCACCACCACGGTGACCCCAACCCCAACACCCACTGGCACACAGGCCCCAACCCCAACAGCCATCACCACCACCACTACGGTGACCCCAACCCCAACACCCACCGGCACACAGACCCCAACCACGACACCCATCACCACCACCACCACGGTGACCCCAACCCCAACACCCACCGGCACACAGAGTACAACCCTGACACCCATCACCACCACCACCACGGTGACACCAACCCCAACACCCACCGGCACACAGACCCCAACCCCGACACCCATCTCCACCACCACTACGGTGACCCCAACCCCAACACCCACCGGCACACAGACCCCAACCATGACACCCATCACCACCACCACCACGGTGACCCCAACCCCAACACCCACCGGCACACAGACCCCAACAACGACACCCATCAGCACCACCACCACGGTGACCCCAACCCCAACACCCACCGGCACACAGACCCCAACATCGACACCCATCACCACCACCACTACGGTGACCCCAACCCCAACACCCACCGGCACACAGACCCCAACCACGACACCCATCACCACCACCACCACGGTGACCCCAACCCCAACACCCACTGGCACACAGGCCCCAACCCCAACAGCCATCACCACCACCAGTACGGTGACCCCAACCCCAACACCCACCGGCACACAGACCCCAACCACGACACCCATCACCACCACCACTACGGTGACACCAACCCCAACACCCACCGGCACACAGTCCCCAACCCCAACAGCCATCACCACCACCACTACGGTGACCCCAACCCCAACACCCACCGGCACACAGACCCCAACATTGACGCCCATCACCACCACCACTACGGTGACCCCAACCCCAACACCCACCGGCACACAGACCCCAACCCCGACACCCATCTCCACCACCACTACGGTGACCCCAACCCCAACACCCACCGGCACACAGACCCCAACCACGACACCCATCACCACCACCACCACGGTGACCCCAACCCCGACACCCACCGGCACACAGACCCCAACCACGGTACTCATCACCACCACCACTACGATGACCCCAACCCCAACACCCACCAGCACAAAGAGTACAACCGTGACACCCATCACCACCACAACTACGGTGACCGCAACCCCAACACCCACCGGCACACAGACCCCAACCATGATACCCATCAGCACCACCACTACGGTGACCCCAACCCCAACACCCACCACTGGAAGCACGGGGCCCCCCACCCACACAAGCACAGCACCGATTGCTGAGTTGACCACATCCAATCCTCCGCCTGAGTCCTCAACCCCTCAGACCTCTCGGTCCACCTCTTCCCCTCTCACGGAGTCAACCACCCTTCTGAGTACCCTACCACCTGCCATTGAGATGACCAGCACGGCCCCACCCTCCACACCCACGGCACCCACGACCACGAGCGGAGGCCACACACTGTCTCCACCGCCCAGCACCACCACGTCCCCTCCAGGTAAGCAGAGCCGCTTGGTTCCTCTGGCCTGGGATGCTTCTTCCTCCCCTTGTGCCGGGCAGGACTGTCCCAGGAAGGCTCAAGGCACGTTCTGGGCGCCTCTCTGCCCACGAAGCTTGGTCACTGTGTGGGCAGAAGCCACTGACACTGGCCAGTGCTGGGCAGTGAAGCCAAAGGCCATTCCGCTTGCCCATAGGACAGCCTTCTGAGGAGCTGCTGACACCGGCCAGTGCTGGGCAGTGGAGCCCTTGGCTATCCTGCTCGCCCATAAGACGGCCTTCTTCAGGGGCCCACTGCTATGTGATGCGGTGCTGTGGGAGCCCATCAAGGCTGGGGGGCAGAGAGAGGCTGCCAGTGAGGTGCCTGCGGGTCCACCTGCTTCTGGCTGCAGCCCCTCCTTGGGGCCTTTTCCTGGTGGACGGCATGCCACAGCCAGTGCCTTCTGGACGCCTCTTGCTGGCCATCGGCTTGGCCAGCAAGCTGTGTTGCTGCCAGAGCACCAGGTCACCTGCAGGCTCTCGTGACACTCGGCTGTGGTGATACTGGCCTTGCCGCTCCACCCTGCCTGGTGACTCTGAGAGCCTGGGAGGTGGGCACGAGGCCCTGGTCCTCCAGTTCTGCCACCCGGTCGGCTGTCTGGCTCCCTTGCAGCTGGGGAGTGGCAGTTGGGACCCTGTGGCATCTGAGATGTGCAACGTCTCAGCCCTCACTGGTGTCTCCTGCTCTCACAGGCACCCCCACTCGCGGTACCACGACTGGGTCATCTTCAGCCCCCACCCCCAGCACTGTGCAGACGACCACCACCAGTGCCTGGACCCCCACGCCGACCCCACTCTCCACACCCAGCATCATCAGGACCACAGGCCTGAGGCCCTACCCTTCCTCTGTGCTTATCTGCTGTGTCCTGAACGACACCTACTACGCACCAGGTACTCAGGCTGTTCACATCCTGTGCTTGGGTGGCCGAGGCTGGCCCCGGCATGTACCAATGGGTCAGGTGCCAGGGCTGAGATCGCAGTAGAAGCGTCTCAGGAGGCAGCAGCCGTCGAGGGTGGCTGTGTCCAGGGCACGGCTTCCCTTGGGTGGCCTCTGTGGGGACCTCCGCTGTGGGGACCTCCACGGGGTCCAGCGGCTAGCCCTGCCTCCGGCTAGCCCTGCCTCTGGACGGTGTGATCGTGGGTCTGTCTCCCTTCGCAGGTGAGGAGGTGTACAACGGCACATACGGAGACACCTGTTATTTCGTCAACTGCTCACTGAGCTGTACGTTGGAGTTCTATAACTGGTCCTGCCCATCCACGCCCTCCCCAACACCCACGCCCTCCAAGTCGACGCCCACGCCTTCCAAGCCATCGTCCACGCCCTCCAAGCCGACGCCCGGCACCAAGCCCCCCGAGTGCCCAGACTTTGATCCTCCCAGACAGGTCAGTGGGCTGCAGGCGGCTTTGTCCCCATGGCACTCTGCGCAGCATGTCCGGGCAGCTGAGGCCCCAGGCACCACTTCCTGCTGGTCGTCTGAGGGCCGAGGCCTCCAGCAACCCTTGGGTGCAGGGTCTGCCGAGCCCTCCACATTTTCACCGTGCCCCGCTGTGCCTGGCGAGGTGGCTGGCTGCAGTGAGGTCCGTGGAAGCCACTTCGGCCTCCAGCCTCCCGGCTCAGCACCCGCCCCTCCTGAGCGCAGACCACCCCATCCTGTGCCGGTCCCCCTGACGTCCCTTGCCTCCCGTCCCCAGGAGAACGAGACTTGGTGGCTGTGCGACTGCTTCATGGCCACGTGCAAGTACAACAACACGGTGGAGATCGTGAAGGTGGAGTGTGAGCCGCCGCCCATGCCCACCTGCTCCAACGGCCTCCAACCCGTGCGCGTCGAGGACCCCGACGGCTGCTGCTGGCACTGGGAGTGCGACTGTGAGTCCGGGGCCCCCAGGCCCTCCCCGCATCTCCTGCCCTCTCCGTGGGTGGGGGCTGCAGGGCCCGTCTCCCGGGGGCGGAAGGGCTGAGGCTCCTTGGGCACAGATCCCACTGAGGTGTTCGCTGAGGCTGGGTGACTTCTGAGGGTCTTCTCACAGCCCTGCTTTTGCCTCATTGGGTGGGGAGGGCCTGGGCAGGTGGAGGGCTTGCCTGGTGGAGTTAGGGCTCCTCCCTGGAACAAGGGTGCTTCTGAGGCAAGAGGGGGCTGAGTTGAAGTTTGAACCCTGGTCCGTCCTGCAGAATGGGCCACTGTGGGTGCGCCAGGGCAAGTGCAGCTCAGACATCCCCGTGCCCACGCACAGGAGTGGGGTTTTCAGGCCCCAGCTTCCTGCTGGCTCTTCCTGACTATGCCCCAGCCCAGCCCTTGCACCCGACCCCGGCCGAGGGGCACAGGTGGCACGGCTCACTCCGGCTCCCTTGCAGGCTACTGCACGGGCTGGGGCGACCCGCACTATGTCACCTTCGACGGACTCTACTACAGCTACCAGGGCAACTGCACCTACGTGCTGGTGGAGGAGATCAGCCCCTCCGTGGACAACTTCGGAGTTTACATCGACAACTACCACTGCGATCCCAACGACAAGGTGTCCTGCCCCCGCACCCTCATCGTGCGCCACGAGACCCAGGAGGTGCTGATCAAGACCGTGCATATGATGCCCATGCAGGTGCAGGTAGGCACAGCGTGGCCACAGGAGGCTGGCATGGAGGCGGGTGCTGACATGGGCCCCAATGCACCCTGGTTCCCCAGGGGCCAGAGGACTGGGCTGTGGGGGTGCCAAGGCATAGCCTCTCCTAGAGTTGGGCTAGAAGGTAGGATGGGGTGGGCGACTGGCTCCGGGACATATCAGCTCTTCCTGCAGGCCCTCCAGGTGTGTCCTGGGCCCCTCGAGCCCTGGCACCATGCCACGCTGGGCACAGTCTCTGCAGCAGAAGCTGCCTCCTGAGGACAGAGTCAGGGACAGGGCTCTGCACACCCTTGGCTGAGATGCCCCTACTTGCAGGGGAATCATTGGTTCTGAGGCTCAGGAGGCCCCGGGAGCCTGCGCCGGGCTCCACAGTCCCCAGGTGCTCCCAGGAGAGCTCCTTCACTGGCTCACCCATGGGACCAGGGTCTGGTTGGGAGCAGTGGAGTGGAAGCAAGAAAGGGGGCAGGAAAGCGGGGTAGGCAGGGCCCTCTCCCTACATGTGTAGGTCAGAGAGCAGGCGGGGTGGGGCAGCCCTGGAGCTCTCACAAGGAGAGGACCGAGGCAGCTGCAGCTCCCATGGTGTGTCGGCCACAGGTGCAGGTGAACAGGCAGGCGGTGGCACTGCCCTACAAGAAGTACGGGCTGGAGGTGTACCAGTCTGGCATCAACTACGTGGTGGACATCCCCGAGCTGGGTGTCCTCGTCTCCTACAATGGCCTGTCCTTCTCCGTCAGGCTGCCCTACCACCGGTTTGGCAACAACACCAAGGGCCAGTGTGGTGAGTTCCGTGACCCCCATGGCCCCCGAGGCCCCCACGGCTCCCACCGTCCCCTGTGCCCCCATGTCCTGCCCCAGGGCGGGTGGCCAGGCCAGGCTGAGGCTGAGGCTGCGTGTAAACACCCATGGGCCTGGCTGTGGGCCTCTTGCCCCGCTGCTCGGGGCTGCTGTGGCCATCACCCGGGTTCAGTCTCTGTGAGGAGCCAACAGGAGGGGGCCTGGCCTGGTCTCTGCCCTCGGCCCTGGCTGGCCGGTCCTGGGCATCTGGGCTGGAGAAGGGCAGGGCTTACCCTGTCTGCAACGTGGCCTCTCTCACTGATACAGGCACCTGCACCAACACCACCTCCGACGACTGCATTCTGCCCAGCGGGGAGATCGTCTCCAACTGTGAGGCTGCGGCTGACCAGTGGCTGGTGAACGACCCCTCCAAGCCACACTGCCCCCACAGCAGCTCCACGACCAAGCGCCCGGCCGTCACTGTGCCCGGGGGCGGTAAAACGACCCCACACAAGGACTGCACCCCATCTCCCCTCTGCCAGCTCATCAAGGACAGGTGACCCCGCCCAGGCCTGCCTGTGGCCACGACACCAATAAGCTGAGGGCCTCTGTGCCCCAGCCCCCAGCTCTTGCAAAGAGGAAGGAGGCAGCGCGTGGGGCCTGGCGCTGGGGCTGGGAAGGCACGGAGCCGCGGAACCAGGATCAGGCGCTAGGTCGCCGTGGGGTCCAGGACCCAGGCCCTTGGGTTCCACGGGGCTGAGCTGCTACGTGCGGCCTGTGCCTTTGCTGAACTCCAGTCTCTCCTGGCTCCCGGGAAGGTGCAGGGCTGGCCGAGTGTGAGGCCCGGAGTAAACCAGTCAACCCAGGACAGAGCTCAGGGCTGATATTGGGAGGGCAGATTTGGGCTTTGACAGAGAGGGGGTGCTCCTAACGCTGGCAGTCATGGGGGGTCAGCATCCTGTCCCTGGAAGTATAGGGGCCAGGTATAGGCTGGGTGTCCATCTGCCAGGGTTGCTGGAGGGGGTCCTGAAGCTGATGACCACATAGACGTGGTTTCTATCTCTGGGAGCCGGGCTGCAGAGCCACCTTGCTCGGCCATCCCTTGGTCTGTCCCTGAGCTGTCCCCCTGGCTGGCCTGTCCCTTGACCCTCCATCAGCCACAGGCGCCTCTCTGGCGGGTGCCGGACTCCAGGAGGACAGTCCGGGCAGAGACGCTGGGGTAGAGAGCAGGGGAGAGGCAGGTGCCACCTGAGTGTGACCTGTGCCTCTCCCTGCGCAGCCTGTTTGCCCAGTGCCACGCACTGGTGCCCCCGCAGCACTACTACGATGCCTGCGTGTTCGACAGCTGCTTCATGCCGGGCTCGAGCCTGGAGTGCGCCAGTCTGCAGGCCTACGCAGCCCTCTGTGCCCAGCAGAACATCTGCCTCGACTGGCGGAACCACACGCATGGGGCCTGCTGTAAGTGCCCATCTGCCCCTGCCCTGGAGCTGGGGGCCTGCAGGCCAGACGTGGTCTCTAGGCTCTGCCAGGTGCTGTGCCCAGCCTGAAGCTAGACCTAGATGGGCTGCGGCCAGGGACGCAGAGATGGCGGGTGTGAGACCAGGGCTGGGGCCATGGGGTGGGGAAGGCCAGGCTGGAGGGGCTGAGGTGCTGGGGCTTCTGCCAGCATCGCTAAATGCAACTGGGTGCCCACCACCCAGCTCGGGACAACCTCGAGGGTGGAGGTTGATGCCCAGGCAGCTGGTCACCCTCCTCCGTGTGTGGGGCACTGGGCAGCTGTCACTCAAGGGGGTCCAGGCTCCTCCGCCTGACATGAGGCAGCCCTCTGACCTCTGCCCATGTCCCTCAGTGGTGGAGTGCCCATCTCACAGGGAGTACCAGGCCTGTGGCCCTGCAGAAGAGCCCACGTGCAAATCCAGGTATGTTGTTTGAGGGTCCACCAGGACCGTGGGCTCGCCTTCTGCAGTGCGGAGGGTGGCATCATCTGGGCATAGCAGTCCCACCTGCCAGCTCCCCAGCCCCACCCCACCTGTCTGACAATGCCCTCCCGCCCCCAGCTCCTCCCAGCAGAACAACACAGTCCTGGTGGAAGGCTGCTTCTGTCCTGAGGGCACCATGAACTACGCTCCTGGCTTTGATGTCTGCGTGAAGACCTGCGGTACGCCACCCACTCACACTGTCCCCTCCTGCCTCCCTCCTGCCTCCTCCTGGGTGTCCACGGAGGCTGGGACCAGGACGCTGACCACCCCCCACCTCTGATCCCTGTTGCACAAGGACTCTGCTAACACAACTTGTCTCCTGGGTGTCCATGGAGGCTGGGACCAGGAGGCTGACCACCCCCACCCCTGCTCCCTGCTGCACAAGGACTCTGCTAACACAACTTGTTTCTTCCCTCTTCCTAGGCTGTGTGGGACCTGACAATGTGCCCAGAGAGGTAGGCCCCACCGTGTTGCTGGGGGATCCTTCCACAAATTCTGAATTCTGGGGAGTGAGGGATGGACATGAAAACCTGGAGCCTCAAAGATTGAGGAATGAGGTCATCTAAGTCCTGGATGGCTGAGTTGGCATGGACACCACCCACTCACCCACCCATCCTTCCACCCACCCACTCATCCACCTGTGCACCCATCTACCCACTCACCTACCCCTCCATCCTTCCACCTACCTAGTCATCACCCACTCATCTATGCACCCCCCCACCCACCCACTCATCCATCCATCCATCCACCATCCACCTACCCAACCATCCACCCATCCATCCACCATCCATCTACCATCCACCATCCACCCAACCATCCACCATCCATCCATCCACCCATCATCCATCTACCATCCACCCACCCACCTATCCATCCATCCATCCACCATCTGTCTACCATCCACCCACCCACTCATCCATCCATCCATCCACCATCTGTCTACCATCCACCCACCCACCTATCCATCCACCCATCCATCCATCCATCCATCCATCCATCCATCCATCCATCCACCCACCATCTGTCTACCATCCACCCACCCACCTATCCACCCATCCACCCACCCATCCATCCACCCAACCATCCACCATCCATCCATCCATCCATCCATCCACCATCCATCTACCATCCACCCTCCCATCCATCCACGCATCCACCCAACCATCCATCCATCCATCCACCATCCACCCACCATCCACCCATTTATCCATCCATTCTCCCTCCCTCCATTCACCACCCATTGGTCATATGATACTCTGTCTAGAAGCTCTGACATGACATCTTGGCCACCTCTGTGCTGCCCATGCCTCCTACCTGTGGTAGCAGCCATGTGGATGATTCCTTAGCTAAATTCTGTACAAACCTGAGAGGCCTGAGTGGAGAATTTGCCACGTGCCAAGCCCCTGCTTGTCGATGCTGGTGAGCAGGTAATGGCTTTGTGATATCAGTGAATGAGCAGCTACTGTCCTATCCCAGAACCTGCCTGGTGTGCTCAGAAGTGAGGAGGGACATGGTTTTCCCCCAGGATCCCTCAGCACTCTGCTCAGGGTGGCTGTTTCTCCCCGCTGACCACAGCTGCAGCTCCGGGGCTGTGGTGAGGTGGGGCCTGCCTGGTGCCACCTGTCCTCTCTACTCACCCTTCTTTCCCTGCAGTTTGGGGAGCACTTCGAGTTCGACTGCAAGAACTGTGTCTGCCTGGAGGGTGGAAGTGGCATCATCTGCCAACCCAAGAGGTGCAGCCAGAAGCCCGTTACCCACTGCGTGGAAGACGGCACCTACCTCGCCACGGAGGTCAACCCTGCCGACACCTGCTGCAACATTACCGTCTGCAGTAAGGCCATCCCCTGGGGCCCATGCCACCTCTCAGGGGTGCACACATCCCTGTAGGCTGGGCTGCCTGCTGTCCCCTCCTTGGCAAGTGAGGAAACAGCTGGCTTGGGGGCCTCTGCTGTGCCCCTTGAGAGGGCTTGGGAGGGGGCCGCTGGGCCCAGTCCAGGCATCCCTGCTGCAGGGCCTGACCTGGGTGGGGAGGGGACCCTTGGAGGTGCTGGAGGCCCGACCCTGTGCAGTGGCCCCGGGGGCTTTGCCTGGGAGGAGCCACCCTCACGGCCGCGTGCGCACCCTGTCTTCAGAGTGCAACACCAGCCTGTGCAGTGGCCCCGGGGGCTTGGCCTGGGAGGAGCCACCCTCACGGCCGCGTGCACACCCTGTCTTCAGAGTGCAACACCAGCCTGTGCAAAGAGAAGCCCTCCGTGTGCCCGCTGGGATTCGAAGTGAAGAGCAAGATGGTGCCTGGAAGGTGCTGTCCTTTCTACTGGTGTGGTAAGCAGGGCTGGTGGGCAGGGCAGGGAGGAGGCTGCCGCCCGGGGTGGGGTGGCTGTAAGGGGGTTGGCTCCCTCCTGGGGGTCTCAGATTCTGGGGACACAGATGGCTGTACGCTTGGCTGATGCACCCACCCCAGCCCTGAGCGCTCGCTCCATCCACTGGGTGTGCACCGGGAGTGGGGGTCTGGCCAGGTGGCCGCCCCGGGGCAGTCTCCAACGAACGGCCTTCTCCGTTCTTTCTCCCAAGAGTCCAAGGGGGTGTGTGTTCACGGGAATGCTGAGTACCAGGTGAGCCCTGGGCTGGGTGAGAGGGAGGAGGGGAGGAGGTCGGCTGCAGCGTGGGGGTCCTGGCAGGCTGTTGGGCTGGCTGGGATGCTGGAGAGGCCCCTGCCTCATGTCTCTCCCTGTGCCCGAAGCCCGGTTCTCCAGTTTATTCCTCCAAGTGCCAGGACTGCGTGTGCACGGACAAGGTGGACAACAACACCCTGCTCAACGTCATCGCCTGCACCCACGTGCCCTGCAACACCTCCTGCAGCCCTGTAAGCGGCCACCCTCCTCCTTCAGCCTGCCCTTTTCCCTCCTCCCAGACAAGCACCCGGGCCCATGTCTGCATCGTGACCCTTTCTTTCCTCCTTTCAACGCCAACCTGTCCCTGTCCCCACCTCTCCATCCTGACACCTGCCCAGCCTGGGGCCTCCTCCAGGTGGGGGGGTCTCGGCAGCCCTGCAGGCTTTGTGTGGTGTGGGGTACAGCCTGGGAGTTCAGTTGCAGTGGCGTGTCTATGTGCGCAGGGCTTCGAACTCATGGAGGCCCCCGGGGAGTGCTGTAAGAAGTGTGAACAGACGCACTGTATCATCAAACGGCCCGACAACCAGCACGTCATCCTGAAGGTAGGTGTGCACTGCCGGCCCCGACGCGGCCGGGTTGCTTGAGCCCAGGGCAAGGCGCGGGCCACCCAGGATCCCCCAGCTGAGTCCTCCCAGTCCTGGGCGCAGCTGTGATGGGCGCCCTGGGGCTGCCATGACAAATGAGCAGGCGTCTTCAGGGCAGAAAGGGATTCTCCTGGTTCTGCGGCCCAGAAATCCATAGAGCAAAGGGCCTCAGGGCTGTGCTCCCTCGGAGGCGCTAGGCAAGGACCTTTCCCAGCCTCTGGTCACTCTAGGTGCCCCTTGGCTGTGACCACGAGGTTTCCTTCCCTGTGTCTGCCTCTCCTCTCCCTTTTAAGGATTTAGGCACCCCAAGCAGGATGATCTCATCTTAGGATCCTTCACTTAATGACACCTTCAAAGACCCCCTTTCCAAGGCAGGTCACATTCATAGATTCAGAGTTAGAACACAGACAGACCTTTGAGGGTTGTGTGGGCTCCAGGCTGGTGCCTGATGTGGGGCCCCGCCCATGTCACTTGTCCTGTGGCCCTGGGCCTCACCAGGAAGCCTCCCCGGCCAGGTGTCTCCAGGGTGTCTTCCTGGCCGGGCTGGGGCTGGGCCTGCTGCCCTCCCTCACCAGAGCTCCCTGCCCCACAGCCCGGGGACTTCAAGAGCGACCCGAAGAACAACTGCACATTCTTCAGCTGCGTGAAGATCCACAACCAGCTCATCTCGTCCGTCTCCAACATCACCTGCCCCAACTTTGATGCCAGCATTTGCATCCCGGTGAGTTGGCCACCTGGGGCCTGGCTGTGTGTACTCTGCCGGGAGTGGGGGTGCCTGGTGTTCTGGGGGGCTGGGGCCCCAGTGCTGCGACAGTGACCTCGGGCCTGGTCTGAGCTGCCGCAGGAGGCTTTGCCTGGGGCTTTCTGCAGCAGCTACCCCCGCCCACGGCATCGTGGGAAGGTGCTCTCATCCCCAGGAATGTCCGGGGGTCCCGGGCTCATTCTCCTTTCCCTCTAGGGCTCCATCACATTCATGCCCAATGGATGCTGCAAGACCTGTGAGTACAGGGCACAGCCTGGGGGGTAGGCAGGGTGGGGGCACAAGGGCTGGTGCCCTCAGCCCCGCCTGGGGTGGCTGGAGGCTGGACAACGGCCTCTGGGTGGGCAGTGAGGGCTGGGGGCTGAGGCCGAGCCTGGGGAGGGGACGCAGCGAGGGAGAGCCTCCTCGAAGATGTGGAGGCCCTGCCCTAAGCCGCTGCCCGCTCTCCCCAGGCACCCCTCGCAATGAGACCAGGGTGCCCTGCTCCACCGTCCCCGTCACCACGGAGGTTTCGTACGCCGGCTGCACCAAGACCGTCCTCATGAATCATTGCTCCGGGTCCTGCGGGACATTTGTCATGTGAGTCCCAGGCTGGGAGTGTGCCTGGAGGGGGTGGTGGAGACCCCAGGGAGGCGAGAGGCCAGCGCTGGCCCCGGAAGGTCACCCCTCACTCCGCCCTCCCCCCAGGTACTCGGCCAAGGCCCAGGCCCTGGACCACAGCTGCTCCTGCTGCAAAGAGGAGAAAACCAGCCAGCGTGAGGTGGTCCTGAGCTGCCCCAATGGCGGCTCGCTGACACACACCTACACCCACATCGAGAGCTGCCAGTGCCAGGACACCGTCTGCGGGCTCCCCACCGGCACCTCCCGCCGGGCCCGGCGCTCCCCTAGGCATCTGGGGAGCGGGTGAGCGGGGTGGGCACAGCCCCCTTCACTGCCCTCGACAGCTTTACCTCCCCCGGACCCTCTGAGCCTCCTAAGCTCGGCTTCCTCTCTTCAGATATTTATTGTCTGAGTCTTTGTTCAGTCCTTGCTTTCCAATAATAAACTCAGGGGGACATGCTGTACTGTGTGGTTTAGGTTGGTGCTGCAGGGGTGCGGCTTGGCCACTGTGCATGGCGGAGGCCACCAGGCTCTGCGTGCAGGACACGGGGGCACCACACACACGCCACGCGGTTGGCAAATCCCTTGTACCAAATGCAGAGGGGACGTGGGGGCTGCCTGCCCTCCGCTCCCCATTCTCACCCTGGGCAAAACCCCCACGGGGCTGTCGAAATGTGGTCAGATTCCCTTGTAGGAATCCCCCGGCCCTGAATCTGTGAAAAGAGCCCTGGGTTCCTTCACAGCCATCTCACAGGCTTTCCACGGTTGGTGGGGCCTTTGTGTAGCCCCGAGGGTCAGGTGGCCCTGGGGAGGGTGTGTGTGTGTGTGTGTGTGTGTGTGTGTGTGTGTGTGTAGCCCCGAGGGTCAGGTGGTACTGGGGAGAGTGTGTGCGTGTGTGTGTGTGTGTAGCCCCGAGGGTCAGGTGACCCTGGGGAGGTGATGTGTGTGTGTGTGTGTGTGTGTAGCCCCAAGGGTCAGGTGGCCCTGGGGAGGGTGTCTGTGTGTGTGTGTAGCCCCGAGGGTCAGGTGGCCCTGGGCAGAGGGTGTGTGTGTGTGTGTGTGTGAGTGCATAGCCCCGGGGGTCGGGTGGCCCTGGGGAGGTGGTGTGTGTGTGTGTGCGTGTGTGCGTGCATGCACGTGTGAGAATTTGCTTTGCACACGTGTCTGCATGTGCCATGTGTATGTGATGTGTGTGCACGTGTGTGCATGCATGTGCGTGTGAGCATTTGCTTGTGTGCACACGTGTCTGCATGTGCCATGTATGTGATGTGTGTGTGCACGTGTGTGTGTGCATGAGCGTGTGAGCATTTGCTTGTGTGCACACGTGTCTGCATGTGCCGTGTGTATGTGATGTGTGTGCACGTGTGTGTGTGCATGAGCGTGCTAGCATTTGCTTGTGTGCACATGTGTCTGCATGTGCCATGTGTATGTGAGATGCGCCTTGTCCTGGGTCTCTACACTGGGAAAATGGAGAAGGTCTTAGTCCTCAGGTCACTGTCAGCTCCTGCTGCCTAGTGACAAAAGGTGGCCAGGACCTGGTGGCCCCGTCAGGGCTTTGGGGAGCTGCCAGTCAGAGCCGCCAATACCTTCAAACCTGCAGAAGTTCTGGTTGGCTCTGCGGACCCAGCTGGACAAGGGGCACTGGCTGTGGACCCTGGGCACAGTGCCCACTCATGTTGGAGAGCTGAGCCCCTGACTTCTGGGTGGAGCCCATGGAGGCTGCTTGGCCCAGAGCAGGTGCCTGGTGTCTCCTGTCAAAGGCAGCAGGTGTGTGTGGGGAGGCCGAGGCCTCTAAGCACAGTGATCCAACCTCGAGCATCCTCTGAGGTCAAAGGGGAGGACATTTGTCTCCAGACTACAAGGCTGTGCCACACCCCTTACATGTGACGAAACCCTCAGGAGGGCAGACACCTGGGCTGGGCTCCACACTTCCAAAGCCAGGGCACAACGGGTCCTCAGGGTGTGACAGGTCCTCAGGGCATGACGGATCCTCAGGTGTGATGGGTCCCCTGGGCGTGACGGGTCCTCAGGGTGCAACAGGTCCCACCTCCTGCTGTCCTGCCTCCCAAATAGTTGTACAGGCATGTGGCACCATGATTGGCTAATTTTTAAGAGCTTTTTGCTTTTTGTTCTTATCTTTCAAAACAATCCTTTGTTTTACTAAAGTAACAGGCACGTGATTTTTGCATAGTTTTGTTTGTTTTGCAGAGACAGGGTCTCACTATGTTGCCCAGGCTGGTCTCAAACTCCTTCCTGGGTTCAAGTGATCCTCCCACCTCAGCCACCCAAAGTACCAGGATTACAAGCATGAGCCACTGATCTTGGCTCCTGGCAGGGGGCTGAGGCCACTGCCCTCCCCTAGCTGCCCTCCCCTAGCTGCCCTCTCCCCCATCTGACCCCAGGGAGGGCCGCGGTTGAGCAGCAACCCTGGGGTCTGAAGCCAGTTGGGACATCCCAGCTCATCAGCGCCACCCTGGGTCCTGGAACCCGCTCAGGCCTGGGGTCTTTCAACTGCCCCACTTGGCCCAGGACAGCCCCCCAAAGGACCTGCTCATCCCCTCTGGTGGCCCCAGGAGCCCACACTGTCTAGGCCTAGGGACCTCCTGGGCAGTCAGTTGGCCTGGGCCTGCCATGGAGCCCCTGAGGCCACCCTAGAGCCTCTGGCATAGCCACGTGGGGATTCTGGGTGCTTCAGAACTGGCCCTTCCATGAAGCTGTCAGCATGGACCCCAGAGCCATCCTTGGGTCATTTCGAGGGTGGCCTGTTTCTGGCCCACCCCCAAAACCTATCACATCTCTGCCTGGCTGTGACCCTTGGGCCCAGCAGTCCCTGCACAGGCCAGGAAATGGGCAGGGCGGGGTGGGGGCACTGCGGCCAGAGACCTGGTAAGGAAGAGGTGGTCAGGCTCCCTCCAGTTTCCTCATCTGTCTCCCAGCTTGCAGCTGCGAAGAGGGGCTTCCCCTGGTGATGCAGCGTGGACACGGGTACGGCTAGGCCCCTGCCTGCTCTTCCCTGCTGTGCCCTTTAAAGCAGAGGCTACCCGGGAAGCTCCAGGAGAGCATGAGCCCTGACCCCAGTCCTTCCCCAGACAGCCCTGCCCCTTCCCAGAGCAGGCCCCACCCCTTCCCTAGAGGAGGCCCCGCCCCTTCCCCAGAGCAGGCCCCACCCCTTCCCTAGAGGAGGCCCCGCCCCTTCCCCAGAGCAGGCCCCACCCCTTCCCTAGAGGAGGCCCCGCCCCTTCCCCAGAGCAGGCCCCACCCCTTCCCTAGAGGAGGCCCCACCCCTTCCCCAGAGCAGGCCCCACCCCTTCCCTAGAGGAGGCCCCGCCCCTTCCCCAGAGCAGGCCCCACCCCTTCCCTAGAGGAGGCCCCGCCCCTTCCCCAGAGCAGGCCCCACCCCTTTCCTAGGACAGGCCCCGCCCCTTCTGCCCACTCAGGATCTTCCTTTTGGGTTCTCTGTGTCCAGAACTCCAGTGCAGGTGTTGAGGGTGGGGAGGGAGCTGCCCCTTCAGGTGGAGGCAGGGTTGGTGCCAACGGAGGGGCAGGGAGACGCAG
The DNA here is from genome assembly GCF_000001405.40 of Homo sapiens. Lineage (NCBI taxonomy): Eukaryota > Metazoa > Chordata > Mammalia > Primates > Hominidae > Homo > Homo sapiens. The sequence continues at coordinate 1,113,604 of NC_000011.10, forward strand.
GGGCTCCCCCCAACCCCGTCCAGTCACGGTGCAGCCCCCGACTTTATCCCCAGCGCCCTCCTCTTCCTCGCATAACTCATGCCCCCAGCTGGGTCCTCCTGGGTCTCCCTAGGGGTGACTCGGGCCAGGGGCTACCTGTTTCCCCGGGCTCACCACAGTGGGCTAAGCCTACAGCAGAGGAGATAGGGAGCCCGCCAGCCAGGTGGGCAGCCGGCCACCCCCTCGGAGTAGCTGCACGGGTTGGGGTCAAGTTCTCGCATTCTCTGGAAGAAGCTGGCTGTTCTGTTCCCACGGCGGCCTCCCTGTTTCTGGGAGCAGACGGAAGGCCCCAGCGCGCACTCCTCCCTTCCGCCCAGGTGAGACTTGCTGTTGTTCCGTGGGCTGAAACAGGCCATGCGCCTGGCTGTCGGGTGCTCCGGGCGGCACCAGCAAATGACCACAAACCGGGGGCCGAAAGCCACAGGAAAGCTGTCTCCCACAGTCCCGGAGGCCGGAGTCTGAGGTGCAGGCGTGGCGGTGCCACAAGGCCGCTCAGGCTCCGGGGAAGATGCTTTTGGCCCTTCCAGCTGCAGGTGGCTCTGGGCGTTCCTTGGCTTGCGGCTGCATCGCCCATGCCCTGCCTCCGTCTCCACGGGGCTTCTCCTGGGCGTTTCTCCCTTTGCGTCTCTTCTAAGGACATTGGTCTTTGGATTTAGGGCCCACCTGATAATCCAGGCTGATCTCGTGAGGTCCTCAATCTAATCACATCTGCAAAGACCCTTTTTCTTTTTCTGTTTTTGGAGACAGATTCTCGCTCTGTCACCCAGGCTAGAGTGCAGTGGTGTGATATCGGCTCACTGCAACCTCCGCCTCCCGGGTTCAAGCGGTTCTCCTGTCTCAGCCTCCTGAGTAGCTGGGATTACAGGCGCCCACCACCACACCCAGCTGATTTTGTATTTTTAGTAGAGATGAGATTTCACCATGTTGGCCAGGCTGGTCTCGAACTCCTGACCCCAGGTGATCTGCCCGCCTCGGCCTCCCAAAATGCTGGGATTATAGGGGTGAGCCACTGCACCTGGCCCCGAGTCTTGGTGGTTCACGGCAGCAGGGTTCTGTCTGGTTCATGCTCCGTTTGTGGCTGCGTGGCTGGTGCCCTCCACTACATCCGCTCACTCCAGGGCCTAGGCTGTGGGAGCAGCTATTGCCTCCGTGGTCACGGTGTGGGGACGGGAGACCGAGGGTCTTGTCCATGTCCCAGTCCCCTGAGAGGTTCTGGCTCTGCTCAGACACCGAGTCCCTGGGGCTGCTGTACCACCACCAGGCAGGAGAGGGTGCCAGAGACGTGTGGAGGATTTAAAAACGGAAGGATCTTAGGTGCAGACAGGTGTCTGATGGGAGTCAACAGCGTGTCTCAACTCGCTATTATAAAAAGAGCAAGCCCAGACTAGAAGGAAGCCGTCTTAACCTGTTTAGGAACATCTGCCCAGAAACTACAGCACACATCGAACCCCTCCGCTTGCTGGGACTTGAGAATCACTCCCACAGAAGCCAGCGGACATGGGAGATGTTGGCGATGGCTGTGCCTTCCCTCTATGGGGGTGCTGGAGGCTTCACCAAGTCCGTGAGACAAGAGCAAGAAGAAATGAAGACCAGCATTGGGAAACAAAACTGTCCTGATTTGTTTCATTTTAATTTATTTTTTGTAGAGACAGGGTTTTGCTATGTTGCCCAGACTGGCCTTGAACTCCTGGGCTCAAGTGATCTGCCTGCCTTGACCTCCCAAAGTGCTGGGATTACAGGTGTAAGCCATTGTACCTGGCCTTTATTTCATATAATGTGATTATCAAGATGTAAAAGCCAACTGGCTGGGCACGGTGGCTCACGCCTGTATTCCCAGCATTTTGGGAGGCTGAGGCAGGCAGATCACCTGTGGTTGGGAGTTCAAGACCAGCCAGGCCAACATGGTGAAACCCCATCTCTACTAAAAATACTAAAATTACCCGGGAGGTGGTGGTGGTGGGCACCTGTAATCCCAGGTACTCGGGAGGCTGAGGCAGGAGAATGGCTTGAACCTGGGAGGCGGAGGTTACAGTGAGCCGAGATCACACCATTGCATTCCAGCCTGGGTGACAGAGCAAGACTCTGTCTCAAAAACAAACAAAAACAAACAAACAAACAAAGAAAGAAACATGAAGATGTAAAAACCAAGAGAATTTTTGACTCTATTATTTGAACTAATGAGAGGGTTCAGTAATGTTGGAGACAAGGTTGATGAGGGAAAAAACAATAGCGTATGTTTACACCAGTAGAAACCAAGCTGAAATATAATAGAAAAATACTTCATTAACAGCAGCCTCAAAACCTACGAAGATACCTATGTAGAAAACGTCAGATGGAAGGTGTCCAGGCCACTATAACATTGCAAAGGGCATAAAAGAAGACTTGACTGATGGAGACGTATGCCACGTTCATGAATGAAAAGTGTAAGTTTTGAAAAATGAGATTAATTTTAAAAAGTGAAAAACGAGGTCGATTCTCCGCAAACAGCCTTTCTCAATCCCAGCTGAGTTTTTCGTGGGATTTGGCCGGCTGGTCCAAAGGTCCACGTGGAAGGCCAGAGAGCCAAGCAGAGCTAAGTGAGTTTCAGAGAAGAATCATGTGGGACGCCTGCCTCTAAGACAGCGTGGCATTGGTGCCGGGATAGGCAAGTGGATGCCTGGAACAGCCCATGTGCTTACGATGATGCTTTGAGGTGGGTGGGTGCTCCACATCTACAAGGAAGGAGGGTTGTTCTCTGAGGGTGCTGGGCCGGGCTGTTCCCTGAGTGTGCTGGGCTGGGCTGTCCCCTGAGTGTGCTGGGCTGGGCTGTCCCCTGAGTGTGCTGGGCTGTCCCCTGAGTGTGCTGGGCCGGGGCTTCTCTACATGGGGAAAATTAGGTGCCTGTGTCACGCTCTAAACAAAAATAAAACACCAGGTAGATTAAACAACTCAGATGTGAAAAGCTAAACCTGAAAACATTTAGAAGGAAAACAGGCATAATATTGATGACCTCAGGGTAGGAAAGGGTTTCTTAAGTCACTAAAGTCACAAGCTATCAAAGTAAAGAGAGACGCATTTGACCACATTACATTTTAAAAACTGTGTTTGAAAAAAGACAACATAACTAAGTAAAAATACAAGCCAGGGAGTGGAAGGAGGTCATCTCTGTGCATCCGGCGCTGAGGCCGGAGTCCAGGAGATCTAGCGAACGTCATGGTCAGACAAGCAGCCCAGGGTTGAGGCGGGGGTCACACAGGAGGAGACGCGGACAGGCGGGGGTCACACAGGAGGAAACACGGACAACACAGGGAGTAGCCAGCAGGGAGGCTCGGCCACTGGGACCCCAGGAAGGGCGTGATAATCCTTGAGACCAGCTGAAGGTTCTCACACCTCCAGAGAGAACATGCTGGGGCGTTTAGGGGAGAGCGGTTGGTCAGGGCAGCCAAGCTGAGGACACAGTCCTGCTTCTGGGCACCCAGGGAGCTGCCCACCCGGGAGGATGGAGACTGGAAATGGCCTGCATGCTGGTCCACCAGGAACGGGCTGCTCCTCTGGGCATATTCATCCTCTGGATGGGGCCCAGCACTAAACCGGAACTGCCTGTCTTGACAAGGAGGCATCGCAAACCCAGCATCGAGCAGAAGGAATGAATCGCGGGTCTCTAATCCTGCACCCTGATGCTGTCCGTTTCTGTGAATGTGAAACAGGACCCTAATGCTGGACACTTACAAAAGTAGTAAAATTATAAAATATTTTGAGAGGCACTGGATTCAGGGTCACGGTTGCCTCTGGAGAGGGTTGGAGAGCAGGGAGGGGCACCCACTTCTGCCCGTGATGTTTATTCCTTGATGGAAAACACCTGAGCTAGAGTGGCAGGTCTGATATTAGTTACAGCTGACGGTGAGGAGGTAGTGGTCATGTCCATTCCATTACTCTGTTCTTCATAGGGTTTGAAATCATCCATAACAAAAAAGTCAGAGGGGCCGGGCACGGTGGCTCATGCCTGTAATCCCAGCACTTTGGGAGGCCGAAGCGGGTGGATCACCTGAGGCCAGGGGTTCGAGACCAGCCTGGCCAACATGGCAAAACCCCATCTCTACTAAAAATATAAAAATTAATTAGCTGGGCATGGTGGCACATGCCTGTAATCCCAGCTGCTCGGGAGGCTGAGGCAGAAGGATCACTTGAACCCAGGAGGCGGAGGCTGCAGTGAGCTGAGATTGCGCCACTGCTCTCCAGCTTTCATGACAGACTTTGTCTCCAAAAAAAAAAAAAAGAAAAAAGAAAGATTTAGCACTATTCATTCATTTGAGGAAAAAAGTGGCCGGCGCTGTGGCTCACGCCTGTGATCCCAGCACTTTGGGAGGCTGAGGTGGGTAGATCATGAGGTCAGACCATGAGGTGGGATCAGAAGACCAATACCCCAGGGTTGGCTCCCTAAGACCAGCCTAAACTGGCAGCCCAGGGCTGAGGGCACGGCCAGAGCTGGGGCCCTCGCCCACCCACCACCCACCTGCATGGGGAGGGGCCTTGGGGTGACTGAGCGTGAGAGGGGCTGTGCGGAGGTGGCTGTGATGGTCTCTGGTCCCGCCTCTGGGGCAGGTGGTGCTGACAGGGCAGGATTTGGGCAGCAGGAGTCAGGGGCTCCCAGGGAAGCCTGGAGAGGCTGAGCATGGGGTTGGACCTCAACAGGCACTTTTGGGAAATCTTGTTGGGGGCTGGGGCTGGTGGAGAAGAGTTGGGGTCCTCGTGGGAGGGCAAGGCAGGCCTGCTGGGGCTGGGTAGGGCTGGGGAGGGATGAGAAGGAAGAAGTGTTTCCTTTTGTTTTTTTAAATTATACTTTAAGTTTTAGGGTACATGTGCACAATGTGCAGGTTTGTTACCTATGTATAATGTGCCATGTTGGTGTGCTGCACCCATTAACTCGTCATTTGTATTAGGTATTTCTCCTAATGCTATCCCTCCCCCCTCCCCCACCCCACAACAGGCCCTGGTGTGTGATGTTCCCCTTCCTGTGTCCATGTGTTCTCATTGTTCAGTTCCCACCTATGAGTGAGAACATGTGGTGTTTGGTTTTTTCGTCCTTGCGATAGTTTGCTGAGAATGATGGTTTCCAGCTTCATCCATGTCCCTACAAAGGACATGAACTCATCATTTTTTTATGGCTGCATAGTATTCCATGGTGTATATGTGCCACGTTTTCTTAATCCAGTCTATCATTGTTGGACATTTGGGTTGGTTCCAAGAAGAAGTGTTTCTAGAAGGATCTTCCGGAGGCTGAGAGAAGGAGGGAGTGGGGAGGCTGGTGGGAACTGGGAGGGCAAGGGAAGGTGAGGCGTGGGGGCCAGAGACCCTGGAAGGTCTCCCCAAAGTGGACAGAGTATCTGGAGACCCAGAAGGTGGAGAATACGGTGGGGCCCGGTGGGCTTCAGAGGGCCTGGGAGCTGGGTAGTAGGGGCCCCCCTCGGGCACTCGAGAAAGACCCCTCCATGCTGAGCTCTAGCCATTTATTCCAGTCCAGAGGTACGGGTCTTAGAGCACCCGAGGCCACTCCTGTCCCCAGGTCACTGTGGCTCCTGACCAGCCCTCAGGAGCCGAAGGGCGGGACCCCTCCCCGTACCCCATGTTGGGTGCTGACCAGCCACTGTGTGCGTCATTAGGTAGGGCTGAATTAAAACCCCATAAATCTCATAAATAAATAAGGTGGCTGGGCCAGCCCTGTGTGCAAACACTCAGCATCGGTGTGGCTGCACCCGTTGCTGGGGGAGCCCGGGACCCCCCTCCCCTCCTCGCCCTTGTCCCTGGTCCCTTGCTCTCCTCCCTCCTCCGGAATTCTAGCTCTTTCTCTCCAAACCAGGCGGTGACACCTCTGCGCTCCCAGTGTCCTTTTGAGGCTGAAGGGGGCGGCGTCCCACAGGGCAGGGGCCTGGCCTTGTCTGGGTCTGGGGGCTCAGGACTCTGGGGGCTGTTGCATCTCTGCTTGGACCCAGAGTGGGGTCTGTGCCACCCTGGATGGCGGCTCACAGAGGGCAGGGCTGTGGGGGACAGAACTTGGGCCGTGGAGAGGCCTCAAGAGGAGGTGAGCTTGGGGCATCTCCTGGGCCCATTACAGAGCATGAGGTTGTGTGCTGGGGGCGGCCGGGGCTGAGACTGCACCGTGGGGCAGCCAGGGCTGAGTCCATCACAGAGCATGAGGTTGGGCTGTGGGGGAGGCCGGGGGCGGCCCGGGCTGAGACTATGCGGTGGAGTGGGCTGAGGCTGCACCGTGCTCAGGGCTGGTTTAAGCTCTGGGTCCCTGTCTTGGATTCCGTCATCTTTGGAGGGGCCTCCTTTCCAGTTTGCAGGGGGCCCCATGGGTTCTGCTCTGCAGGGGCTGTGGGAATGGTAGGTGCCCGCCCTGAGCCTGGCTCGGCTGTGATTGAATTTGTTGTGTGGCAGCCGTGTGGGTTACATGAAGGGAGAGGCTGAGGACCCCAACTCGAGGAAATTGCGATCTACGGCATCTATGCCAGATTTCAAGTCAGCGTGTGAAGAGGGTCCGGGGTGTCCGAGGGACCAACTGCAAACCCTCCCCACAGGGACCCTTTGGTGCCCAGATGGGACCCTGGGCCTGTTTCCACCGGCCTGGGGCTGCAGCCTGGGCATGGCCAGGGGCAGAGCATCAGGAAGCCCTGGGAGATAGAGGGCTTGCCCAGGATGGGGTGCAGTGGTGGATCACAGCCCCCTGAAGCCTCCACCTGCTGGGCTCAAGTCACCCTCCCATCTCAGCCTCCCAAATCTCCAGGATTACAGGCATGAGCCACTGCACCTGGCCATGCTGCATTTTTCAATAGAGCAGAAATGTTTTTCTCAGCAGCAAACCACATTTCCAGTGCAACGGGCTCCTGCAATCTCGGGGCCACTGCCAGCCCCGAGGCACTGACCCTCTGCCCTGCGTGTGCTGAGGAGAACGTGTGTCCCTCGCCTGACCCTGCAGAGCCCACATCCTGCAGGACCCCAGGTCCAGAGGACCCACGCTCTGCCACTCCCACCCCTGTCCCGGCCCCTCAGAGCCCCCCCATCACTGTGGTGCTTGCTGCTCTTGGAAAAGTGAGGAGGGTGCAGACGGCAGGGGCCATGTTCTCCTGGGAGGCCCCTCTTGGCTTCTGCTGGTCTGGCTGGAGGCAGGGGCTGTTTGGACCCGGACCCCACCGCTGACACCGCAATTTGACCCTGACCCTTTCTTGACCCTTCTATGGCTCCTGGCATTCTTGGAGGGGCCCAGGCAGTGCCCGGATTCCTCACAGACCAGGCTGACCAGAGCCTTCTGCTAGGCACACCCGCAAACCTTTAACCTCGCTGTAGAGCCCTGGACCCTCCTGGCCTCTCGCTGCCTCACCCTCACTCCTGCTCCTGCTCAGGCGTCTGGGGACAGAGCATGTCCTTGAGGGTGTGGAGGCCAGCAAGGGCTGCACTGCCCTCCCCATGGGCTCTCGACATGGGAGGGGCCCGGGAGACTTGGAAGGGGGTGGCCTGCAGGGATGGGCAGCCCTGGGGCGGTGGGAGGGTGGCGTGTGGCTGGCCACCTGCCAGGAGTGCTGATTGCGGCGGGTGGTAAACTGCGGGTGCCCCTTTGCGGTGCCCGGATACCTGGCGGGGAGCCCTGGGGGCTGCCCATGAACCAGTGCCCACTTTCCTGCCCCTGGCACGGGCTCGGCATGGGACCCAGTGCCCAGTGCCCACTGCCCATTGCACGCCCCCCTCCTGCCCCAACGGCCGGCAGCACTAGTGGCCTGCTTGGCCTCACCTCGCTGTGCAGACGGGGGGTGCCTCAGGGCTGCCCAAAAATCCTGAGTCTGTGGCTCAGTGGAATCTCCAAACCACAGAGGCCAAAGAGGGCGGGGCCCCAGGAGGATGAGCCATGTTGTCAGGAGGGGCCAGTGCACAGAGGATGGCAGCCCCCTGGTCCCTGTCACGGAGTCCGCGCCCCTGCCTGTGCTGTCACTGCCTGCTTGAGTCCCGGAGAGCCATTCACATCCGTGCCTTGCACCCGTGTCCTCCACACCCAGGCCGGGTCCTGGTGCACCCCGGGGTCCCGGAGAGCTGTTCACATCCGTGCCTTGCACCCGTGTCCTCCACTCCCAGGCCAGGTCCTCGTGTACCCCAGGGTTGGAGGGACAAGGAAGAAGGCGTTCACACTGTGACCTCCCCTGGGGCTGCCAGCACCGGAGGGTCTTAGGCCTGGCTTGAGGACGGCCCCATCCCCACCCCGTCCTCCTGGGCCTTGCCAGCATCACTGGGTGGTCGTGGTGCCCCACTCCTGTGTGGGCCCAGAAGTGACCTACGAGTCCCACTCAGCGCGGCACCCTGGCAGCCTGGCATGGAAGGTTGTGGGTCAGGAGTGTCCCCTGCTGCCCTGGGAGCCCCCACCCGCCCAGGCTGGTGGCGGCTGCTCAGGGGTGACCTGCAGGCAGGACAAGAGCCGAGGCTGCAGGGCAGCCTGTGTGTTGTCTTTGAGAGTCGGTTAGAGCCGCCCCAGCTGCCCCAGCCTCCTCTACCTCCCTCTTGGCCCAGGCAGCAGCCTCGGCTGCAGAGACGTCTGGTCAACCCGAGGAGGGCCTGGGATGTGGCCTTGGTTGAGTCAATGTTTCCCTCTCTCCCCCGAGGGGCTGGCCTCTCCTCCCTGGGGCGTGTTCCCATGCTCCAGTCCAGATGAGCCGTGTCTGTTTTCCCAGGGAGACGAGAGAATATCTTTTCCTTTTCTTTGAATAAATGTGCCCATTGCTGGCACCTGTGCCAAGCGGTTCCCAGGCCCGAGAACCCTGCCAGGCTGTGGTCCTGACCGCCCCAGGGAACCTGGAAGTGCCTGCACCTGGAGCTGGGAGAGATCCTGGATTAGCCCCCGAGGGCAGGCACGCAATGCCGGGGTCAGCCAGGGGAAGCAGCTGTCCACAGCTCCACAGGCTGCATGCCAACCACGGCTGCATGGCTGGGACCTTCTCACCCGCCAGGGCCTCTCCACCAAGCAGCGCCTGCCTGGCCACCCCTGGACAGCCCCTGGGTTGGTCAGCGGGCTCCAGGCAGGCCAGCAGGGTCTGCCCACACCACCCAGTGAGCGCTCTTGGAGGGGATGGGGGGCCTGGCACACAGTCAGGCTCAATGAACATTTGGAGAAAGAAGGAATGAAGGGTCCCCCCCCACAGGCAGCTGGATGGGGGTCCGCTGTGGCCCAGCACCATGTGCCCAGCCCTCTCCCCCTGGCCACCGTGAGGCCACCTCTTCTGTGGTGGATGGCGGCCTGGGCTGTGAGCCCTGCGTCAGCCGTGGACCCACCCTCCCTCTCTTTCCTTCCTCTCTCTCTATCTCTCTCCATCATTTCTCTCCCTCCCTCTTTCCTTCTCTTGCTTTCTTTCTCTTTTCCCTTCTATCTCTTTTTTCTTTTTCTCTCCCTTGTACCCTCCCTCTTCCCTCCTTCCTCCTGATTCCCTCCTTCCTCCCTCTTCCCTCTCTCTCTCCCTCCTTCTTCCTTCCCCCTCCCCCTTCCTTCCTCCCTCCGTCTTTCCTTCCTTCCCTCCTTTTTCTCTCTCCCTCCCTCTGCCTCCTCTGTTTCTCTCACTCCCTCTGCCTCCTCTCTCTCTCTCTCTTCCTCCTCTCTCTGTCTCTCTCTCCCTCTGCCTCTTGTCTCTGTCTCTTTCCCTCCTTCTGCCTCCTCTCTCTGTCTCTCTCCCTCCCTCTGCCTCCTCTCTCTGTCTCTCCTTCCATTAGTACATCATATGGGATGCAATGCTGGCTGAAGGCATGTGGGACAATTTTTTAGACTGTCCTTTTTCTCAATCCCTCCATAACATTCAGGCCACAGAGGCTTTGGTCCTGTCCTTGCTGTGTCCAGCATCACCTGCAGTAAAATCCAGCCTCAGTCCCCCTTTAGGACATGCGGGGACAGAGCTCCGTGGAACCCCAGCATGACATGCTGTTCACCTCTTTAACGCTGCACCTTTTCATACTGTTAAAATGGCAATCAGATTTCCAATGTATGAACTTTGAGGAATATATTCACACCATAACATGCCTCTCTGTCCTTTGGGCCTTCTCAGACCTGTTCTGTCCACCTAGTGCAGGTGCTGTCAGCTTCAGCCTCCTCCTCAGAGACCAGACATGTCCTACAATCTGGGGTCCCTTGTCTGGCCAGAGGGAGGGACGTCAGGATGGGACAGGTACTCCAAGAGTTCTGACTTAAACAGCCCAGGAGGTGGTTCCTTGGGGTGTGGAAAGAGAGCAGGGGTGGTTCAGGAGATAGCCCGTGGCTATTGTTCATGTGGGGTCTGAATTCAGGCTGCTCACATCTGGTTCTGCCCAAGACTTAGCTTCTCAACATCTGCACCAGGAATAGAGGACCCACCTGCCCCAGGGAGAGATGACTGACCTGCCCCAGGGCCAGAGGATGCACCTGCCTGAGGACAGAGGGGTGTGAGTCCTGCCCTCTGCTCATAGGCAACCCTGGAGCATGGGCTCAAGCCTTCTGAGACTTGGTGGGGGCATGGGATTTACTCCCAGGCAGGGCTCACCTGGACCAGGGCCCTCCACTGCCCCTGGTGCTGAACTCAACCCCACCCCTGAATACTGCCGTGGGGTTGTCTATGAACATCTCCCCCAGCTCTCAGTGAGCTCCCTGAGGGCAAGACCTGTTCCAGCCCCATGAAGGCCCCATACATGTTGTGGAATGAATAAATATGAGTGAATGAGTAAGTGAATATGAATATCAATAATACAGTTGAACATGTATGAATGAATGAAGAGAAATATGTGAATGTAGATGGATGGGAATGAATGGATGGGAATGAGTGGATGAGTGAGTGAACAGGAATGAGTGGATGGGAATGAGTGGATGGGACTGAATGGATGGGGATAAGTGAATAAGGATGAGGGGATGTGAATGTAGATGGATGGGAATGAGCACATGAATGAGTGAACAGGAATGCATGGATGGGAATGAGTGGATGGGAATGTAGATGGATGGGAATGTAGATGGATGGGAACGAGTGGATGGGAATGAGTTGATGGGAATGAGTGGATGGGAACGAGTGGATGGAAACGAGTGAATGGGAATGTAGATGGATGGGAATGAGTGGATGGGAACGAGTGAATGGGAATGTAGATGGATGGGAACGAGTGGATGGGAACAAGTGAATGGGAATGTAGATGGATGGGAATGAGTGAATGGGAATGAGTGGATGGAAATGTAGATGGATGGGAATGAGTGGATGGGAATATAGATGGATAGGAATGAGTGGATGGGAATGTAGATGGATGGGAATGAGTGGATGGGAATATAGATGGATGGGAATGAGCGGATGGGAATGTAGATGGATAGGAATGTAGACGGATGGGAATGAGTGGATGGGAATGAGTGGATGGGAATGTAGATGGTTGGGAATGAGTGGATGGGAATGTAGATGGATGGGAATGAGTGGATGGGAATGAGTGGATGGGAATGTAGATGGTTGGGAATGAATAGATGGGAATGAGTGGATGGGAATGTAGATGGATGGGAATGTAGATGGATGGGAATGAGTGGATGGGAATGAGTGGATGGGAATGTAGAGGGATGGGAATGTAGATGGATGGGAATGAGTGGGTGGAAATGTAGATGGATGGGAATGAGCGGATGGGAATGAGTGGATGGGAATGTAGATGGATGGGAATGAGTGGATGGGAATGTAGATGGATGGGAATGAGTGGATGGGAATGTAGATGGATGGGAATGAGCGGATGGGAATGTAGGTGGATGGGAATGAGTGGATGGGAATGTGTGGATGGGAATGTAGATGGATGGGAATGAATAGATGGGAATGAGTGGATGGGAATGTAGATGGTTGGGAATGAGTGGATGGGAATGAGCAGATGGGAATGTAGATGGATGGGAATGAATAGATGGGAATGAGTGGATGGGAATGAGTGGATGGGAATGTAGATGATTGGGAATGAATAGATGGGAATGAGTGGATGGGAATGTAGATGATTGGGAATGAATAGATGGGAATGAGTGGATGGGAATGTAGATGGATGGGAATGAGTGGATGGGAATGAGTGGATGGGAATGTAGATGGATGGGAATGAGCGGATGGGAATGTAGATGGATGGGAATGAGTGGATGGGAATGAGTGGATGGGAATGAGCGGATGCATGAATGAATGAAGATGACTCAATGAATGAACAAACAAACAACAGTCTCCCACAGTGGCCTGTGGTGTGAGCCCTGCTGCCAGCCATGGAAACTGAGGCAGAGAGGCTCCTGGCTCAGCCCTGCCCAGCCTGTCCAGCCCCTGTGATGTTGGACCCTCCGGTGCAGACCCACCAGTCATCTGCAGTGACGGGTGGCAGTGGACGTGGGCTGAGTCGCGGCGGACTGAGTCCTGGTGGCCACTGCTTGATTTCATTGCTGGGCAGTGCTCCCGTGCAGGGTGTATTTGTCCACTCCCCCTTGGGGTGCAGGGGCTGTGCCTTCGGTGCCTGTGGCTTCAGTGCCTGTGCCCGGGAGAGGGCTCATTCCCCATGTTGGCTCCTGTGGGCCCCTGAGCCCTAGTATTCAGTTCATTGGCTGCTGTGTGTCTACCGGGGCCGCCATAATGAATGCCCACAACAGGTGGCTTGAAAACATGGGAAATGTATCCTCTCACCGTTCAGGAGGGCAGAAGTCCCAGTTCTGGGAGGCAGAAGTGTTGATTCCCACTGGAGGCTTGGAGTACCTCTGACACACATACCCGGCCTTTCCCTATGGGGACACACATGGATGGTGGACGACACCACCCAGATCGTCCAAGAAGATTTCATCTGAGATCCACATTATACCTTCTGCCAGCAAGGCAGCCCTCCCAGGTCCCAGGGTTCAGGGTTTGGGCTTATCTTTTGGGGGCCACCCTAATCCTCCTATAGTCCCAGAGGCCTGATGGGACTCACAGCTCAGCCTAAATGGTCCCCTGGGACAGATGGACGGGCAGTCCAGCAGCCAGGCAGGATGGGAGGGAGGTCCACCCGTGCTGGAGAGCTCGGACCCCTGGGCCAGCCAGGGCCTGTGCGAGGCCCATGCACAGACAGGAGCTGCTTGGGAAGTCGTGGTCCTAACCCCTGATGCTGACACGCAACGTCTCCAGATGCCCTGGTGGTGGGGAGACATCAGTCCCTCCCAGCTGGTCAGCCTGCGGACTACTGAGCTGGACACCGTGAGGAGCCATCTGACTCGACGGAGGAAGCCCTCATGGGGGCGTGGGATGCTCTGGGGCCTCTGCACTGCCCCCACCCCCCCGCACCCTGAAAACGACGTCTGTGTGTGGTGCAGCTAGCGTGGACCATGTCCCACGGAGGGCCCACCCCTACCAGGTCCGTCTTCTGGCATGGCCATGGCTGGGCCTTCCGCCTCACCCGCTCTGGGAGGGAGCCCTGGCCTGCGCTGGAACACTCGGCCTCCTCCGTGAGGGGGTTTGTGCTCGGACAACATGAAGGCAGACGGATGCCTAGCACAGCTGGCTTGGTAAACAGAGAATGTGCCGTTTACTCCCACATCCGCAGAGTAAATCCCCACGGGCAGTGCGCCGGGTGCTGGGGACCGGCAGTCTCCACTTTGGGGAGAGGCAGAGCAACAACGCCTGACCCCAGGAGTTTGGAGCTGCACCCTGGTCTGTGTGCGTAAGGCTCCTTGGCTGCACCCCACGCTGGGTGAGGGCACTGGGCTGGAGATGGGGCAGGTGGGCGACTGTCCCGGTGGCCCTCCAGCGCGGTCCCCAAACCGGGCCTTTCCCACCACCCGGGGAGGACGCTGCTTATGGCCAGGCATCTTGGGCAGCCCCAGTGCACAAAGTCAGGGCTCCTGGTGGCCCGGGCAGGCTCTGTGCATGGTGGGACCACCTTAGCCTTGCCTCTTGCAAAGCAGCGCCCAGCCCCCACCCTGCCCTCTTGTTGGCTTTTCTGGGAGGCCTGTGGGGGGCCTTTCCAGTGCCCTGGTGCCGCCCCTGAGCTCTGGGTCACTGCCCAGAGGCGTCTGAAGCAGACACCTGCCCCTGCCTCCCTGAGCCCACGCTACCCGCTCTGTATCCTATCTAGAACTTTCACGAGCCGACATTGTCCTGTGTGCCAGCTCACTGTCCCCACGGAACAGCCATGCCACGAGGGTGGGGTCCCTTTTGTTTGGGGGGCAGAGCTCAAGCTTTTGGATCTGCTTCAAGCCCAGAGCCACCCGTCAGCTGAAATACTGAAAGGAGGAAGGGGTGAGAGGAGGAAGGACTACGGGGTGGACAGGGCTCTCAGCAGGCACCCCTGCCCCACTTCACAGCAGCCCTGCGGCCGGGGACGGACTTTGGCAGGGCTGGTGGCAGCTGGGTCAATCTGGGCTTTTGGGAGGCTCTGGTTCTGTGGACCCTCTAGGGCTTGTCCCCCCGCCTGTGACCTGAGGTCTCCTGAGCTCTGCATCTCAGTCTGCTCTCGAGTTAAATGGGGACAGTATCACATGCTACAGAAGGCCTGTGGCAAAACGCTGTCTGTAGAGACCCCAGCACAGCTGCAGCTCAGAAACAGCCACCGTTGTGAAGAAGATGCGTAAGAGTCAGTTGATCATGACTACTAGCCTTTCCTTGAAGCCTGTGTGTACAGGTAAAACTGCTGTGTAGCACACACACACACACACACACACACACACACACACACACACCCACGAAAAGCACGCAGCCAACTGAGCCCAGGTCTGACGCTGTCTGTCCTGACTCTAGGACACACCCGGGTTCCTGACATTCACAGTGAACCTGTGAGCTCTGGAGCCAACGAGAGACGTTATTGGCCAACGCACTGCCCTGGGGCCGGGTCGCTGGGGGGACCCAGGTAGGAGGCAGGGCTGGGGGAGCAGAAAGGCAGGGATGGGGATGGACGTGGCTGATGCTGTGACCTCAGCCAGGACAGTCCCCGAGTGGAGGAGGAGGCTGGGCCCCCCTAAGGCCGCTCTTCCCCAGCCTCCTGCCCCCCGGCCCAGGTCTTATCACCCTCACCCAGCCCCGGCCTCCCCTCTCGACCCCCAATCTGTTCCCACCTCCGTTGGAGGAGGCTCCTGAGGTGGGTGCCCCTCTAGCCTGCCTGCCCCTGTCCAGGCCCTGAGGGCTCCAGAGGGGGGCCGAGGCCTGGGGGTCCCGACCTCCATGTGCCTCCCGTGTCCCCCGCTGCAGCCCCACACGCACCCCACTGTCCAGCCACACAGGCCGTCTGAGGCTGGGGGCCCAGAGGCAGACTGCCCCAGATATGTGGGCAGGGGTCAGCGGGGCTCTCAGGACACCAGCTGGGGGTGAGGGGAGCATGGAGGGAGCGTGGGACAGGCTGAGCTGCCGAGGGAGCCACCCTGGAGCTCTGGAGCCGGGAGGCCTTGGGAGACATCCCAGGCTGGGTTCTGTCCCCCGATGTGGCAGGCGTTGCACGCAGGCTCGCTGTGGCCTTGGGCGAGGTGGCTTTCTGGGGAGGGCAGTTCCCAGGGAAGGAGGGCCGAGCCCTCGGCAGCCAACACTCGGGTGGCTTGGGACGAAGGCCTCGGTCCTGGTGGGGCCTGGGCGACGCCCCCAGTGCCCACCACGCAGGCCTATGGTTGGTCACGGAGGTGGCCTTCTCCTCCTACCCACTGTCTCTACCTCAGCTTCCAGCAGGTGCCCAGTGCTCACGCCGGCCTCGAGCCTGGACTGGGGGCTGCACCTGCCCCAACACTCTCAATGTGTGGCTGGGGAGTCTGAGGCCCAGAGGCACCCAGCCCATCCCCCCACAGAGCAGGCCTCAGACCTGCTGCCCTGCTGTCTGGCCGAGAGCACCACCCGGGGTGGAGCGGCCGGTGAGCTGAGCCCGGGTCATAAGCCAGGCAGGGGAGCAGGCTTCCTGGGATCCGCCGACCCCGTCCAGCTGCTGCAGGGCCCCATGCCTGCCACAGGATGCCCCTGAGCCTGGGGCATGGCTGTTGCCCTGCAGGGGAGGCCATCTACTGGTGCAGCTGTCCTGCAGCTGGACATGGCTTTGAGATGACCTCTGCAGGGTGGGGTGCAGGGAAAGGCCATCGAAACCTGAGACCCAACACAGGGGAAGGTGGGGAAGGCTGCGGGGCCCAGCTGCACAGCGGGCTGGGACGCAGAGCCAGCCTCCCACCCTGGGCCTGTCCCCTGATCTCCGCCCAGTGTGGACTCCTTTTGGGCACAGCTGAGACCAACCCAGCAGATAAGCGGATTAGCATGGTGCATGCCCCCAGGGTGCACAACTGGCTTTATCAGGGCCCGGATGTTGTCTCAGGTGGAGCTGGGCAGGCTTAGGTGAGGTGGGTGTTCCCAGGTCAGATACGCTCTGCCCAGCTCTCACCCCTCAGCCGGCGCAGGGCCAGGGGCCTGGATCAGGGGTTCGCTCCAGCTGCCTGCTATCTGGCTGCCCGTGGCGGGCTCGGGGCAAGGGTGTGCAGGAGAGCCGGGTCTTGGTGGCTTTGTGCTCCTACCCTGGGTTTCAAAGGCGCTGCCTCCCTTGTTCCTTGTTCATTCACAAAATCCGTGAGCGCCCCAGCATGTGGGACACAGATGAAGGGGCCGGGGGAGGGTTGCCACTGGGCCAGGGCACCGGGAGTGTCCCCACGTGCCATTCGGCCGAGTCCTTGGCAGGGGGAAGCCCTGCTCAGAAACGGAGAAACTGAGTCTTGGGACATTTGCTGTCTCGCTCACTGTCAGAGCCCCCTCCATCCCAAGACAGGCCTGGGCACCTGACAACCGTGCAGGACCGTGACATAAAATATGCCAGGAAATCGGGTGGAGGAAACTCAGACGTGAGGGAATCAGGCTGGCAGAGCCGGGTGGGGAGAGGGTGCTGGCACAGGCAGGGACGCTCTAGGTGCTGGTTTTAGGGGCAGGGCTGCCTGGGAAGCCACCTGAGATGAGAGGGAGAGAGGCCAGGGGGACTTGAAGAAGCCCAGGGTGCTGGGAGAACCTGGGGGCCAAGCAGAGGAGGTGCCTGGGGGCCAGGCCAGGTGGGCACAGACCCACAGCTACCCGGGCCCTCCTCATCTGCCCCACCCCAGAGCCCACCTGCATCCGCCACAGCTGGCCTGGCTTTCTGCCCGACACCTGCCAGGTCAGGGGGCCCCTGCTGGAAGCCACACCCCACTCTGCCCACCTCCCACCTCCTCACTCCCCCTGCCTGAGCTCCTGCCAGCCCTCACGGCGCCCTCCTAACCTCCACTCATCAGAGCCCTGCCCTGTGCCCCAGACTCGGCTGGAGGCACCCCCAGGAAGCCCCTGTGGGAAGCAAGTCCTGGTGTCGGTCCTCACCCCACCCCTCAGGGAGCCACAGGCCCAGCTCCTGGGTGTGTCCCTCTGGGTGGGGGCCTGGGGTCACAGGCTGGCCTGGAGCCATGGAGACAGGGGAGCTGCCTGGCTGTGGGGGAAAGGCAAACACCCTTTTGTCTGTGGCCGCCTCTTCTGCTCGGGGAACTCTGGGGACAAAGCCGGTGGGCCAAGGAGCCCCCGCTGTCTAGACAGCCCTGCCCCACGAGGCAGGCAGGGGAGGGGGCGCCCTGAGCAAACAAGCAGGTACCAGGCGTCCTGAGACTGCGGGGCCAGGCCAGGGTGGGCGAGCGACGAGGCCCGCGGGAGTGGGAGGGGGCGCGGGATGCTGTCCTTAGGGACCCTGGGCCCCAGCCGGGGTTTCTCCCTGGTCTCTCTCCTTCCTTTCTGCTGGCCACCACCTCCAGGAAGCCAGCTGGACCTGACCCTGCCTCCTGAGGGCTCTAGGAACCCACCTCCCAGGTCCAGCCATGCACCAGCCTGTCCTCGTGACCCTCACTGGCCTCAGGGATCCCCCAGTAAGGGGGCAGCGGTGGGGACTCACCTGTGGGGCTTGAGTGAGCCATGCCCAAGACAAGAGGCAGAGCCAGGAGGTGCAGGTGACGCTATGGTCCCCAGCTGCGTGGCGGCTCTCTCCAGGTGTGTGGGCCTCCTGGTCCCTTCGTGGTGTCTGGTGTCACCATGCACAGCTCAGACCCCTGCTGCAGTCCCCAGGGATCCACAGCCGCACCTGCCCTTTCCTCTTGCTTCTCACTGCGCCCCAGCCCCCTGGCGGCTGCTCACCAGCCTTCATGTCCTCACTGACGCCTGCCCTGCACCGGGACCACCCTGTGTTCCCCAGCTGTGCCCAGACCTGATGGAAATTCTCAGCAGCCCAGGCCAGACCCACCTTCCCGCTCTCCTGCCAGCTCTGAACGTTGGGCCCCTGGCACTGTTATTCACATCTTACTCCATCAGTTCCCAGCCCAGCCCCAGCCCCTGCCCCTTCAGATGCAAACCCTGTGAGGGCCAGAGCCTCCCTGGTGTCCTCACCTTCCCACCCATACACTCAGCTCTCCATTTATTCAGGATTAATTCAGCTGTTTGGGGAATAAAGATGTGAAAAAGTTACCATCTTTAACAATCCCCTTGACTGACTTCAGAATAGTGTTCCCTTTCATCCCCTCTGTCCACCTGGGAATGCTTCTGATGCTGCCTGCATTATCAGGAGGGGAAGAGGCCCAGCCAGTCTGCAGTGAACATGCCGTGAAAGCCTGGACTCAACATTTGCTATTTGAAGTTACAGACAGACTTTTAAGTACCTGACTGGATATACCATGTGAACATGCCGTGAAAGCCTGGACTCAACATTTGCTATTTGAAGTTACAGACAGACTTTTAAGTACCTGACTGTATATACCATCCAACCTGGGACCCGGGGATGGGAGAGCCCACGCCCCTGACTGGAGAGTTCCAGAGGCCTGGAAAGAACACCCACAGTAGAAAACCCGCGGAAGAGGGGCCTAGCAAAAGATTCATTAGGTATTATTATTATTATTTTGAGATGGAGTCTCGCTCTGTTGCCCAGGCTGGAGTGCAGTGGCTTGATCTCAGCTCACTGCAAGCTCTACCTCCCGAGTTCACGCCATTCGCCTGCCTCAGCCTCCTGAGTAGCTGGGACTACAGGCGCCTGCCACCACACCTGGCTATTTTTTGTATTTTCTTATAGAGATAGGATTTTGCTATGTTGCCGAGGCTGGTCTCAAACTCCTGGCCTTAAGGGATCTGCCCACCTTGGCCTCCCAAAGTGCTGGGATTACAGGCATGAGCCACCATGCCTGGCCTTCATTAGATATTATTATTATTATTTTTTTAAAAAGTTTCTCCTGAAAGGCAGAGAGAACACATAGTTTTATTTAAAAAATACATTAGAAACAAGTATATTTAGAAAATATATGCTTTTATTATTTATGAATTTAAAAAAACGACTCAATGAAACAAAAAGTGAAAGACGAATAAAAAAGGTAACAGACTGAGAGGAGAGAATCAGCCTGAGGCAGAGATGAGGGGGAACTAGATAATGTAAAGAAACCACGATGGGAGAGTTAATATCTGTACTCAAAACAGTAAAACGGCAAGTAACAAAAAACACCATGTAAAATTGAGTAAGTAATGTGGAAGACAATTAAAGTTCTTTGAGAATAGGAGGGAAAGAACAGAGAGATTAAACTGGTGTGAAAGGCTCCTTCAGTGTTTGGGGACTAGCTCATATCAGAATAACATGCTTGCCCTTCATAATCATAAACTCAAGATGAAATAGAAATGACACCTGTTTTGAAGACTGGTGAGTGGCTGGGCATGGTGGCTCATTCATGTAATCCCAGCACTTTGGGAGGCTGAGGCAGGTGGATCACCTGAGGTCAGGAGTTCGAGACCAGCCTGGCCAACATGGTGAAACCCCATCTGTACTAAAAATACAAAAATTAGCTGGGTGTGGTGGCGCACACCTGTAGTCCCAGCTACTAGGGAGGCTGAGGCACCAGAGTCACATGAACCCAGGAGGCAGAGGTTGCAGTGAGCTGAGATCGCACCACTGCACTCCAATCTGGACAACAGAGTGAGCCTCAGTCACACATACATACACACACACACACACACACACACAACCCAAAACAACAAAAAACCACTGGTGAGAAATCAGAGGCAGGCAGCATCAGAGGGGATGCAAGCCTGGAAAAGGGAAATAAGTGAGGTACGATCCCCATTCAGCTGACTTTCCACTGGAGGGAGCTTCCCTGTTTACAGGAATGTGAGGGAGAGGGTGCCAGCTGACTACAGCTCCTGAGCTGGGCTGAGAAGACTGAGGTCCAAGCTTAAGGTCTCCAGAGGCTGGAAATTAGGAAGGATGTTACAGGAAGAATAGATCCACAAATTTTTGACTGAGTTAAAAGTCACATATAGGATGAGACCTTAAACATCTGAGTGAAAGGAAACAGCTGGAAGGCTGAAAGATAGGGGCATGGGGTCACAGAGTTTGGAGTTCGAGTTGGCCCAGCTAGACCTCCTGGAGAAACACCTTGCTTCCCATTACGACTCTGTAAGAACTGTATGTTAGGAGCAAGGACCATCTGCTAGGACTAAATGCTGTGCCCCAGGAACAAGGGCTAAACTGAAAGAGACCCAGATAATAAAGCCTGAGAAGAATCCTCCTCAGGATCAAGTTGATCCACCAAAAATTTAACCACCTGCTAAACAAAACTTAGCATTCTCCTTCGGAAGATCACAGAATCTAAAGTCTCCACAGTGTATCATACACAATGCACAGTGTACAATAAAAATTACCACAGAGGACAATATAGCCCACAATCAAAGGAACAAACCAACCATCAGAAGCATATCCACAGAGGCCCATATGTTGAAATTAGGAGATAAGTATTTTAAATTAACCATTATAAAAATGTGACATAACATACATTGGAAAATGAATATAATGGAAAAGAGGTGGGGAATGTCAGGAGAGAGATGGAAACTCTAAAACAGAACCAAATGAAAATCTTGAAACTGAAAACAAACAACACAACCAAATATCTGAAATGAAATAGTCATTGAATTGGTTTAACAGAAGCTGGGAAACTACAGAGGAAAAGATCAAGAAACTTGAAGAGAGGTTGATAGAAACAATCCACACTGAAGAACAGACAAAACAGTTTTTTGAAAAAGTCTCAGTGACTGGTGGGATGATATTAAGTTGTCTGAGGAAGGAGAAGAAAGAGAAAAGGGGGTAAAAAATATTAAAGAAAAAATAGCCAAATGTTTTAAAATTTGACTAAAAACATCAACTCTGAATTCCAAGAAGCAAATCTTCAGTGCAATAAATATGAAGAAAACTACACTTACGCATGTAATAGTCAAACTACTGAAAAGAAAAGGTAAAAGAAAATCTTTAAAGCATCCAGGAAGAAAAAGACATAGCACACAGAGGGAATAAATGATAAAATGGTAGCTATAAATGCAGTCATATCAAAATTTAAATTAATGTAAGTGGACTATACACTCCAATTAAAAGACAGACTTTTAGACTGAATCAATGAGCAAGACCCAAAGATATGCTGCTTACAAGAGACATGTTGTGACTATAGACACAGATAAGGTTAAAAGTGAAAGGATGGAAAAATGTATGTCATGCAAGCAGTAATGATAATAAAGCTAGAGTGGTTACATCAATATCAGACAAAGTAGATGTCAAGACAAGGAATATTACCGAGATAAAAGGACATTTTATAATTATAGAAATGACAATTCATTGAGAAAGCACAATATTACTGTGTATACATCTAATAACAAAGCTTCAAAGTATACAAAGCAAAAATAGACAAAACTTAAGGGTGAAACAGGCACAGATTTTAACATCATTTTCTTGATCATTGATAAAGCAAATAAACACTCAGGAAGGCTGTTAGAAGTTCTGAAACCACTATCAACCAACTTGAGCTAATTGACATTTATGGAACCCTAGTCAATGACTGTAGAATACACCATTCTTCAAAAGACCACATGGATTGCTCACCGAAATGGAACAGTGCTGGGCTATAAAACAAGTCTCAATAAACTTCTAAGGATTGAAATAATCAACATATGTTCTCTCACTAAAATACAAATTAGTTAAAAGCAGTAATGATAAGATATTAAGAAAAACCTCAAATATTTAAAAATCAAGAAGCACAATGCATTCCAAACAACCTATGGGTCAAAAAAGTCACATAAGAATTACAACCAACTTCTCATAGAAACAAAGGTGGCCAGAAGATGCCAGAAAGACATCTTTATAGTGTTGAAAGAAAAAAAAAAAAGCCTGTCAGTCAACACTAAAATTTAGGTCTACAGGAAGGAATGAGGAGCACTAGAAATAACAAATATGAGGGTAAGTACAAGTAAAATGTTCTTTTTTAAAAACTTTCTTTAAGGGACTGTTTAAAGCAAAAAATTAATTGTGGAAGTTTATAACACATGGAGTAATTAAAAACATCACACCAAATAGCACCAACAATGGAGAAAAAATGAAATTAGACTGTTCAAAGGTTCATATATATACATATATATACACATATATATACATATATACATATATACACATATATACATATATACACATATACACATATATACATATATACATATATACACATATATACATATATACATATATACACATATATATACATATATACATATATATATACACATATATATATACATATATATATACATATATAATTTTTTTTTTTTTGAGACAGTCTCACTTACTCTGTCACCCAGGCTGGAGTGCAGTGGTGCGATCTTGGCTCACTGCAACCTCCACCTCCTGGGTTCCAGCAATTCTCCTGCCTCAGCCTCCCAAGTAGCTGGGAGTACAGATCTGTGCCACCACGCCTGGCTAATTTTTATATTTTTAGTAGAGATGGGGTTTCACCATGTTGGCCAGGCTGGTCTCGAACTCCTGAACTCAAGTGATCCACATGCCTTGGCCTCCCAAAGTGCTGAGATTACAGGTGTGAGACACTGCACCCGGCCAGGTTCTTACATTTTACGTGATGTGATATAATATTAATTCAAGATAGACTGATAAGGATGCATACTATAACTTTCAGAGAAACTACTAAAAATATAATGATATCTAGATAAAAAGCAAATAGAAGTATTAAAACTGAATATTGAAAATACTTAACTGACCATACTAAGTGTTGGCAAGAATGTGGCACAGCCGGAGCTCTCAGACAGTGCAGACAAGACATAATGTGGTACAATCACTTTGGAAGGCTGCTTGAAAGTTTCTTATGAAATTAAACACATGCTTAGCATAGGACTCAGCAATTCTACTCCTAGACATTTACTCAAAAGAAATGAAAACGTGTGCTTACAAAAAGACTCGCACAAAAATGTTCCTGGCAGCATTATTCGTAACTGTAAAAGACTGGGAAAGGCTCAGGTATTCCTCAAGAGGTGTATGGAATAAATACATTGTGGTATAGCCATATGATGGAATACTATCCAGCAATAACAAGAAACAGTGAAAACACACCACAACATGGGTAAATCTCAAAAACATGATGTGTGAAAAAGGCCAGACACAGAAGAGTTAATATTTTATGACTCCATTTGTCTGAAGTTCCATAATAGACCAAACTAATGTACAGTGACAAGACTCAGACCCATAGTTGCCTGGGTCAGGAATAAGAGTGGGGCCAGGCATGGTGGCTCAGGCCTGTAATCCCAGCACTTTGGGAGGCCAAGGTGGGCAGATCACCTGAGGTCAGGAGTTTGAGACCAGCCTGGCCAACATGGCAAAACCCCATCTCTACTAAAAATACACAAAAAAGTAGCCAGGTGTGGTCGTGGGCACCTCTAGTCCCAGCTACTCAGGAGGCTGAGCCAGGAGAATCACTTGAACCCAAGAGGTGGAGGTTGCAGTGAGCCAAGATGATGCCACTGCACTCCAG
This sequence comes from Homo sapiens, assembly GCF_000001405.40. Classification (NCBI taxonomy): domain Eukaryota; kingdom Metazoa; phylum Chordata; class Mammalia; order Primates; family Hominidae; genus Homo; species Homo sapiens. The sequence continues at coordinate 1,137,413 of NC_000011.10, forward strand.
CCTGAGCGACAGAGCGAGACTCCATCTTAAAAAACAAAACAAACAAAAAAGAGTAGGGTTGACTGGAAAGGGGCATGAAACTCTTTGGGTGATGGGAACATTTTCTGGCTTGATCGCGGTCATGGTTCCATGGGTGTATACGTTTGCCAACACTCATTGAATACCATCATCCCTTGGCATCTGTTGGGGATTGGTTCCAGGACCTCCTGGAATACCTAGACAGTATTTGCATAAAAACTGTGCACACCGTCCTGTGTACAGTTGGCCCTTGAACAACATGGGGGCCAAGAGTGCCAGCCCCTCATGCAGGTGAAAATCCAAGTATAACTTTTGATTTCCCCCAAACTTAACTACTAATAGCCTCCTGTTGGCTGGAAACCTTACTAACAACATAAACAGTTGGTTAACACATATTTTGTCTGTTATATGTATCATAGACTGTATTCTTATAATAAAGTAAGCTAGAGGAAAGAAAATGTTATTATGAAAATCATAAGGAAGAGAAAATATATTGACTATGTATAAAGTGGAAGTGGGTCATCCCAAACGTCTTCATCCTGGTTGTCTTCTTGTTGAGTAGGCTGAGGAGGAGGAGAAGGAGGAGGAGGGGTTGGTTTCAAAGGTGGCAGAGGTGGAAGAGATGGAGGAGGTGGAAGGGGAGTCGGGAGAGGCAGGCACACTTGGTGCAACTTTCGTGGAAAAAACTCCATGCATAAGAGGACACACACAGTTACAACCCCTGTCATTCAAGGGTTGACTGCACTGTAAGTCATCGCTGGATTACTCATAACACCAAAGACAACACCCACACACCCCTTCATTCCCGTGGATTCAGCGTGGAGCTCGGCTGTGTGACCTCAACGTGTGACCTCAGTGGCAGATTCAGGTTTTGCTTTTTTGGAACATTGTGACTTTTTTTTTCCTGAATATTTTTGATCAGCCGTTGGTTGAGTCAACAGATGCAGAAGCCACAGACATGCATGGCTGGCTGTATTAACTTAAAATGAATTCATCTTAAGCCAGGCATGGCTTATGCCTGTAATCCCAGCACTTCGGGATAATAAGTGCTGGGATTACAGCACTTATTATAAGCCAGGCTCATGCCTGTAATCCCAGCACTTCGGGAGGCTGAGATGGGTGGATCACTTGAGGTCACGAGTTCAAGACCAGCCTGGTGACCATGGCGAAACCCCGTTTCCAATAAAAATACAAAAATTAGCCAGGCGTGGTGGCGCGTGCCTGTAGTCCCAGCTACTCAGGAGGCTGAGGCAGGAGAATCACTTGAACCTGGGAGGCAGAGGTTGCAGTGAGCTGAGATTATGCCACTGCATTCCAGCCTCATGACAGAGCGAGACTCCATCTCAAAAAAAAAAAAAAAAAGAGTTGATTTTATTATGGGTAAATTATATCTCAACAAATTTTATTTCAAAAGAAAACAAGAATATCGATTCACTGAAAGGAAAGCAGGCAAAGAAGATCGAAGGAACAAAGAATGCATGGGTTACACATAAAGCAAAGTGCAAGACGGTGGGCTGAACTTGCCCTACCTGTAAAACAGCAATATTGAAGCGATGATAAAATAAAACATGTCTGAGTCAAAGCAAGACTTCATTTATTCGGCTAGTTGAGAGTCTCTCACGTGTCATTCATCAAGGTGCACAAAACCAGACAAGATCCTTCTTGTCAGTGGGATAAGAGTTTAGTGGGATCATAATATTTCAGTTGTATAATCTCATCAATCAATGGGTAACTGCAGAAGGGAACACATTTCTGTGGGGAAATTCAATACGGGGAGCTGAGCGGGGTGTAGGCAGGGGAGATGGCCTTGCACGGGGTGGCTGGGGGAGGCGGGGGGTGGCTGGGGGAGGGAGGGGGTAGCTGGGGGAGGCGGGGGTGGTGGGAGGAGGCGGGGTGCTCAGACAGAAGCAGCTGCAGGGAAGCCCTGGGGTGGGGGAACAGGCCCTGGAAAACTGCTAAGGCAATCAATTAGAAAGAATATTTCCCATGCATTTTTCCTGCAAACAGAAAGGACTGGAAGACATACATCAGCCCATCAAGATACAATCTCAGCAAAAAACCACAAAAGCGGCAGACAAAACCAAACCTCAAGAAAGGCAAAGTTGTACATTCAGAAGGTCTGGAATGACTGGGTTTAGGGGTCATCCCGGCCATTTGCTGCAATGGCTGCCACAGATTGCAAAGAGCACAGTCAATTCTTGGAGGAGGACAAGGGGAGGTGTCATGTTTACAATCCAGAGTGCACAGCCCAGAACTGAGACCTGGAAAGGAGGGGCCAGCAGGAGGAAGGGAAGGGGTAGTGACGTCTCTTCCACACGCACAAGCAAATCAGGGTCACTCATAGAAACACAGATCCCAGGGTTAAAAGGATGACCTCTATAGTCATGAAAACAGAGTGAAGACCTGCAAGAGGAAACGGCAAAGGGAGCACAAACCCGGCTGCACAAGAACAGACCGGAGAAAGGTCAGGACTCTCAGGCCAGGGACTGAGGAGCCAGCGATAAGCCATGGCAGTAAAGGCTGACTGAATGCCCCTATGAAAAGGAGGCTGGAGATGGGGCTGAAAAGAAAAGAGCACGCCCACAGCCTCACTGCACGTTGTTTGAAAGAGACACAGCTAAAACGAATGCCCCAGCAAAGTTAAAATCGAAAGGCAACATGGCCGGGCACAGTGGCTCACGCCTGTAATTCCAGCACTTTGGGAGGCCAAGGTGGGTTTGAGGTCAGGAGTTTGCGACCAGCCCGGCCAACATGGTGAAACCCCGTCTCTACTAAAAATACAAGAATTAGCCGGGCGTGGTGGCGCGTGCCTATAATCCCAGCTACTCGGGCAGGAGAATTGCTTGAACCTGGGAGGTGGAGGTTGCAGTGAGCTGAGATTGCAGTGAGCTGAGTGCCACTGCACTCCAGCCTGGGTGACAAGAGCACAACTCCATCAACAACAACAACAACAAAAAGCAACAGGATATGAGACAAAAGCCAGCAGAGGCAGAGCTGTGGCCGTAGTATTAATAAATCGAAAGGCGGGGTTAAGATATGAACACCGAACACGACAAAGAGGATCAGTTTGAGTTTATAGAAGAAGCAGAAGAAACAATGGTGATTTATTTTGATTTTTACTCATTAAAAAACATAGTGCTGCTGCTCCCAGATGATGGCATAGCTCTTCTTTTCCCTGTCTTCCTCCTAAGTACAAAGAAGAATCCTGAATATTAGACATGAAAGAAATGTAGGAAGGCTCCGGAAGGTGGAGAGGAGAGGGCAGACCAGTCGGGGACCTCGGGCCCCAGGAAAGACCCATTGCAAGTTCCCTGGGTTTTGCTTTTGCCTCATGGATCCCAGGCCTGGAGCTGGAGAAGCTGGCAGTGTGGACACTTCAACACATGTACACCAAAAAAAGGCCCCACCAGTCCCCGCCTCCTGGAGCCAGCGTGATCAGGAAAGTAGCTGCCCGGCAAAGCAGAAGGCTTTTAGGTGATAACTGCCCTGCTCCAGCTGAACACCACGGAAAACCTGCACTCCACTGGAGCAAAGTCTGGGCAGGGCTGGGCAGGGCTGGGCACCCACCCTGGTGGCTGGAATGAGGCGCCCCAGGTGGCCCCAGGGCTGGTGTCCAAGTGGGCACAGCAGGAGGCTGGGGTCATCCCAGTGGGTGGTTCTGAACCGCTTTCTCTGTGACCAGTGATGGGGATGGTGGAGACCACACGGGGTTAGGGAGCTTGGATTTCCACCCCATCCCTGGTGTTGAAACACTCCTCCTCTTCCCCATGAGGAGTGTCAGAGGAGGCTGAGCCGAGAGTCATGACTTTGACCACTGCTCAGTGTAACAGGGCCCCCTCCATCATGCCCGTGGAGGGAATGAGAGCAGCAACGAGGCGCCATGCCCCTCCCAGCCAGAAGGCATCGGTGAGGGCTCCACCCTGCCCGGCAGGCATGGACAAAACCCCTGGGGTGTTAAGAGAGGGCCGGTGGGGAATGAGCACTTCCACACCACAAGCTGCCCCTTCCCTTCATTAATCTGTGCCAGAGGAAGTCAACGAGAAAGGTTTAAATAAGATCCAGAGTCTCGTAGCAATCTCCAAAATGCCCAGGTTTCAATAACAAATTGCTCATCATCCCAAGACCCAGGAAGATCTCAGACTGAATTCAAAAGGACAATCAGCAGAGGCTGACCCTGAGACAAAGAGGTGTTAGAATGATCTGGAAAGGGTTTTTGAGAAGCCCATAAAGTGCTTCATTTGTGAACAAATTGAAACCAATTTAAAAATAGAAAGTCTCAACAGATAATAGAAAATCCCAGCACAGAAACAGAACACACAAAGACGAACTGAATGGAAATGGTAGAACTGAAAATTACAATAATTGAAGAGATAAAAAACAAAAACAAGACTTCAATGAATGGGCTCAACACAGAGTAGAGGGAGAGTCCAGTGAGAGGAAGAAACAGTGAGCAGGGAGGTACAATAATAGACGTTATCAGACCCATCAGCGAAGAGAAAACAGACTGAACAGGATGAGAGAAACACACAGAGCCTCAGGAACCATAGGGCTAGAACAAGAGACCCAGCATTCCAGGTGTTGGGGTCATGGGAGGAGAGAAAGAGGATGGGGATGGAAAAGAGCTCAAAGACCTAAGGTTGAAAACTCCCCAAACTTGCCAAAACACCCACAGATTCAAGAAGCTCGATGAACCCCTAACAGGATAAACCCAAGAAAATCCACAGCAAAACATCTCGTAGTCAAACTTTTGAAAACTATAAAAACAAAAAATTTTGGAAGTAGCAGGAGAGAAACAACATTTTACATATAAGGGAAAGACAGTTTGAGTGGCATTTGATTCCTCATCAGAAACCCCAAAGGCCAAAAAGAGCACAACATTTTTCAAATGCTGACAGAAAGGAACTGTCAGCCCAGAATGCTATATTCAGTGAAAGTATCCCCGAAGAAGGAAGAGGAAGTTAAGGCATTTTCAGATGAAGGAAAAGTAAGAGAAATTTCCACCAGAAGATGTACCCTGAAAGCTTCAAAATAGTTGAACCAAATCTGATAAAACTGAAAGGAGAAATGCACCCATTTCTAATTATAGCTAGAGACATCAACACCCCTGTCTAAACAATTAATAGAACAACTAGGCAGAAAATCAACAAAGATGTGGAAAAACTTAACACCATCAACCAACAGGACCAACATTTGTAGAGCTCCACCCAACCACAGAACACACATTCTTTTCAAATGTGCACGGAACACATTCCAGGAGAGGCCGTGTCCTGGGCCTGAACACAAACTTTAGCACATTTCACATACTGACATCACACTCCAGCATGTTCTCTGACAACAATGACATCAAATTAGAAATGAACAACAGAAAGTTAACAGGAAAATCTCCAAACATTCAGAAACTAGAGAACAGACCTCCAAATAATCTGTGGGCCAATGAGGAAGTCTCAAGGGAAGTTTTAAAAAACAACAACATTGAACTCAATGAAAACGAAAATGCAACATATCAAAAATTGAGGGACATAGCCAGGCATGGAGACATGCAACTGGGGTCCCAGCTTCTCAGGAGGTTGAGGTGGGAGCATCACTAGAGGCTAGGAGTTTGAATCTAGCCTGGGCAACATAGCAAGACCCTATCTCTGAAAAATAAAAATAAAAAAAATTAGAGAGATACAGTCAAAGCAGTGCTGAGGGAAATTTGTAGCAGTAACAGAACACACTAGAAAAAAGGATGAGTCAAGTCAGTAATCTATGCCACCCACTGAAGAAATGAGAAAAAGAAGCACAGGTTGCACACAGAGCAAACTGAAGGAAGGAAAGAGTAAAGACCTCAGTGAAACCGAAAGCAGGGAGACAGTGGCAGAAAGAAAAATACCAATAACACGGACAAGGCTCTAGCATTACAGCAAGAAACAAGAGCAAAGACACAAATGACCAAGGACAGGACTAAAACAGGAGCAATCACTACAGACCCTGCAGATATCATGAGGGTGACAAGGGGCTGTGGCACACAACTCTGCACACAGAACTTTGGCACCTTAGATGAAATATGCCAGTTCCTCAAAAAGCACAAGTGATCACAACTCAGCTAACACAAATAGATAACTGGGCAGCCCAATAAATGGTTGAGAACATTGAATTTATAATTTTAAACTCCAAAAGAAGAAATTCCGGGCTCAGATGAGTTCAGCGGTGAATTCTGTAAAAACTTTAAAGAAGAATTAACACCAATCATACATAATTCTTCCAGAATGTAGAAGAGGAGGGCGTCTGTATGACCCAGATACTGAAATCATACAGGCAGGAGAAAAACAAAGCAAATCCAAACCAGAACTATGGACCAACACCCCTCATGAAGATGGATACAGACTCTAACAAAATAACAGCAAAGAGAATTCAGTGCTATATGGAGCATTATCCATCTTAACCAAGAGGGATCTATTCCAGAAATGCAAGGTGGCCAGGTCAATATTTAAAAAATTAATGCAACCAGCCATATTAACAGGCCAAAGAAGAAAAATTGCACAAGCCTATCAATCAGAGCAGCAAAAACATTTGAAAAGACTCAACATTCATTCTTATAAATTCTCAAAAAATAAGAATACAGGGAATTTCCTCAATGAGATAGAGAACAGCTACAAAAAAAGGAAACCAAAAAGCAAAAACCACTCCTGCTAACATTGTACCTAATGGTGAAGGCTGAGTTCTTCCTGTCTGACACTGGGAGCACGGTGAGGGTGTCCCCTCTCATCGCTCTTATTCAACGTACTGCTGGGAGTTCTGCCAGTGCAATAAAGCAAGAAAAGGAAATAAAAGGCAATTCGTTTGGAAGAAATAAAGCCGTCCCTATTTTTAAGTGACATGATTGTCTATATAGAAAATTCCAAAGATACTGAAATTTAAAAAAATCCAAGACTAATGTCTGTGCAGAAAGGTCAAAGGATACAGGATAAACACACAACAATGAATAGTATTTCTATTTAGTAGCAATGACCATGACTTCATCGACTTTAAAAATATACCACCATTCTCAATCACGCAAATAACTTGAAACATGTAGGCGTAAATCTAACCAAACGTGGAGGACTTGTGTGCTTAAAACTACAAAATGCCGATGAAAGAAATCTTTCTTTTTTTTCATTTAGAATCCATTTTTATTCCCACAAACAGTTCTGAAAAATATTAGAATTGGCAAATGGTTTACCATGAATGGAAAAAAAAAACCCATTGATTTTCCTTTTTTCTTTTTTTTTGCTTAAATAATTTTATTATTTTTATTTTATTTTTCCATAAGTTACTGGGTTGTATTTGGGTATATGAGTAAGTTCTTTAGTGGTGATTTGTGAGATTTTGGTGCACCCATTACCTGAGCAGTATACACTGCACCATATTTTTTGTCTTTTATCCCTCACCCCCTCCCACTCTTCCCCCCAAGTCCCCAAAGTCCATTATATCATTCTTATGCCTTTGCATCCTCATAGCTTAGCTCCCGCATATCAGTGAGAACATATGATGTTTGGTTTTCCATTCCTGAGTGACTTCACTTAGAATAATAGTCTCCAATCTCATCCAGGTCACTGCAAAAGCTGTTAATTCATTCCATTTTATGACTGAGTAGTATTCCATCAGATCTATATCTATATGTATATCTATACCTATATCTATATCTATATACCATCACAGAGCAGGTAAACCTGTAGGGGTGCAAAACAGATATGTGGTGGCTGGAGACTGGGAGAGGGGACGGGGTTGGCTGTACAGGGCACGGGGGACCTCGTGGGGTGACCGAGCGACTGTCTCTGAGTGTGGTGATGGTTACCTGACTGTGTGTTCATCACAGCTCCCAGAACTGTAACCCTAACAGGAGTGGATCTTACTGTATGCAAATTATATCTTAATAAAAAATGAAAGATATATGTAAAGTTGATGTCGGAAAAAGTGCAGAGAAATTTTAAAAAGTTCAGTTATAGTATCTTACTCCATGACAGATAGAGTAGGCAAGAGGTGGAGAGAAGATTTGAATTATGTAATTAATAAGATTTATTTACACATTTATTTCAAACTTTGTTCTCTAATACAGATAATACTCCTTCATCTTAGGCATCCATAGAATAGTTACAAAAATTAATCTTTTTTACATGTATTTTTTATTTTCAAGGTATAATTTGCATACAGTAAAATTCACTCTTGTTAGTGTGTAATTCTGTCCAATTTGTTGTCTACGGAATTGGCTGCAGTTTTCTCTGGGGCCTAATGTGAGATTAATTTTTGTGGCTATGGTCTCTAACAAAATACAACTGAAAATTGATAACAAACATGTGAATAAGACAAAAGAGGCTGGGCACAGTGGTTCACGCCTGTAATCCCAGCACTTCGGGAGGCCGAGGCGGGCGGATCACGAGGTCAGGAGATCGAGACCATCCTGGCTAACACGGTGAAACCCTGTCTCTACTAAAAATACAAAAAATTAGGTGGGCGCGGTGGTGGGCGCCTGTAGTCCCAGCTACTCGGGAGGCTGAGGAAGGAGAATGGCATGAACTCGGGAGGCAGAGGTTGCAGTGAGCCGAGATCGGGCCACTGCACTCCAGCCTGGGCGACAGAGCGAGACTCCGTCTCAAAAAAAAAAAAAAAAAAAAAGACAAACAGCCTAAGCGGCTGGGGGTGGACACGGCAGGGCTGTCTCTGGCCTCTTTCCTGTCTCTGGCGTCTCTCCTCTCCCCTCCCCTGGACCCTCCTTATTCTGCAAAACGGGCCATGGGCACTTTCTGGGAAACGTCACTTTGCTCAAACCGTGTTTGCAGATCCAGGACCCCTTAAGAGATGTTACTTTGCATAAAGTGTTTGCCACTTAGGTTTTCCCTAAGGGATGTTATGTGTTTAAGCTGCCATTAAGGTGCAGAGTGGTAAACCTGTTACAGTCACGTGTGGTCCGCAATTGCCACCAAGACCATCCTGGCTGTGTGGAGCCGGGCTGCTGCCGTGGCAAAGGATCACAGCCCTGTGGCTGAGCACAGCACGCTCACGCCGTGCGGTCCGGGGGTGCCAAGTCTCCAGGGAGCTCGCAGGACTGCGTTCCTTCCAGAGGCTCCAGGGGAGGGTTCACGTCCTCGCCTCTTCCCGCTCTGGAGGCCGCGTCTCTTCCCCGGCGGACCGTCCTCTACCTGCAGAGCCATCGGGAGCCTCTGCTCTCCCCGACTGCCTCCCTCTCCTCCCGCTGTCTCTGTCTGCCTGACCTCTTTCTCTGACCCTCTTGCTTCTTTCACAAGAGCCCTTGTGGTTACTTCGGGCCCATCCAGATAATCCAGGACAACCTCCCCACCCAAGGCCCATCACTCTGTCCACCAGGTCCCTTCCCCCATGGCTCCAGGGTTTAGAATGCGGGCATCTCTGGGGCCATCATTCAGGCTAATGCTGTCAGTATATTAAAAACTGCATTTCTATATGCTAGCAACAAACTAGTAGAAAAGAGCATCAAAAAACTGCTACTGCCTAGAAATAAATTTAACAAAATGTCCCCATGACCTCTACACTAAAAACTGCAAAGAATTGCAGAAATTCAAAAGGACCAAAATATGTGGAGATGTATTAATATAGTTGAAGACTCAATATTGTTAAAATGTCATTTTCCTCCAAACTGATCGGTAAATTCAATCCCAATAAAAAATCCAGTTTTTTTTGGGTGGACATTGACAAGCGCCTTCTAAAATTTATACGGCCATGGAAAAGACCTGGGATAGCCATGACGATCTTGACGAAGCAGAAAAAAACATTTCCAAGACTTAGAATGAAGCTCTTAGTCGAGACGGAGTGACATTGATATAAACTTAGACATTCAGATTAATGAGACGAACTGAGAGCACAGAAATAGGCTGTCACCTGTACCGGGCAAACACACCGAGGAAAACCAAGAGTGCCAGTGTGTGTGTGTGTGTGTGTGTGTGTGTGTGTTCACAGGGTTATGTGTCTGTATGTGTATGTATTTGTAGGCTTGTGTATGTGTTTCTGTGTTTGTGTGTTTGCAGGGTTCTATATGTGTTTGCATGTGTGTGTATGCAGGTTGTGAGTATGTGCTTGCGTGTTTGTGTGTTTGAATGGTTGCATGTGTTTGCATGTGCGTGTGTTTGCAGGGTTCTGTGTGTGCACATCTGCTTGTTTGCATGTGTGTTTGCAGGGTTGTGTCTCTGTTTGCATGTGTGTGTGTTTGTGTATGTATTTGCAGGGTTGTGTGTGTGTCTGTTTGCATGTGTGTGTTTGCAGAGTTATGTATGTGTGTTTCCATGTTTGTGTGTTTGCAAGGTTCTGTGTGTGTTTGCATGTATGTGTATGCAGGTGTGTGTGGGCTTGTGTGTTTGCATGGTTGTGTGCGTGTTTGTGTGTGTGCTTGCATGTTGTGTGTGCTTTGTGTGTGTGCTTGCATGGTGTGTGTGCTTGATGTGTGTGTGCGCTTGTGTGTGTGTGTTTGCATGGTACGTGTGTGTGCTTGTGTGTGTGTTTGCATGGTATGTGTGTGTGCTTGCATAGTGTGTGTGTGCTTGCATTGTGTGTGTGTGCTTTGTGTGTGTGCTTACATGGTGTGTGTGTGCTTTGTGTGTGTGCTTGCATGGTGTGTGTGTGTGTTTGCATGGTGTGTATGTGCGTGTGTGTGTGTTTGCATGGCATGTGTGTGTGCTTGTGTGTGTGTGCTTGCATGGTGTGTGTGTGCCTGTGTGTGTGTGCTTGCGTGGTGTGTGTGTGTTTGCATGGCGTGTGTGTGTGCTTGTGTGTGTGTGCTTGCATGGCGTGTGTGTGTTTGCATGGTGTGTGTGTGCTTGCATGGCGTGTGTGCTTGTGTGTGTGTGCTTGCATGGTGTGTGTGTGTGTTTGCATGGTGTGTGTGCGCTTGTGTGTGTGTGTTTGCATGGTGTGTGTGTGCTTGCATGGTGTGTGTGTGCTTGTGTGTGTGTGTTTGCATGGTGTGTGTGCTTGTGTGTGTGTGTTTGCATGGTGTGTGTGTGTTTGTGTGTGTGTGTTTGCATGGAGTGTGTGTGTGTTTGCATGGTGTGTGTGTGTTTGCATGGTGTGTGTGCGCTTGTGTGTGTTGTTTGCATGGAGTGTGTGTGTGTTTGCATGGTGTGTGTGTGTGGACTGCTACTGCTGCCATGTCGCTGCAGTTCAATGGGTTTGTGCGTTGTGATCACACGGTCCTGCCCACAGAGCTGAATGGGCTATTGGGGTTTCCTTGGGTGAGTCCCAGGCTGTGTGTGGGGTGAGTGTGGGGCCTTTCTTGCACCGTTTAGCCTGGCACGCGTTGCCCTCTCTCTCTCTCCCAGGACCACATTCAGGTGCCAGGGCCTTTAATCCTGTGTCCCTTGTCCTACTTACTCCCTCTCCCCAGACTGTGGGACAGGCACCTGGGGCGCACTGTGGGGGCTCTGAGATGCAGGTGGGTGGGCCAGGCCTGCCGAGGGGAGGTGAGGCGAGCAGAGCCCTTTGAGGGTGATGGAGCTTGGCTGGCCCCATGGCCCGAACCCACCTGGCCTAGGGGCGTGGCTCAGAGCAGGTGCACACAGGGCTTATTCACCTGTGCATTCTTCAAACAGTCCAGGTGTGAGTGTGAGGCTGTGAACACACCGGGGGTGTGTCTGCCAGGTGGGGCCCTGGACGGGGTGGCCCCCAGCACCTCTGGGTTTCCAGCCCCCAAAAGTGGGTGTCTCTGGGCCCACCTGCTCCTGGAGCTGGGCTCGCACTGACCCTGGGAAGACAGCCTCCCCTGGGCATTTTGGGGACGCTGGGCCCAGCCCATGCCTCGTGGCTCAGCTTCCCTCAGCCAATACTTTCGAGACATGTATTTCGAGACATCCCTGGAGACATGGCCAGTATATTTGTATTTTATATGAACCCGGAAGGCTGGACCTGAAGAGGCCCCCTGGGTGAGGGGGCCAGGCTGAGCTCGAGTTCCCCAGGGCCTCCAGCAAGAAAGGCACCCAATGCCTCCTTACAGGAGGAGCAGGCGCATGTCCACAGAAGATCTGAAAAGACCCCATCAAAATATTCGTGGGTGTCTTCTCAAGACGAGGGGGGCAATTTTCGCTTTACATTTTGTTCCAATTTTTTATTGTTGTAAAAAACACATAACATAAAGTTGACGTTTTTTGCCACTGCTGGGTGCACAGTGCAGTGCTGTTAGGACATTCACACTGCCGTGCGGCCCGCAGAGCCACCATCTCCAGAACATCTTCGTCTTGCAGAACTGAAGCTCTGTCTTGTTAAACACCAGGTCCCCACTCCCCGTGCCCAGCCCCTGCCCAGCCCTGGCGGCCACCATCTGCTTTCTGTGTGTGTGGATTTGGCGGCCCCAGCCGCTGGTGTAGTGGAACCACGTGGCGTTTGCCCTTCCGTGGATGGCTTGTCTCTCCAAGCCAATGTCCTTGGATCCGCCTACACTGCCGCCTATGCCAGGGCCTCCTTCCTTTTGGGGGCTGCTTGGTGCTCCCCGGCACAATGGGCCTCACCTTGTTTTCCCCCAGATTCGTGGACAGACACCAGGCTGCTTCCACCTCTTGGCTGTGGTCAACAAGACTGCTGACCCTGCTTTCAATTCTTTGTGATTTTGCACTGAGAAAAATACCTTTTAAATGCACGGTCAGAATTTGGTGGACGACACCCCACCCTGCGTATGCATTTGGTGGACGCCCCACCCTGCGCATGCATTTGGTGGACGCCCCACCCTGCGTATGCATTTGGTGGATGACGCCCCACCCTGTGTTGATGCCCCTCTGTCCTCCCAGGGGTCAGAGGTGCTAACCTGTGCCCCAATGCCCTGGTTGGTCTGGGCCCCTGGAAACCACAGCGAGGGCAGCACGCTCTGGCTGGTCCTCTCCCCGAGGCCGACCCGGATGGGGATCCATGGTGCACATGGCCTGGCAGGGCCCCCCATCAGGGAGGGGCAGCATGTGCACAGTGGAGCAGGGGGGCAGGGGACTAGCCGGCAGCATCCCCTGACTCTCATGGGCCTTTGGGGCTACCAAGGTCAGGGGAGGGGCCCAGGAAACTGGCTGGGCGATGGACTGAAGGGGATCTGGGGTCCACAGATCTGCCCCAGAATCTGTGATCCCCTGAGTCTCCAGCCCCAAATTACTCACAGGTGCATGTGCACTCAGGGGCCCTGCTGAAGGTGCCTGGGGTTCAGGAGATGTGAGGGCAATAGGGGAACCAGAGGCATGGGGGCCGAGGGGTGGGGGGAGGGGGATGAGGAGGCCGGGGCTCCCAGGAGCTGAACTGGACCCAGGCACAGGGGAGCCCCCAGCATGGAGCATCGCCACCCGCCCGCCCGCCCGGGAAGATGAAGATGGAAGCAGGTGCAGATGAACGGCTCTGCCACATGGGAGGCCCATGGAGCCGACAGCCACTCCTGGGGGTCAGTGTGGCCCTTGCTGTGGACACGGGTGCAAGGAACTGACGCTTTGGCCAGAACCGTGGGCCTTGGGGGCCAGAGCTCCAGTAGCCCAGGCCACATCTTGGGAGGAATTCTGTTTGTCCAGTGATTCAGAGAAAATAAATAAACGTAGGAAGGCTCCAGATCACGCAGCCCTGCCACAAAATCAAATTTACTCTGCCCCCTCCCTGCCCAGAGGGCCCAGCAGGGTCTCAGCTCCCTCTGGGCAAGGGCCACCCAACCCCGCCATGGGTACGTCCGCCACAGCTCTCCCTCGGGCCCCCTGGTAAAGTCGGGAAGAAATTTAAGCCTCCTTCCTCCTTATTGTGTAAGTTCCTGGCTTGGTAAAAATCTGCTGCCGAAGCCTGCTCTTTCTGTCAACAGCCGCTGATAATTCATGTGTCAGTTTCCCAGTCCCACCCAGGGTGCCTCCCCTTCCAAAGCCGGAGCGTATCCTGGTCCCAGCGCTGAGAAACTCTATTGTCTTTCTGTGAAATCATTCTCCAATTCCCACACGAAGCCCTAATCAGGCTTCCTGATTCTGCCACGTCCCCCAGAACATGGGCTGTCAGAGGCCCGGCCAGGGGCTGTCCTGGACCCCACGGCCCACCCCGGCCTTGGCGAGACTGAGGGTCACAGGTGCTAAGCTACCATCATTTTCTGAACCACCAGGCATGAGAGAGGCTATGTTCAGAGCATGGAAGTGGCAGAAATGGCAGAACATGGTGGCTCCACCCCGTTTTGTGGATGAGGACACAGGCACTTTGCAGGCCCCCAGTGGTCCCAAGTCTAGGAGGAGGGTGGGGCGGGCTGGCACTGAGCTCACCTCTGGACCCAGCATGCCTGGGCACTGTGGAGATGCATGGCTGGGTTCCTCCTAGGGGACCTAGCATGCCTGGACGCTGTGGGGGTGCATGGCTGGGTTCCTCCTAGGGCAGCAGGGCTCTGAGCAGCGGGCTTTAAATGAGCCATTTAACAGATGGTACAGGAGGGTAATGCACGGGCTCAGGGCCCCACAGCGGGAGCTGCTGGAGTCCTACGCCACCCCCCGCCTGGAAGGGAAGATGTCTGCTCCACAGAGCCCTGGGGTCTCCTGTGGGCAGGGTGTGTGGAGCTGCCCTCCCCTGGTCTCCCCAGGACAGACCCCCACCCTCCACCCCAGGTGCCTTAGGGTAGGCGTGGCCTCCCCAGGTCCTGCCAGCCAGAGCCAGGCTGACCCCAGCGGCCCTGCAGGTCACCTCCTAGGGGCTGTGCCCGGAAACTGGGATGGAAGCGACAGGCTGGGGGCAGAGTGTGAGCCCAGCCCAGGGCTTGCGATGTTGAAACCAGTGCTTCCCTCCCCTGCTCACCTGGCCAGTAACCACCGGGCTGGGGTGTCCTGGCTGGGCTCAGGCCGGGCTGGGGGCCTCTCCTGATGCTGCTGGAGGGCAGACTGGGCCAGGTGCCCCCAACAGTGTGCGCTCGGCCTGGTGGGGCTGAGAAACCTGGAACATACACACCTGTGGGGGTGTCTAAGGGGCTCCCAGGGAGTTCTGGGGGGTCCTGGGGAGCAGGACCCTCTTCACTCCCTCCTCCAGGGGAAGTGGCCCTGGGGCACCCCAGGCTGTTCCCCCAGCTCTGTGGGGCCGAAGCCATCCACAGGGGGCTTTCCCCACCGGATGTGGTGCGGGCCGTGGTTAATCTCACTTGAGTTAGTCACCCAGGACAAACAGCTAACCGACACAATTCCTCCCAAGTCCAGGGGGCCGGAGGCGGGGTCAGCACCTGGCGGCAGGAGACAGTGCTGCCCTGGGATGTGGCCGGGCCTCCCTCCATTCCCAATCCTGTTGTCTCTGTGGCAATACCTGGCTGGGAGCTCCTATCAGGCCCGTGACCCCCGCCCTTTCTCCAGTGCCCTCCTGTCTGCATTCACCTGTCAGATCCCGAGGAGAGAGGGGCACTGGCGGCCGCCCAGGACCAGAGCTGTGGGGCCTCCCGCACCAGAGTGCAGTGAAGGTTTGTGGGCTGCGGTCCCGGCGGAGCCCACGTGCCACCCCCATGCACAGCTTTCCTCCTGCACATCCCACAGAAGCAAAAGCTCCCACCTGCCCGGCACTGTCCCCGCCCTGGGGACCCTCCTGCAAACACTTTCCAGATGACAGGCAGCTGCTGGTCCCAGGCACACACCTTCCCTGAAGGTGCCTCTCACCTGAGGGTGCAGGTTCAAGTCAGGAGGGTGGACTCCTGCCCGGTGGGGTCATCACCCTTCTCAGGGGCTGAGGCAGGGTCTGCTTTAGGGGTTGCGCCTGCTTTTCAGACACCGGCCCCCAGGCCCCTGCTGCAGCCCCACCCGGACCGCATGCGCAGCCGTGCCCGCTAAGTGGTCGGCGCTGCGGGCAGGGTGGCCGGGGCATCAGGGTTCCGAGATGCAAGTGCTGGGCTTGGCTACCACGGGGGGTCGGGAGCTCACGGGGGAAGAGTGATCCTGATTTTGAGGCCAAGTCGCTGGTCTTACACCTGTCCTGGCTGCCGGTCTCAGAGCTGACACCGGCCCCAGGCTGGGGGAAGGTATCCAGCCGGCCTGGCCAGGGCCCCTGCTGGGAGGCAGCAGGAGGAGTTATTGTGCTGGATGGGGGTTGGGAGCTGAGGGGACTGGAGATGGCATGGAGCCCTCCGGTGGGTGGGACTCCCGGGCATATGCTGAGAGCTTTAGGCCTCAGGGAGGGTTCCCAGGAGGCAGGTGGCTGCGCCACGGCTCGGCCAGCCCTGCCTGCACCCTCTGAGAGCCCCCAGCAAGGCTGCAGTGACCACCTCAGATTCCCCTCTGAGGCCTGTGGCGTGGCCGGGACCTCACTGCCCCTGGGGACACACAGAAAATGCCCACAGGGCTCAGAAACAAGGCCCAGTGGGTTTTCTGGAAAGTTCTGGGTGTGTGGAGCCTGGGGCTGTAGGCTCTGGAACTGTAGGCACTGGCTTCAGGCCTCCTGAGGCCTCGGCCTGGTGGGGTTTTCATGGGACCAGGTGGTCAGCCCGTGGCCCATGCCCAGGGGTTTTGGGTGCCTGAGCCCAGGCCCCAAGAGGAAGCCCAGCACAGCCAGGGGTCACCAACACTGGTGGGGGGAAGTCACCCCAGCTGGACCCCAGCAGCGGCCCTGGGTGACGTCTGGCTGAGGGAGGAGAAAGCTGTGGCTGGGGCGGCAAGGCCTGGGTGGCCAGTTGGCCAGGTGCCCCGGGGCTTGGCCCAGCCTCAGACACGCAGGGGGCACTCCCCTCTGAGGGCCACGCTGGTGACTCAGACTGTTCAGAGGTCACGGTATGGACTGGGCCAGTGACTCAGGCCTGTCCTCTGTTGGGGGCTGGACACTGACTCACCCACTGCCTCCTGTCTATCTGAGGGCGTAAGGAGGGCAGGCCTTCAGGCACTCACATGCGGCCCTGGCCAGGGTCCCGGTCACACCTGCAGACCCTCAAGCCCTTCCCTATGCCCCACTGACATAACCACCTGGCCCTGGGATCTGGTCCCACCGCGGGGCCCATTGTCCACTACCAGGACCCTCCTCTGCCTTCATCAGCACCAGGCGACCTGGTGTCCACTCCTGGGCCAGGGCAGGGGAACCCTGGCTACACCTGGTCGAGTCAGACCTCCTGAAGCACCAGTGGCTGGGGTGGTCCACCCTAACCCTGTCAGCCGCTCAGCCTTAAATGTGATCACTCGCTCAGTCAGTCGCCACCCACTCACTCACTCACCCACTCACTTATTCACTCACTCACCCACTCACTTATTCACCCATTCACTCATTCATTCACCCATTCACTCACTCACTTATTCACTCACTCTCTCACTCATTCATTAATTCGCCCATTCACTCACACTTTCACTCACTCACTTATTCACTCATACACTCATTCACTTATTTACTCACTCATTCACTCACTCATTAATTCACCCATTCACTCACTCACTTATTCACTCATAGACTCATACACTCACTCATTCACTCACGCATCCACTCATTCACTCACTCATTTACCCACTCACTCACTCACCCACTCACTTATTCACTCACTCACCCACTCACTTATTCACCCATTCACTCATTCATTCACCCATTCACTCACTCACTTATTCACTCACTCTCTCACTCATTCATTAATTCGCCCATTCACTCACACTTTCACTCACTCACTTATTCACTCATACACTCATTCACTTATTTACTCACTCATTCACTCACTCATTAATTCACCCATTCACTCACTCACTTATTCACTCATAGACTCATACACTCACTCATTCACTCACGCATCCACTCATTCACTCACTCATTTACCCACTCATTCACTCATTCACTCACTCACTCATTTATTCACCCATTCACTCACTCATTCATTCACTCACTCACTGACTCATTGACTCATTCCCTCACTCATTCACCCATTCACTTACTCATTCACTCACCCATTTATTCACTCACTCACTCATTTACTCATTCATTCACCCATTCACTCACTCACTGACTCATTGACTCATTCACTCATTCACCCATTCACTTACTCACTCACTCATTTACTCACTCATTCATTCATTGACTCATTAACTCATTCACTCTCTCATTCACTCACTCACTGACTCATTAACTCATTCACTCTCTCATGCATCCACTCATTCACTCACTCACTGACTCACTCATTCACTCACTCATTGACTCACTCATTTGGTTATTCACTCATTCACTCACTCACTGACTCATTCACTCACTCATTCACTGCTCACTTATTCACTCTTTCACTATCTCTTTCATTCACATTCATTCATTAACTCAGTCACTCACTCATTCACTCTCACTCATTCACTTACTCATTCACTCATTCACTCATCTATTCATTCACTCATTCACTCACTCATTCATTCACCCATTCACTCATTCATTCACCCATTCACTCACTCACTTATTCACTCATAGACTCATACACTCACTCACTCATTGACTCACTCACTCATTCACTCATGCATCCACTCATTCACTCACTCATTTACTCACTCACTCACTCATTCATTCACCCATTCACTCAATCATTCATTCACTCACTCACTGACTCATTGACTCATTCCCTCACTCATTCACCCATTCACTTATTCATTCACTCACCCATTTATTCACTCACTCACTCATTTACTCATTCATTCACCCATTCACTCACTCATTCACTCACTCACTAACTCATTGACTCATTCACTCACTCATTCCCCCTTCACTTACTCACTAACTTATTTACTCACTCATTCACTCACTCATTCATTGACTCATTAACTCATTCACTCTTTCACTCACTCACTGACTCATTCACTCATTCACTCACTCATTCACTCACTCACCCACTCATTGACTCACTCATTCACTTATTCACTCATTCACTCACTCACTGACTCATTCACTCATTCACTGCTTGCTTATTCACTCTTTCACTATCTCTCTCATTCACATTTATTCATTAACTCAGTCACTCACTCATTCACTCTC
Source organism: Homo sapiens (assembly GCF_000001405.40). Classification (NCBI taxonomy): domain Eukaryota; kingdom Metazoa; phylum Chordata; class Mammalia; order Primates; family Hominidae; genus Homo; species Homo sapiens. The sequence continues at coordinate 1,156,343 of NC_000011.10, forward strand.
TCATTCACTTACTCATTTACTCACTCATTTACTCATTCACTCTCTCATTCACTTACTCATTTACTCACTCATTTACTCACTCACTCACCTGTTCACTCACTCGCTCACTCATTCACATTCATTTTAACTCACTCATTTACTCATAGACTCACTCATTTATCCACTTACTTATTCATTACCTCATTCATTCACTCACTCAATCATTTTCCCTTTCCCCACACTCCTGCCACATGTGAAGTGCTCTTTCTCTAGGCACCTGGGCTAAGACAGGACATGGGGAGGGAAAGGCACAGAAATGGAGAAGTAGGCAATCATAAAGAGCTTGGGACGGGTCCCTAGAGAGCTGGAAGCAAGTGCTCAGAACAGCCTTGAGGCACCTCTTCAACCCTAACCCCTCTGCAGCAGGACAAAGGGCCCAGCCCAGCCTCTCCCTTTCCTGCCATTCCTCCCATGGGAGACCTTCTGGTTGGACGCTCCACATGGGCAGTGGAGCAGCCGACCTTGGCTGGGGAGTGTGTGGCTGCCTGGGAGGGAGAGTCTAGCCACAGTGTCCAGCCACACACCTGTGGTCTGGGCAAGTGTTCATCACACAACAGCACCTTCTCAGCCAGAGCCCTTCAGGCCAAAGACTCACTGGGACCTTTCTGTGCTGGGACTGCTCGGACCAGTCAACAGCTTCCTGTCCAGAGGGTACTGAGCATTTCTGGATCTTGGTGGCCAGAGACCATCAAGTGACTTGAACTGGCCCTGCCCGCCTGGGGTCAGGAGACAGAAGCACAGGTGGACTCCTGGGCAATGCTGGGAGGGGGCTGCATGGTGAGGGAGGGGTTCTATCATTTGCCTGGAGGCTGCTGCCAGGAGCCCCTCTCCAGGGAGGGTGAGGCTGGCTGGCGCTACTTCAGTGGCAGCATGTGGCTGGCCTGAGGGACGCCTTGGCTCACTCACTCCTCAATCACTCATTTACTCATTCATTCACTCACTCAATCATTTTTCCTTTCGCCACACTCCTGCCGCATGTGCTCTCTCTCTAGGCATCCGGGTAAGACAAGACATGGGGAGTAAAAGGCACAGAAATGGAGAAATAGGTGACCATAAGGAGCTTTGGATGGGGCTGGGGCTGGCCTCTCCCTCCCAGGCAGCCACACATTCCCCAGCCAAGGTCGGCAGCTCCACTGCCCATGTGGAGGGTCCAACCAGGAGGTCGGCCATGGGAGGAATGGCAGGAAAGGGAAAGGCTGGGCTGGGCCCCCTGTCCTGCTGCAGAGGGATTAGTGTCAAAGAGGTGCCTTAAGGCTGTTCTGAGCACTCACTTCTGGGCACCAGGAACTCACAGGCTGCTGGGCATGGCACGGTGCCCAGGGAGAGTCTAGGGTGGGGTATGTGGGGAGGACCCCTGCAGGCCAGGGCTTGGGGGGGCCCTCGGAAACTGGGCTCTATCCGGCAGACACACCCATCTCCGCCTGCCACCGGCCGCTGGCCAGCCCGCAGTGAGCACCCACTGTTTACTTGGGTGAGGGGGAACCACAGGCCCCGCCCTGCCCACCCACGTGAAGCACGGGGCTGGAGCCAGCTCTGGGGCTACAAAAAGCTCCTGCCACCTTGGGTCCCTCCTCAGAGGCTGCTGAGGGACAGGGCACTCTTCCCCGCCGTCCACACAATGAGTGTTGGCCGGAGGAAGCTGGCCCTGCTCTGGGCCCTGGCTCTCGCTCTGGCCTGCACCCGGCATACAGGTACGGCTTGGCCCCTGGCCGCTCTACTGGTCCTGGGTGGTGCGGTACTGAGTGGGCCTCAGGCAGCTCAGTCTTTGCCCTGGGTTCCGGGCAGGCTGCATGTGCCATGAACGGCTCCCAGCAGCATAGCCCCTGACTGTGGCCTGGCCACGAACGAGCAGTTTCCCCTTGTGGGGTTGGGAAGGGATCTCTGGGCTTCGCGGACCTCTGAGGCTGGGCCATTCCCTGAGGCAGGGAAGTAGGAGCTCAGATCTCGGGCTTTCCCTCCCGGCCCGGATCCCTGCACCTGTCCCCAGAAGCCGACAGCACCTGGCCCACAGTATCTCCAGCTGCTCATGGCCCCTGCTGGGCCTGGTCGGGGCATTAGCCCCAGGCACCTGCCCTTGCACACCCCACACATGCCCAGTTCACCAGCTCACGTTCCCTGTCTGGGCCTCGATGGGGATCTCCTGCGGGGGGAGGTCTCAGCCTCTGAGCTGGGATGTGATGGTGAGGCCCACAAGGGAACTGTTTCACCCCCGCCCTGAGGCTAAGAGGGTGATGGGGGAGGCTCCAGGTCCTGTGGTCTGGACTGCCCCTTGCTGGGCCAGCAGTTCCCTTCCTCTGCTTCTGAGGGACACCTGGGACCGGGTCTGCTGGTGACCATGTGCCCCCATGGGGTAATGCCGGGGTTTGGAGGGGGGTGGGTGCTCCTGGGCTCCTGGAACAGCAGGGCAGGGACCTCAGCACTGCCGAGACCGCCACATGGCCCACCCAGGTCCCTCGCCCAGCCCTGTCCCCAGCCTCTGGCCCTCTGCCAGGCAGTCTCAGAGCAAGAAGAACCCTCTCCCGGTGTCTCCGTGCCACCCTCCACTGTGGCCTAGTCGGACTCTGCCCCGCCGTCCCTCGTCTGTACCACCCTCATCTCAGAAGCAGGAATTCTGTCCCGGGGCTGCTCCCAGGAGAGGGCGGAGCTGGGGCTGGGGTCTGCGGGGGCTTAGAAGGTGGGGGCAGGCCTGGGCTGGGACTAGATAAGTGAGGCTCAGGCCGTCATCTCCGTCTCCCCCACGGGGCTTGCAGATGCTAACACCCCTCCGCCCACTGACGGATTTGATGCAGTGGGCCCCACTGGGGCCAGAGGGTGTGAGGGCGAGGGGGGTCTCCCAGCCTGGCCTGAGGACCCCTATGCCAGTTGCGGGAACTGGAAAGCTGGGGCTGGGGTGCAGGCGAATCACAGCTTTCCCTAAGACCCCTCTCTGCAGGTCCTGGGCTGGGCCGGGCGCCCCTCCCACCATGCTGGTGCTGTGCGGGGCTGTGCGGGGCTGTGCGGGGCTGGGGTCCAGTCCCACGATGATGGTGCTGGGCGGGGCTGTGCGGGGTTGTGTGGGGGGTCTGGTCCCCCCATGCTGGGGTGCTGTGCGGGGCTGTACGAGGCTGTGAGGGGCTGTGCGAGGCTGGGGTCTGGTCCCACCATGCTGGTTCTGTGCGGGGCTGTGCGGGGCTGTGCGGGGCTGTGCGGGGCTGTGCGGGGCTGTGCGGGGCTGTGCGGGGCTGTGCGGGGCTGGGGTCTGGTCCCACCATGCTGGCTCTGTGCAGGGCTGTGCGGGGCTGGCGTCTGGCCCCACCATGCTGGTTCTGTGCGGGGCTGTGTGGGGCTGTGTGGGGCTGTGCGGGGCTGGGGTCTGGTCCCACCATGCTGGCTCTATGCAGGGCTGTGCGGGGCTGGGGTCTGGTCCCACCATGCTGGCTCTGTGCAGGGCTGTGCAGGGCTGGCGTCTGGCCCCACCATGCTGGTTCTGTGCGGGGCTGTGTGGGGCTGTGTGGGGCTGTGTGGGGCTGGGGCTGGTCCCACCATGCTGGCTCTGCGACGGGCTGTGCGGGGCTGTGTGGGGCTGGGGCTGGTCCCACCATGCTGGCTCTGTGCAGGGCTGTGCGGGGCTGGGGTCTGGTCCCACCATGCTGGCTCTGTGCAGGGCTGTGCGAGGCTGTGGTCTGGTCCCACTATGCTGGCTCTGTGCAGGGCTGTGCGGGGCTGGGCCGGGCTGAAATCTGGTGACATTCTGCACATTAGCACAGTCTCTATGGACCCTGAAGATCAGCCTCCTGCAGGGTCTGCTGCTTGTAGGGAGGCAGGGTCCTCCAGGTGGTCTTGGGGCCGACCCCTCCCATGCCTTTGACTGCTCCAGCCCCTCAGTGGGATCACTGTACTGGACAGGGGTCCCAAGCGTGGCAGCGTGGGGGCCAGGGCCTGGCACGCTTGGCAGTGAGTGGGAATGAATAGATAGGGATGCCAGATCGGGGCGAAGGGTCCTGACGCCACCTGCTCCATGGGGCCAGGCTGAGGAGATGCTCCTGGAGGGTCTGGGCTCAGACTTCAGACTCACATGGACAGAGGCCTCCTAGGACCCCCCCAACCCAGCACAGAGAGAGCCCTTGCCACGGGCCACCCCCACGCACTGTGGCCTCCCGTCCCTCTGGTGTCCATGCTGCATCTGTGGCCGCAGCCTGAGCCCCCTCAGCCACCCTGCATCTGGGCTCAGCCCCCCTCCTCTTTCTGCAGGCCATGCCCAGGATGGCTCCTCCGAATCCAGCTACAAGCACCACCCTGCCCTCTCTCCTATCGCCCGGGGGCCCAGCGGTGAGTCTGAGTGTCCGGCCCCCACCCTAAGCCTGTCAGATTCCACCCTCCACCGTGTGGCACGGCCCCTAGGGCCACTGGTCTTAGGGTGGCTCCCCAGCTGGCCACTGCTGAGGACCAAACCTGGGGGGACAGGAGGACACCCCCACATCCATGGCCCTGGTCGGTCACACTACCTGCCTCTCCTTGGGCCAGCCCCCTGCAGCGCTTAGGCTCTGAAGGAGCTGCAGGGCGGGGCAGATTTGCTGTGCCCATGTCCCGTGGGAGCCGGTCACCCTCCGGGGATCTGGAGCTGGGTCCTGCCTTGGTGTCCCCCCCGTTCACCTCCTGACGCTTCAGCAACACGGGCATCTCCCTTGGCGCCGGCCGTCCCCATGTGGCTCGTGCTAGCGGGAGCCCGTGGAGGCCCAGCAGCCCTGGCAGAGGCAGGGCAGGCAAGGGCAGCCAGGGCAGGGGGCTTCAGGCAAACTCTCAGATTGCATTTCTCCAAATCGGGCCAGACAGGCCTAATCTCAGCACCTGAGAGATTGTCTTGAGCCGCTGATGCAGACTCAGGTTCTGAGGCCCATGGGCATGTGAGAGCTGGCAGCCCCTGGGGACTTCTTCCTGGTGACAGCCGGGAGGAATGAAAAAGTCACCGAACGCAGGGTGTGTGGTCACAAGTACACAACGTGCAGATGGTGGGTGGGTGGGAGGGGGCCCAACACGCAGCAGAATCCGGAGTTGGCTTCGGAGCCAGGAGCTGGGACCTGCTGACTCTGGAACGTCTCCTCTGGCTGCGGAGCCCCCGCCCCACGTGGGGCCGTGCGTGAATCCTACCAGCCCCTGTCTCCGCAGGGGTCCCGCTCCGTGGGGCGACTGTCTTCCCATCTCTGAGGACCATCCCTGTGGTACGAGGTGAGTGGAGCCCGGAGGCCTGGGTGGGGAAGGGTCATAGCTTTGCTGAGCTCCCCGCTCAGGCCTGGAGGTGCCGGGTGGAGAGGGGCCCCAGCTTTCCGGGTGAACACTGGGTGGGTATTGGAGCCAGAGGGCCCAGCATCTCCCTGCACACGTTTCTGGGACTTCCCAGATGCAGGAAGGACCCCTGGGTGCCCCGTCCAGGGCAGCAGCACTTCCTGCAGGACCCTGGGGAGGGGCAGGAGGTACAGGGCAGAGGCAGGGGGTGCAGGGCGAGGATGAGGGCGACGCCCCCAAACACCATGCTGCTTCCACCGCAGCCTCCAACCCGGCGCACAACGGGCGGGTGTGCAGCACCTGGGGCAGCTTCCACTACAAGACCTTCGACGGCGACGTCTTCCGCTTCCCCGGCCTCTGCAACTACGTGTTCTCCGAGCACTGCGGTGCCGCCTACGAGGATTTTAACATCCAGCTACGCCGCAGCCAGGAGTCAGCGGCCCCCACGCTGAGCAGGGTCCTCATGAAGGTGGATGGCGTGGTCATCCAGCTGACCAAGGGCTCCGTCCTGGTCAACGGCCACCCGTGAGTCTGGGTTCTGGGATGGTGGGGGCCACGCGGCGTGTGGGGTGGCATTTCCGGGTGGTTGCGGGGTTTCGCGGTCCTGGGAGGGATGTGGATTTCTCAGGAAGCCCCTGAGAGCAGAGCTGGACATGGGCCCTCCCTCGTCCCCCGAGTGGCCCACCTGCCCCTCCTGGGATCCCCAGGCTCTTATTCTGCCCCTTCCTAGCTCCTCGTGACCCCCGAGCTCCAGAGGTCAATGTCCCCATCCCAGACGCGACTTCACGGTCACGATGACCGTGTCACATTTGCGACCGCAGGCATCTGCCCTGCCTGGGGTCTCTCCTCACTGCGCTCCCAGCCCCTCAGCCCTGCCTTCCTCCACAGGGTCCTGCTGCCCTTCAGCCAGTCTGGGGTCCTCATTCAGCAGAGCAGCAGCTACACCAAGGTGGAGGCCAGGCTGGGCCTTGTCCTCATGTGGAACCACGATGACAGCCTGCTGGTGAGGCTGGGTGGGGGTGTCCCGGTGTGCAACTCCAGCCCTCGAGGGCCGGCCTGCTCCCACAGCCTCTCCGGAGAGGGTAGAAGGTGCCCTGGGCCCAGTCAGGGTCAGACTCCACCCCACACAGCAGGCAAGAACAGGTGCCCAGACACCAATGGTGTCCCGGGGTCTGTGCCCCCAGGATGGAGACTGCTTTCGGGGGTGTCTCTTCCGTGGGCCTCGGCCCCTCCTCGGAAATCTCAGGCTCGAGCCTCATCTGTCCATCTGCCCCTGGTGGGGATGGGTGTCTGATGTCTCTCCCTTTGCAGCTGGAGCTGGACACCAAATACGCCAACAAGACCTGTGGGCTCTGTGGGGACTTCAACGGGATGCCCGTGGTCAGCGAGCTCCTCTCCCACAGTAAGGCCCCACATCGCCCTCAGCCCCTTCCTCAGTGTCCCCTGGGGGCTCAGTGTTGTGTGCACACACACCCTCTGACACTCCGGGCACACACATGCACAGATACACGGATGCAGCTGCCCTCCCTCCTAGCACAGCACACACGTGCACACACGCGATCCCGCAACGCCGGCCTGTCTCAGGAGTGCAGGCAGGGAGCAAATCGCCCATTGGGCCCCTTGCTCTGTGTGGCTGCTCTGGGTGGCGACCCCTGACTGCACGCCCTCTCCTGAAATGACAGACCTGCCTCCTTCTTGGTCTTTGAGTCTCTGCCACCAGGCAGTGGCCTTGCAAATGTGACCTGCACCAGCCAAGGCCCCACTCCCTGCCTCCCCCTGCCAGGCCCATGAAGCCCCATACAAGCCCCGAGTACAGGGTGTCCCTCTGTGGGGAACTGAGTCTGCCTGGGTGTCCAGCAGCCCTTGGCAAGGCAGGCTCAGTGCTGGGGGGGCTGGGTTCTGTGGACTGGGAGGTGTTCAGGCTCCAGCCAGCCTGGCAGGAGGAGACCAGGGTCCTGGGTCAGTTGAGGCCTCAGCCGGCGGCACCCTGTGGCCCGGACACCAACCTCCTGGGCTGTTTCTCCCCATCATTCCAGACCCCCTGAGGGTCCCAGCAGCATGCATGGGGTGGCCAAGCGGGTGCAGTCAGGACAACTCAGGCATCCAGATGGGGCAGGAGCCACCGATGGCCCTTCTAACCCCACCCCAGGGACCCGGCCCTGGGGGCTCTGCTGCTCGGGTGCTGGGCTGACGGGTACCGGGACCTGCAGGCAGAGCCCGCCTCTGTGCTTGCCGCAGACACCAAGCTGACACCCATGGAATTCGGGAACCTGCAGAAGATGGACGACCCCACGGACCAGTGTCAGGACCCTGTCCCTGAACCCCCGAGGAACTGCTCCACTGGCTTTGTAAGCCTTGGAGGGAACAGAGGGCCCAGCAGGTTGAGCAGGAGGGGTTGTGAGCCTGGGAACCGGTCCAGATCCCCCACCGAGGACTCAGACGGGCTGTGGCCTTTGTCCTAGGGCATCTGTGAGGAGCTCCTGCACGGCCAGCTGTTCTCTGGCTGCGTGGCCCTGGTGGACGTCGGCAGCTACCTGGAGGCTTGCAGGCAAGACCTCTGCTTCTGTGAAGACACCGACCTGCTCAGCTGCGTCTGCCACACCCTTGCCGAGTACTCCCGGCAGTGCACCCATGCAGGGGGGTTGCCCCAGGACTGGCGGGGCCCTGACTTCTGCCGTGAGTGTCCCAGCCCCCTGTCCCCCAACCCCTTTGGCAGGGAGGGCAGGGGCAGGCAGACGTGAGCCCTCTCTCTGCCTCCCGCAGCCCAGAAGTGCCCCAACAACATGCAGTACCACGAGTGCCGCTCCCCCTGCGCAGACACCTGCTCCAACCAGGAGCACTCCCGGGCCTGTGAGGACCACTGTGTGGCCGGCTGCTTCTGCCCTGAGGGTGAGGCTCCCCCGCCCCTGGGAAACACAGGTGCACCCCGACAACTAGGGGGCTGTGCTCCCATGGCCAAGCCTCGGAAGAAGGACCCCAGTCCTAGTGTCCCGGGCCCCTGAGGCTGACTGAGGCCCCTGTCCTGGGCCGCTGAGGCTGGCTGAGGATCCTGTCCTGGGCCCCCTGAGGCTGGCTGAGGCCCCTCTCCTGGGCCCCTAAGGCTGGTTGAGAATCCTGTCCTGAGCCTCCTGAGGCTGGCTGATGCCCCTGTCCCGGGCCCCTGAGGCTGGCTGAGGCCCCTGTCCTGGGCCCCTGAGGCTGGCTGAGGATCCTGTCCTGGGCCCCCTGAGGCTGGCTGATGCCCCTGTCCCGGGCCCCTGAGGCTGGCTGAGGATCCTGTCCTGAGCCCCCTGAGGCTGGCTGATGCCCCTGTCCCGGGCCCCTGAGGCTGGCTGAGGCCCCTGTCCCGGGCCCCTGAGGCTGGCTGAGGATCCTGTCCTGGGCCCCCTGAGGCTGGCTGAGGCCCCTGTCCTGGGCCCCTGAGGCTGGCTGAGGCCCCTGTCCTGGCCCCCTGAGGCTGGCTGAGGCCCCTGTCCCGGGCCCCTGAGGCTGGCTGATGCCCCTGTCCCGGGCCCCTGAGGCTGGCTGAGGCCCCCGTCCTGGGCCCCTGGAGCTGGCTGAGGCCCCAGCTCGCTGTGGGGCCGCCATGTTGTTCCCCTGCAACGCCCACTGCGTGGACACAGCAGGCGCCCGTCATAGGCCTGCCTGACCCCTGCAGGGACGGTGCTTGACGACATCGGCCAGACCGGCTGTGTCCCTGTGTCAAAGTGTGCCTGCGTCTACAACGGGGCTGCCTATGCCCCAGGGGCCACCTACTCCACAGACTGCACCAACTGGTAGGTCCCAGCCCCCCTCCAGGCCACCAAGGATGTGCTATGGGACAGACCTGCTGGGGGTTGCAACCCAGGCCGGCAGGCTCCCTCGTCTGGGCTACGGTGTAGGCAGGCCTGGGGTGAGACCCGGTCAGCCTCCTGACGCGGAGGCTGGAGGCTGGTCTCCTGGGGCCGGCACCCACGTGGCACCATCTCTTGCTCTCAGCACCTGCTCCGGAGGCCGGTGGAGCTGCCAGGAGGTTCCATGCCCGGGTACCTGCTCTGTGCTTGGAGGTGCCCACTTCTCAACGTTTGACGGGAAGCAATACACGGTGCACGGCGACTGCAGCTATGTGCTGACCAAGGTACGGCCTGGCTGCCTGGGGTGCTCGCCGGACAGAGGGGGCCCATGGCCAGCCTCCCACAGGCTCCCCCAGCTTGGCTGCATGTCACTGCTGCCCCTGGGGTCACCCTTGGGGGTCCCCGATGTTGAGACCTCAAGGAAGCACTCCAGCTCCCCAGCGCTAGTCCTCACAGGGCCATGAAGGCTGCAGATCAGAGCCTCCAGCACCCACCCAGCATTGGGCCTCACCCAGCACTGGGCCCTCTGCACCTTGGGCTGTTTATTTAACAGACTTTACTCTTGAGAATAGTTTTAGGTTAACAAGGAAATTGAGCACAAAGTACTCCTGCCCCAACACACAGTGTCCCCACGATGAGACCCTGCACCAAACACACAGTCTCTCCCAGAGGAGACCCTGCACCCAACACACAGTCTCCCTATGGTGAGACCCTGCACCCAACACACAGTCTACCCAAGATGAGACCCTGCACCCAACACACAGTCTCCCTATGGTGAGACCCTGCACCCAACATACAGTCTCTGCACGATGAGACCCTGCACCCAACACACAGTCTCCCACGATGAGACCCTGCACCCAACACACAGTCTCCCTATGGTGAGACCCTGCACCCGACACACAGTCTCTCCACAATGAGACCCTGCACCCGACACACAGTCTCTGCACGATGAGAGCCTGCACCCAACACACAGTCTCCCACGATGAGACCCTACACCCAACACACAGTCTCTCCACGATGAGACCCTGCACCCAACACACAGTCTCTCCACGATGAGACCCTGCACCCAACACACAGTCTCCCCAAGATGAGACCCTGCACCCGACACACAGTCTCTGCACGATGAGACCCTGCACCCAACACACAGTCTCCCCAAGATGAGACCCTGCACCCAACACACAGTCTCCCCAAGATGAGACCCTGCACCCGACACACAGTCTCTGCACGATGAGACCCTGCACCCAACACACAGTCTCCCCAAGATGAGACCCTGCACCCAACACACAGTCTCCCCAAGATGAGACCCTGCACCCAACACACAGTCTCCCACGATGAGACCCTGCACCCAACACACAGTTTCTCCACGATGAGACCCTGCACCCAACACACAGTCTCCCCAAGATGAGACCCTGCACCCGACACACAGTCTCTGCACGATGAGACCCTGCACCCAACACACAGTCTCCCCAAGATGAGACCCTGCACCCAACACACAGTCTCCCCAAGATGAGACCCTGCACCCGACACACAGTCTCTGCACGATGAGACCCTGCACCCAACACACAGTCTCCCCAAGATGAGACCCTGCACCCAACACACAGTCTCCCCAAGATGAGACCCTGCACCCAACACACAGTCTCCCACGATGAGACCCTGCACCCAACACACAGTCTCCCTATGGTGAGACCCTGCACCCAACACACAGTCTCTGCACGATGAGACCCTGCACCCAACACACAGTCTCCCCAAGATGAGACCCTGCACCCAACACACAGTCTCTCCCAGATGAGACTCTGCACCCAACACAGTCTCCCCAAGATGAGACCTTGCACTCAACACATAGTCTCCCCCGATGAGACCCTGCACCCAACACACAGTCTCCCACAATGAGACCCTGCACCCAATACACAGTTTCCCTATGATGATACCCTGCGCTGGGGTGGAGGCTGCACTGGTACCCTCACCTCCCAGGTCATGGTTGACATCAGCGACCCTCGTGGTGGTGAAATTCCACGTTTAAGACAGATGTGCAGTGTCTTGTTCCTGCCAGGAAGTTTCACGCAGACAGCTCCACTGCCCTGAAACCCCTTGGAGCTCCTCACCCCTCTCTCGCCCAGCCCCTGGCAGCTGCTGGCATTTGCACCTTCTGAGTGCTGTCTTTCCCAGAGGGTCCTATAGTTGGCGTTGCAGAGTGTGGCCTCCTCAGGGTGCATGCAGATTTCTGTGTGTGCCTGGGTGTCCACACCTGGGGGCCTCCTAGCACACCTCCCTCTCGGGGACTGGGATGGTGGAGTGGGGTTTTCTAGTGAGGGAGAGGAGCACAGCCGGGTGGACTGGCAGGGCCAGGTGGGCTGGGCGTTGGATGGAGTGTGAGGACCCCTGGTGTGTCGTGTTCCGCAGCCCTGTGACAGCAGTGCCTTCACTGTACTGGCTGAGCTGCGCAGGTGCGGGCTGACGGACAGCGAGACCTGCCTGAAGAGCGTGACACTGAGCCTGGATGGGGCGCAGACGGTGAGTGGAGCCTGGCAGGGCAAACCCCGGGAAGAGGGAAGGGGCCTGTCTCTTCTGCAAGTCACCTCTGCCCAAGCCCTTCATCCCTGGCATGAACAGCGAGAGGCGGGGACCCTCTGGCAACACTGGCTGTGTCCATTACTTATGGGTCCACGTGACTGTCCCTAAAGGGAGAAGCTCAGGGCCGGGCCTCCCGGGCCGCCATACCTGACCCAAGGGGCCCCAGGAAGGAGGGACTGGGCGCACCTGCGGCCAGCATGGCTTCTCCACTGAAGTCAATTTATGTTTAGTTAATAACCTTGGTTTTCACTGAAGAATGAAAGGCATGGTCCTCGCAGAAAATTCAGAAAATCAGGCGAGCACAAGGCCACCTTGTAGGAGCCGCAGCTGCAGGGAAAGGCCTCCTAGGCACCTGCAGGCACATTTCACAGCCTCCGCGGGGCTGAGGTGCCGCAAGCCTGCCCCGCGCTCACACATCTGTCTGGCTGCCCTCAGGTGGTGGTGATCAAGGCCAGTGGGGAAGTGTTCCTGAACCAGATCTACACCCAGCTGCCCATCTCTGCAGGTGAGGGCAGTGGCTTCTTCCCCACCCCGGGGCTGCCTGGGGTCCCGCCCCACAGCCCCCAGCAAAACCCTTGTCCTTTGTGTCCCCAGCCAACGTCACCATCTTCAGACCCTCAACCTTCTTCATCATCGCCCAGACCAGCCTGGGCCTGCAGCTGAACCTGCAGCTGGTGCCCACCATGCAGCTGTTCATGCAGCTGGCGCCCAAGCTCCGTGGGCAGACCTGCGGTAAGAGGGCTGCCTTCTGGGCTTGGAGCCCACCCACTCTGGCCAGGGCGCATGGTCCTCAACCTGCCTAACCCGCCCCCAGGTCTCTGTGGGAACTTCAACAGCATCCAGGCCGATGACTTCCGGACCCTCAGTGGGGTGGTGGAGGCCACCGCTGCGGCCTTCTTCAACACCTTCAAGACCCAGGCCGCCTGCCCCAACATCAGGAACAGCTTCGAGGACCCCTGCTCTCTGAGCGTGGAGAATGGTACGGGTGTCCACGGCTCGCCTCTGTGCTGGCCGCCTGGCGCTGGTTCACCCGCTTCCATTTGGCACTGCAGGCAGCGAGGCCGGCCCTGCGTGTGCCTGTGAGCCGGGTGGGGTGGCTCACGAAGGGGCCCAAGGACAGGCTCATGGTGGGCGCCCAACCCAGCTTATGTGGAGCTTCAGGAATGTGGGGCATCTGCTTCAGGGTCAAAGAAAGGGTACAAGTCTCTGTTGGTCAACATCCGCCCTGACCGCCTACCCCTGCACAGGGTGGAGTGGTGGGGACGTGGGGAATGGATTCACCCACTCACCCACCCGTTCACCCATTCACTCACTCACCCACTCACCCACTCACCCACCTCACTCGCCGACTCAACCATTCACTCACCCATTCGCCCACTCACCTCACTCACTCACCCACTCACTCACTCACCTCACTCACTCACCCACTCACTCACTCACCTCACTCACTCACCCATTCACCCATTCACTCACTCACCCACTCACCCACTCACCCACCTCACTCGCCGACTCAACCATTCACTCACCCATTCGCCCACTCACTCACCTCACTCACTCACCCACTCACTCACTCACCTCACTCACTCACCCATTCACCCATTCACTCACTCACCCACTCACCCACTCACTCACCCATTCACCCATTCACCCACTCACTCACCTCACTCACTGACTCAACTATTCACTCACCCATTCGCTCACTCACTCACCTCACTCACTCGCCCACTCACCCACTCACGCTTTCACCCACTCACCTACTCACTCACCCACTCACCCATTCACCCACTCACTCACCCACTCACCGACTCACCCATTCACCCACTCACCCACTCACTCACCCACTCACCGACTCAACCATTCACTCACCCATTCACCCATTCACTCACTCGCCCACTCACCCACTCACCCATTCACCCACTCACCTACTCACTCACCCACTCACCCATTCACCCATTCACCCACTCACTCACCCACTCACCGACTCAACCATTCACTCACCCATTGCCCACTCACTCACCTCACTCACTCACCCACTCACTCACTCACCTCACTCACTCACCCACTCACCCATTCACCCATTCACTCACTCACCCACTCACCCATTCACCCATTCACTCACTCACCCACTCACCCATTCACCCATTCACTCACTCACCCACTCACCCATTCACCCATTCACTCACTCACCCACTCACCCATTCACCCATTCACTCACTCACCCACTCACCCACTCACTCACCCATTCACCCATTCACCCACTCACTCACCTCACTCACTGACTCAACCATTCACTCACCCATTTGCCCACTCACTCACCTCACTCACGCGCCCACTCACCCACTCACCCATTCACCCACTCACCTACTCACCCACTCACCCATTCACCCATTCACCCACTCACTCACCCACTCACCGACTCACCCATTCACCCACTCACCCACTCACTCACCCACTCACCGACTCAACCATTCACTCACCCATTCACCCATTCACTCACTCGCCCACTCACCCACTCACCCACTCACCCACTCACCTACTCACTCACTCACTCACCCATTCACCCACTCACCTACTCACTCACCCACTCACCCATTCACCCATTCACCCACTCACTCACCCACTCACCAACTCACCCATTCACCCACTCACCCACTCACTCACCCACTCACTGACTCAACCATTCACTCACCCATTCACCCATTCACTCACTCGCCCACTCACCCACTCACCCACTCACCTATTCACTCACTCACTCACCCACTCACCCATTCACCCATTCACCCACTCACTCACCCACTGACTGACTCAACCATTCACTCGCCTATTCGCCCACTCACTCACCTCACTCACTCACCCACTCACTCACCTCACTCACTCACCCACTCACCCATTCACCCACTCACCTACTCACTCACCCACTCACCCATTCACCCCACTCACCTACTCACTCACCCACTCACCCATTCACCCATTCACCCACTCACTCACCCACTCACCGACTCACCCATTCACCCACTCACCGACTCACCCATTCACACACTCACCGACTCAACCATTCACTCACCCATTCGCCCACTCATTCACCTCACTCACTCACCCACTCACCCACTCACTCATCCATTCACCCATTCACACACTCACTCACTTACTCACTCACTCAACTTACTCACTCACCCACTCACCCATTCACTCATTCACCCACTCATCCACTCACCCACTCACTCACCCACTCACTCACCCATTCACCCACTCACTCACCTACTCACTCAGTCACCTCACTCACTCACTCACGCATTCACTCACTCACTCACCCACTCACCCACTCACCCATTCACTCACCCATTCACCCATTCATCCACTCACTCACCTCACTCACTCACTCAACTTACTCACCCACTCACCCATTCACCCATTCACCCCCTCACTCACCCACTCACCCACTCACTCACCCATTCACCCATTCACCCACTCACTCACCCACTCACCCACTCACTCACCTACTCAACCACCCACTCACCCACTCACTTACCCATTCACCCACTCACCCACTCACTCACCCATTCACCCACTCACGAACTCACTCACCCACTCACCCACTCACTCACTCACCCATTCACCCACTCACCCACTCACTCACCCATTCACCCACTCACCCACTCACTCACCCACTCATCCATTCACTAACTCACCCATTCACCCACTCACCCACTCAACACTCACTCACCCACTCACCCATTCACCCACTCACCCACTCATCCATTCACTCACTCACCCACTCACCCACTCAACACTCACTCACCCACTCACCCATTCACTCACTCACCCATTCACCCACTCACCCACTCGCTCACCCATTCACCCACTCACCTACTCACTCACTCACTCATCCACTCATTCACTCACTCACTCACTCACTCACTCACTCACTCACTCACTCAGTCATTCACTTCGCCTTCAGAGCTTGGGCGCCAGCCGTGGGGAGGTGGGATCCCATTTGCTGGTTCTGGCCTTCTTCCTGCAGCCTGGGAAGCCAGGGTCCAGTGAGCCCAGTGGAGGGGCCAGAAGGGCCTTGGTTTGTCTGTCCACAGTGGTGGTCACTAGCGTCCCTGGAAGGCGGCACTGTGAGAGGCTGTGAGGGGCTGGGTGGGACATGCAGGAAACGAGAGAAGCCTCGGTTCTGGATGTTGTACCCTGCGTTTGGGGGAGCTTTTCCTCGGGGAGGGCGCCACACCACCCAGGCTGAGTGTGTAGCAGGATGAAGGGCCCAACATCAGACTGCCCAGAGAAGCTGGCCACCCAAACCCCACACCAGAGGCCAAGCTGGGTGGGATGAGTGTGCTGCCTGATCTTAATCCTAACCCTATCCCTCCTCTGTCCACAGAGAAGTATGCTCAGCACTGGTGCTCGCAGCTGACCGATGCCGACGGCCCCTTCGGCCGGTGCCATGCTGCCGTGAAGCCGGGAACCTACTACTCGGTAACATCTGCCGCCTCTTGGCCCGGTGGGGCTCCAGCCACTGAGCCTCACGGCTGCCTCCAGGAGGGCTGGGAGGGCACTGGTGGGCTCAGCAGGCAGGACTAACCTTTCTAGGCTGTGATGGGCACCAGGGGCTGGAACCCAGTCTGTCTGTCCAGCTCCATTCCCCACATCCCCACCCACCCATTCACTCATTCACACATTCACCACTCACCCACACACTCACCCATTCACCTACTCACTCACCCGTTCACCCATTCACTCACCCACTCACTCACCCATTCACCCATTTACCCACTCACCCATTCACTCACTCACCCACTCATCCACCCATTCACCCACTCACTCACCCATTCACCCATTTGCCCCCCCACTCACTCACCTATTCACCCATTTACCCACTCACCCATTCTCTCACTCGCCCACTCACCCATTCACTCACTCATCCACTCACCCACCCATTCACCCACTCACTCACCCGTTCACCCATTCGCCCCCCCACTCACCCATTCACTCACTCATTCACTAACTTACTCACTCACTCACTCACCCACTAGCTCTTTCACTCACTCACTCACTCATTCATTCACTCATATCTTCACTGACTCATTCACTCATTTACCCACTCACTAATTCCTTCACCTACTCATCTACTTACTCATTCACTCATCCGCTCACTCATTTACTCACTCATTCACGAATTTCTTCACTCATTTACTCATTTACTCACTCACTAATTCCTTCACTTATTCATTACTCACTCACTCATCCACTCACTCACCCACTCACTCACTCATCCACTCACTCACTCATCCACTCACCCACTCACTCACTCATTCCTTCATTCATTCCTTCACTCACTCATTCACTCATTTACTCACTCACTAATTCCTTCACCTACTCATTCATTCATCCACTCATCCACTCACTCACTCATCCACTCACTCATCCACTCACTCATCCACTCACTCGCTCATTCCCTCATTCATTCCTTCACTCACTCATTCACTCATTTACTGACTCACTAATTCCTTCACCTACTCATTCATCCACTCACTCACCCACTCACTCATCCACTCACTCACTCATCCACTCATTACTCATCCACTCACTCATCCACTCACTGATTCCCTCATTCATTCCTTTACTCATTCACTCATTTACTCACTCACTAATTCCTTCACCTACTCATTCATTCACGCACTCATCCACTCACTCACTCACTCATCCACTCACTCATCCACTCACTCACTCATCCACTCACTCGCTCATTCCCTCATTCATTCCTTCACTCACTCATTCACTCATTTACTGACTCACTAATTCCTTCACCTACTCATTCATCCACTCACTCACCCACTCACTCATCCACTCATTACTCATCCACTCACTTACTCATCCACTCACTGATTCCCTCATTCATTCCTTCACTCACTCATTCACTCATTTACTCACTAATTCCTTCACCTACTCATTCACTCACTCATTCATCCACTCATTCACTCACTCACTCATCCACTCACTCACTTATTCCCTCATTCGTTCCTTCACTCATTGGTTAACCATGTTTATGGCATTTTTCTTGCACTTCCAGCCCTACACTAGGCCCAGGGGCTAAACTTCAGGGGTTTGTTGCCCACCTGGCCCCAGGGGCCAAATGAGAATTAGGCCAAGGCTGAGCTGATGTGCTGTGTCTGAGGCAAGCTGGTCTTGGCTGGACCTGTTGGGTCACAGAGATGAAGGATCTGGTTCTCCCAGTAACCCCTGCTCTGCACAGTGGTTCTGCTCCATGACATGCCAAGCAATTCTGCTGAGGGGGCAGGATGCCTGTGAGGACTCACAGAGGGGTCCTGGGGGCAGGAAGACCTGGGATGGGAGGACCCTGGCTGCTGGATGTGTGGCCTGCAGGGCGTGGGGGGCCACCAGGTGTGGGCTGGGGTCTCTGATGCCCCGATGACCCCCTTCCCTGCAGAACTGCATGTTTGACACCTGCAACTGTGAGCGGAGCGAGGACTGCCTGTGCGCCGCGCTGTCCTCCTACGTGCACGCCTGTGCCGCCAAGGGCGTGCAGCTCGGCGGCTGGAGGGACGGCGTCTGCAGTGAGTGCCTGCCAAGCCCAGCCCCTTTCCCTCGCTGGGTGGCCGCGGGTCTTGGGGTGCCCCCAGTGTGCACAGGTTGCTCTAAGGGCCCCCGTCCTCTGTGCTGGGCTTGAGGGCAAGGAGCGCCCAGGTCAGTGTGGCCTTGGACCCGGCCGAGGAGGGGAGGGGAGGGTAGCCGAGAGGGCTGGGCTCACTCACTGCTGGCTGCCCACTGCCGGGCTGTGTGTCCTGAGAATCCCCTCTTCCTGGCATCCCGCAGCGAAGCCTATGACCACTTGCCCCAAGTCAATGACGTACCACTACCATGTCAGCACCTGCCAGCCCACCTGCCGCTCCCTGAGCGAGGGGGACATCACCTGCAGTGTTGGCTTCATCCCCGTGGATGGCTGCATCTGTCCCAAGGGCACCTTCCTGGACGACACGGGCAAGTGTGTGCAGGCCAGCAACTGTCCCTGCTACCACAGAGGCTCCATGATCCCCAATGGGGAGTCGGTGCACGACAGCGGGGCTATCTGGTAAGAGCTCCCGCTGTGGACTGGGGGGTCCCTCGTGTCTCCTGGCCCAGGCTGAGGCTCTGACCACCATCTCCTCACAGCACCTGCACACATGGGAAGCTGAGCTGCATCGGAGGCCAAGCCCCCGCCCCAGGTGAGTGCCAGAAAGGAGGCACTGTGGCCCCCAGCCTCCTCATCTCTATAAGAAATCCTGAAAAATGGCTTCAGGGTTAGCCCCACCACAAGTCAGCGGGGCTGGTGGTTGTCCATCAGCTGCTCAGTGTCAGGCATGGTTTGTGCCCTCTAGGCAGCAAGGGGGAAGAAGGGAGGGTGTGGGGCGCACATATGACACTCACACCCACTCATGCACATGCTCACACACCCACTCATGCACACGCTGACACGCCCACTCATGCACACACACCCATTCATGCACACACTCACACTCATGCACATGCTCACACACCCACTCATGCACACGCATTCACACCCTCATGCACACGCACTCACACCCACTTATGCAACACTCACACACCCACTCATACACACGCACTCACACCCACTCATGCACACACACCCATTCATACTCATGCACACGCTCACACACCCACTCATGCACACACACCGTCATGCACCCACACTCATGCACACGCTCACACACCCACATGCACACGCACTCACACCCACCCACTCATGCACACCACACCCACTCATGCACACGCACTCACACACCCACTTATGGACACGCTCACACATCCACTCATGCACATGCACACACACCCACACATGCACACACACCCACTCATGCACACACACTCATACTCATGCACACACACTCACACCCAGTTATGCAACGCTCACACCCACTCATGGACACGCTCACACACCCACTCATGCACATGCACTCACACCCACTCATGCACACGCACCCACTCAATGTGCACGCACATGGCACAGACACGTCCTCCCTGAACACATGTTTGAGGCACCGCAGCAGCCTGTGGCTGGCCCCCTGACGGCCCCTCCCTCCCCAGTGTGTGCTGCGCCCATGGTGTTCTTTGACTGCCGAAATGCCACGCCCGGGGACACAGGGGCTGGCTGTCAGAAGAGCTGCCACACACTGGACATGACCTGTGTAAGTCCCTGAGGACTCCCCAATGACAGACCCTCCATCTGCCCCTGCCTGCTAAGGGCGCCTGTCCCCAGGGTGGGCAGTGGTGAGCCTCTGACACATTAGGCCATGGGCTGCCCCACGTCCCAGAGGACCCCTGCCCATGCGCTCCCGGACTCCCTGGTCCTGTGGTCCCTCCACTGTGGTGTGGGTGAGCTGTCCCTGGGAGGACCTGGCAGGCCCCGTGCCCTGCCCCATCACTCAGTGGTGTCTGCTGGCCCTGCAGTACAGCCCCCAGTGTGTGCCTGGCTGCGTGTGCCCCGACGGGCTGGTGGCGGACGGCGAGGGCGGCTGCATCACTGCGGAGGACTGCCCCTGCGTGCACAATGAGGCCAGCTACCGGGCCGGCCAGACCATCCGGGTGGGCTGCAACACCTGGTATGCCGGGGGCTCAAAGCCCATGGGGGGTGTCAGGCCCAGGAAACCAGAGGCCCTCCTTAAAGACGGGCGAGCCCCCAGCACAGGGGTCCCGGGAAAACGCAGGGCACAGACTCAGGGCTGGACGCCACCAGCAGCCCCAGCCAGGGAGGCCCAGTGGGCGCGTGTCTATGGTGCCAGGTCCCCCCAGGGGTAGGAAGGCTGCACCCAGTCAGGCAGGCACCCTGTGTGTGCTCTAGCCTGACCCCCAGATGTCCCCCAGCACCTGTGACAGCAGGATGTGGCGGTGCACAGATGACCCCTGCCTGGCCACCTGCGCCGTGTACGGGGACGGCCACTACCTCACCTTCGACGGACAGAGCTACAGCTTCAACGGAGACTGCGAGTACACGCTGGTGCAGGTGAGCCGGCGCGTTTGGGGTCCTCACGGCGGCCCCCGTGGCCCGAAGCTGCTCACTGCCTCTCTGCGGCTGCCCCAGGGTGCACACAGGTTGTCCCCGCCTCATCCTCCTTGCGGGAAGGAGGGCAGGGCCTGCCTGGTCCTTGATGGCCTCTGCTTCCCCAGAACCACTGTGGCGGGAAAGACAGCACCCAGGACTCCTTTCGTGTTGTCACCGAGAACGTCCCCTGCGGCACCACAGGGACCACCTGCTCCAAGGCCATCAAGATTTTCCTGGGGGTGAGCGAGGCTGGGTGGTCGCATGCCCTCCAGGAGGCTCCCATGGCAGCGTCTGGTCAGGTGGGCTGGGGTTCTTGCTGGGGGCCCTGAGTGACCCCTTGCCATGCAGGGCTTCGAGCTGAAGCTAAGCCATGGGAAGGTGGAGGTGATCGGGACGGACGAGAGCCAGGAGGTGCCATACACCATCCGGCAGATGGGCATCTACCTGGTGGTGGACACCGACATTGGCCTGGTGCTGCTGTGGGACAAGAAGACCAGCATCTTCATCAACCTCAGCCCCGAGTTCAAGGTGAGACCACGCCCCTCGTCCAGGCCAGGGCCGGCTGGAAACCTGGAGGTGGGGAGCGTGGAACAGGTGGGCAGAGACGAGAGGCACAGAGACACAGAGAGAAACACAGAGATGGAAGCGGGGTGGGAAGTGGGGGGGACGGAGCCTTGGCAAGGGCAGCGGGTCAGGAGACTCCTTGGCTGGGTGTCAGTGTTCTGGGGCTAGAGCAAAGGCCCGCACCCTGGCGGATTTGCCCGCAGCCTGGACACTGGAAGTCCAGCAGGGCATCCACAGGGCCGAACTCTTTCAGAAGGCTCTGGGGGGCTCCTTTTGGCCCCTTGCATCTGCCGGGGTCCCCAGCGCTCCTTGGCTGTGGCCACATCACTTGGATCGCCGCCCCGTCTTCACGCAGCCTCCTCCCTGTGACTGGGTCTAAGTTTCCCTCTTTTATAAGGACACCAGGCATTGGATTCAGGACCCACTCATTACCTCAGTCTGCAAGACCCCATCTCCCAGTGAGGTGCCATGCATAGGCGCCGGGGTCAGGACTTAGGCGGGTCCTTCGAGGCCACGTCAGCTTCTTTTTCTCCAGGAGGGGCTTGCCTCTGGCTCCGGCCCTCGGTGCTCAGCTGCACTGCCCGGGGCCTCCCCAGGTGTAGCTGGAGGTGGGAAGGAGGAAGCAGCACCTGTGGTCGCTGTTGGCCACCTGGGTGGGAGGAGGCGGCCGCAGGGCAGGGTGGCCCTGGGTGGGAGGAGGCGGCCTAGGGGCAGGGTGGCTCTGGCCTTCTCGGTTTGCTGCACCCACCTCCACCTCTCCCGGTGCCTCTGCAGGGCAGGGTCTGCGGCCTGTGTGGGAACTTCGACGACATCGCCGTTAATGACTTTGCCACGCGGAGCCGGTCTGTGGTGGGGGACGTGCTGGAGTTTGGGAACAGCTGGAAGCTCTCCCCCTCCTGCCCAGATGCCCTGGCGCCCAAGGACCCCTGCACGGCCAACCCCTTCCGCAAGTCCTGGGCCCAGAAGCAGTGCAGCATCCTCCACGGCCCCACCTTCGCCGCCTGCCACGCACACGTATGCTGGCCGGGGGGCGTTTCTCTGGGCCCAAGGGGGTCATGGTGACCCAAGGAGCCCCCAGAAGGGAGAAGGGAATGGGGTCTGGGAGACAGCTGCCAACCAAGGGTGTGGGCTGCTGGGACTGGCGCTGGTATGGACTCGCCTAGAGGGGCTGGGCTTCCAGCTCTGACACCTGTCAGCTATGGTTTCGGGGCCCTGGGGGGTGTTAACCCCAAGGGCTGCCGAGGAAGCCCCAGGCACTGTGGATATCCAGATGGGCCCAGCCGGCCACTTGGGGATGGGCATTCGCCCTCCCTGAGCTCCACTGGAACTCGGCCCCGGTCAATGTGCCAGCATGGGCCCGGTCCCCAAGAGCCCGCGGGGTGGTGGGGGGGTCCCTGGAACCTGAAGCCCCGTCTCCCTCAGGTGGAGCCGGCCAGGTACTACGAGGCCTGCGTGAACGACGCGTGCGCCTGCGACTCCGGGGGTGACTGCGAGTGCTTCTGCACGGCTGTGGCCGCCTACGCCCAGGCCTGCCATGAAGTAGGCCTGTGTGTGTCCTGGCGGACCCCGAGCATCTGCCGTGAGTGCGAGTGGGCACCTGGGGAAGAACAGGAAGCGCCGGCAGCGTGTGCCCCACCACACTCGCCGCTGATGCGTGGGGTGTGTGGGGCGGGTGGGGAAGGTTTCCAAATAAACAGAAACACCTGGGCCCAGAGAGGAGGGCGTGGCTGACAGAGGGGTCCCTGGCATGGTAGAACGTTCTGGGCAGAGGGGTCAGCAGAGCTGCCCAGCTCTAGAGAGGAGGGCGTGGCTGACAGAGGGGTCGCTGGCATGGTAGAACATTCTGGGCAGAGGGGTCAGCAGAGTTGCCCAGCTCTAGAGAGGAGGGCGTGGCTGATGGAGGGGTCCCTGGCATGGTTGGGCAGAGGGTTCAGCAGAGCTGCCCAGCTCTAGGGAGGAGGGCGTGGCTGACGGAGGGGTCCCTGGCATGGTTGGGCAGAGGGTTCAGCAGAGCTGCCCAGCTCTAGGGAGGAGGGCGTGGCTGACGGGTCGCTGGCGTGGTAGAACGTTCTGGGCAGTGGGGTCAGCAGAGCTGCCCAGCTCTAGCCCACACGGAGCCTTGCCGGGAACGGGCACTGCTGGATCTGCTCTGACTGGAGACCCCACTCTGGTGGCAGCCTCCGTGGCACCCTGATAATTGGGGGGTCCCGATCTGGCCCACCCTCCCCTGTCCCCATCTTGTGATGGCCGGGAGGTGCAGGGGAGGGAAGCGGCTTTAGAACAGCCCTGGGGTGCGGGGCCTCTGCGAGTGAGTTCCTGGGACCCCACCGAGCCCTTCCTTCCTCCCTGCAGCTCTGTTCTGCGACTACTACAACCCCGAAGGCCAGTGCGAGTGGCACTACCAGCCCTGCGGGGTGCCCTGCCTGCGCACCTGCCGGAACCCCCGTGGAGACTGCCTGCGGGACGTCCGGGGCCTGGAAGGTGGGCTGGGGCCGGTCGGAGGGTGGCCTGGGCTCCGCCGCCTGTGGCCTTCTCCTGGCCCCTCGAGGAGCCTCTGTGGCCCCAGCTTCCAGCACATTCTGGTGCTGTCGGCGAGGCCCGCTGCTTGGGGGCTGGGCGGAGCCCTCCAGAGCGAGGTGGACGACACTCGGTCTGGTTGTGACTCTGGCCTCTTTGGCCCACAGGCTGCTACCCCAAGTGCCCACCAGAGGCTCCCATCTTTGATGAGGACAAGATGCAGTGTGTGGCCACCTGCCCAACCCCGCCTCTGCCACCACGGTGCCACGTCCATGGGAAGTCCTACCGGCCAGGTGCAGTGGTGCCCTCGGACAAGAACTGCCAGTCCTGGTGAGTCCTTTGGGGGGAGGAATATGGAGCCTGCAGCATGCAGGGGAATTTGACCACGGCCTGGGCTTTGGGTGGGGCTGGGAGCGGCAGGGCTGGGGACCTCCCCGTTACTGGAGTTGAAGCTTGGGTCCTGTCCTGGCCCAGGCATCTGTGACATCAGCTTCTCAGGGACCAGCACCCCCATGTCCTGAGTCCCAGAGGCGGGACTGGGTGTAGGGCTCCTCTGGGCAGAAAACCAGCACAACCTCTGGGGAGCAGGCTCGAGGGGCTCAGGGGGCGGCAGGGGGAAGCTGGGCCGAGATGGAGCCCTAGGGTCCCCACCGGAAGGATGCCCATTAAAATCACCCCTGGAAAGTAATGGCTCCACTCTGGCACCCACCTCCCCTGACCCCCGACTGGAGGGGCCCCACGAGGGAGGGACCTTGGGCTGACGCTGGAGAGACAACTGCTGGGACCCAGGTGGGGCCGGCCTCCTGTCCCCCAGTCTGGGGGTGCAATGCAGTTCCCAGGGAACTCCACCCCTGTCGGAGCTGCTCCCTGCCCGCCGTTGGTAGCATGGGATGCCCGTGGAAGGCACACGGCCGCCCCCACGCATCGGCCTGCCCTTCTTCCTTGTCTCCAGCCTTTGTACGGAGCGCGGCGTGGAGTGCACCTACAAAGCTGAGGGTGAGCGGCCGGCAGCCCCTGGGGCTGGGGTCCGGGGGTCTCTGTCTGCGCCCAGCCTCTGACGGGCCTGGGCCCTCCGTCCCCATAGCCTGTGTCTGCACCTACAATGGACAGCGCTTCCACCCAGGGGACGTCATCTACCACACGACGGATGGCACGGGTGGCTGCATCTCCGCCCGCTGCGGGGCCAACGGCACCATTGAGAGGAGGGTCTACCCCTGCAGCCCCACCACCCCTGTCCCCCCAACCACCTTCTCCTTCTCCACACCCCCGCTTGGTAAGGCAAATGTGGCCGAGGAGCCCCAGGGTGAGCCCCCTCCCACTGCCTGGCACAGCTGCCCTTGCTGGACGCTGAGGTCACAGCAGCTCTGGGCATGGGCGGCAGCCCCTGAGGATCAAGAAGGGATCGAGGAGCAGGGAGTCGGGCTCGGGGATGACCTGCTGTTTCCCCACCAGCCACCTGCAGTGGGGAGGGCCTGGCCTCCAAGTCACCCCAGCAGGCCTGGCGTCCAAGTCCTGCCCTCAGCAGCCCCCGGGCCTGGCCTCATTGGGGTGTCAGGGGTCTGGCAGCCCAGGCTGGCCCCGGGGATGCATGGCTATCACTTGCCTCACAATGCTCAGGGCTCAGGTACCCCCATGTCCTCGCCCTCTTCTGGGGGATGTCTCAGGGCCCCAAGGCATCATCTGAGCTTCTCTGAGAGTAGAAAGCTCTGGAACTCACGTGTTCTGGGGCACAGATGTGTGGACCCTGCTCAGGGCATGGCCTGGGAGCCACTTCCCTAAAACTCAGTCGGTTCGCCTGGCTCTTCAGAACCTGTGCCGCTCATGTGGGTTCTGAGCAGGGACCGCGGGTGGGGACAGGAAGACAGACCTGCTGGCGCAGCTCCAGACCGGTGACAGAGCCGCAGGGAGGGGCGGGCGGCCCCCAAGTGCGGGCCTCTCATGCTCAGCTGCCTTCTCTTCTGCCCACAGTCGTGAGCTCCACGCACACCCCCAGCAATGGCCCAAGCAGCGCGCACACAGGCCCTCCGAGCAGCGCCTGGCCCACCACAGCAGGCACTTCTCCCAGGACGAGGCTGCCCACAGCCTCTGCCTCACTGCCGCCGGTCTGTGGGGAAAAGTGCCTGTGGTCGCCATGGATGGATGTCAGCCGCCCTGGACGGGGCACGGACAGCGGTGACTTCGACACACTGGAGAACCTCCGCGCCCATGGGTACCGGGTGTGCGAATCACCCAGGTCGGTGGAGTGCCGAGCTGAGGACGCCCCCGGAGTGCCGCTCCGAGCCCTGGGGCAGCGTGTGCAGTGCAGCCCGGATGTGGGGCTGACCTGTCGTAACAGGGAGCAGGCATCGGGGCTCTGCTACAACTACCAGATCAGGGTCCAGTGCTGCACGCCCCTACCCTGCTCCACCTCTAGCAGTCCAGCCCAGACCACTCCTCCAACTACCTCCAAGACCACTGAAACCCGGGCCTCAGGCTCCTCAGCTCCCAGCAGCACACCTGGCACCGTGTCTCTCTCTACAGCCAGGACGACACCTGCCCCAGGTACCGCTACCTCTGTCAAAAAAACTTTCTCAACTCCCAGCCCTCCGCCAGTGCCGGCAACATCAACATCATCCATGTCGACCACGGCCCCGGGGACCTCTGTGGTCTCCAGCAAGCCCACCCCCACGGAGCCCAGCACATCCTCCTGCCTGCAGGAGCTTTGCACCTGGACCGAGTGGATCGATGGCAGCTACCCTGCTCCTGGAATAAATGGTGGAGATTTTGACACATTTCAAAATTTGAGAGACGAAGGATACACATTCTGTGAAAGTCCTCGAAGCGTGCAGTGCCGGGCAGAGAGCTTCCCCAACACGCCGCTGGCAGACCTGGGGCAGGACGTCATCTGCAGCCACACAGAGGGGCTGATTTGCCTGAACAAGAACCAGCTCCCACCCATCTGCTACAACTATGAGATCCGCATCCAGTGTTGCGAGACGGTGAACGTGTGCAGAGACATCACCAGACTGCCAAAGACCGTCGCAACGACACGGCCGACTCCACATCCAACCGGAGCTCAGACCCAGACCACCTTCACCACACACATGCCCTCGGCCTCCACAGAGCAACCCACGGCAACCTCCAGGGGTGGGCCCACAGCAACCAGCGTCACACAGGGCACCCACACCACACTAGTCACCAGAAACTGTCATCCCCGGTGCACCTGGACAAAGTGGTTCGACGTGGACTTCCCGTCCCCCGGACCCCATGGTGGAGACAAGGAAACCTACAACAACATCATCAGGAGTGGGGAAAAAATCTGCCGCCGACCTGAGGAGATCACCAGGCTCCAGTGCCGAGCCAAGAGCCACCCAGAGGTGAGCATCGAACACCTGGGCCAGGTGGTGCAGTGCAGCCGGGAAGAGGGCCTGGTGTGCCGGAACCAGGACCAGCAGGGACCCTTCAAGATGTGCCTCAACTACGAGGTGCGTGTGCTCTGCTGCGAGACCCCCAGAGGCTGCCACATGACCTCCACACCTGGCTCCACCTCTAGCAGTCCAGCCCAGACCACTCCTTCAACAACCTCCAAGACCACTGAAACCCAGGCCTCAGGCTCCTCAGCCCCCAGCAGCACACCTGGCACCGTGTCTCTCTCTACAGCCAGGACGACACCTGCCCCAGGTACCGCTACCTCTGTCAAAAAAACTTTCTCAACTCCCAGCCCTCCGCCAGTGCCGGCAACATCAACATCATCCATGTCGACCACGGCCCCGGGGACCTCTGTGGTCTCCAGCAAGCCCACCCCCACGGAGCCCAGCACATCCTCCTGCCTGCAGGAGCTTTGCACCTGGACCGAGTGGATTGATGGCAGCTACCCTGCTCCTGGAATAAATGGTGGAGATTTTGACACATTTCAAAATTTGAGAGACGAAGGATACACATTCTGTGAAAGTCCTCGAAGCGTGCAGTGCCGGGCAGAGAGCTTCCCCAACACGCCGCTGGCAGACCTGGGGCAGGACGTCATCTGCAGCCACACAGAGGGGCTGATTTGCCTGAACAAGAACCAGCTCCCACCCATCTGCTACAACTATGAGATCCGCATCCAGTGTTGCGAGACGGTGAACGTGTGCAGAGACATCACCAGACCGCCAAAGACCGTCGCAACGACACGGCCGACTCCACATCCAACCGGAGCTCAGACCCAGACCACCTTCACCACACACATGCCCTCGGCCTCCACAGAGCAACCCACGGCAACCTCCAGGGGTGGGCCCACAGCAACCAGCGTCACACAGGGCACCCACACCACACCAGTCACCAGAAACTGTCATCCCCGGTGCACCTGGACAACGTGGTTCGACGTGGACTTCCCGTCCCCCGGACCCCATGGTGGAGACAAGGAAACCTACAACAACATCATCAGGAGTGGGGAAAAAATCTGCCGCCGACCTGAGGAGATCACCAGGCTCCAGTGCCGAGCCAAGAGCCACCCAGAGGTGAGCATCGAACACCTGGGCCAGGTGGTGCAGTGCAGCCGGGAAGAGGGCCTGGTGTGCCGGAACCAGGACCAGCAGGGACCCTTCAAGATGTGCCTCAACTACGAGGTGCGTGTGCTCTGCTGCGAGACCCCCAAAGGCTGCCCCGTGACCTCCACACCTGTGACAGCTCCTAGCACCCCTAGTGGGAGAGCCACCAGCCCAACTCAGAGCACCTCCTCTTGGCAGAAATCCAGGACAACCACTTTGGTGACAACCAGCACAACCTCCACTCCACAGACCAGTACAACCTATGCCCATACAACCAGCACAACCTCTGCTCCTACAGCCAGAACAACCTCTGCTCCTACAACCAGAACAACCTCTGCCTCTCCAGCCAGCACAACCTCTGGTCCTGGAAATACTCCCAGCCCTGTTCCTACCACCAGCACAATCTCTGCTCCTACAACTAGCATAACCTCTGCCCCTACAACCAGCACAACCTCTGCCCCTACAAGCAGCACAACCTCTGGTCCTGGAACTACTCCCAGCCCTGTTCCTACCACCAGCATAACCTCTGCCCCTACAACCAGCACAACCTCTGCTCCTACAACCAGCACAACCTCTGCCCGTACAAGCAGCACAACCTCTGCCACTACCACCAGCAGAATCTCTGGTCCTGAAACTACTCCCAGCCCTGTTCCTACCACCAGCACAACCTCTGCCACTACAACCAGCACAACCTCAGCTCCTACAACCAGCACAACCTCTGCCCCTACAAGCAGCACAACCTCCAGTCCACAGACCAGCACAACCTCGGCTCCTACAACCAGCACAACTTCTGGTCCTGGAACTACCCCAAGCCCTGTTCCCACGACCAGCACAACCTCTGCCCCTACAACAAGAACAACTTCTGCTCCTAAAAGCAGCACAACCTCTGCCGCTACAACCAGCACAACCTCTGGTCCTGAAACTACTCCTAGACCTGTTCCTACCACCAGCACAACCTCTTCTCCTACAACCAGCACAACCTCTGCTCCTACAACCAGCACAACCTCTGCTTCTACAACCAGCACAACCTCTGGTGCTGGAACTACTCCCAGCCCTGTTCCCACCACCAGCACAACCTCTGCTCCTACAACCAGCACAACCTCTGCCCCTATAAGCAGCACAACCTCTGCCACTACAACCAGCACAACCTCTGGTCCTGGAACTACTCCCAGCCCTGTTCCTACCACGAGCACAACCTCTGCTCCTACAACCAGCACAACCTCTGGTCCTGGAACTACTCCCAGTGCTGTTCCCACCACCAGCATAACCTCTGCACCTACAACCAGCACAAACTCTGCCCCTATAAGCAGCACAACCTCTGCCACTACAACCAGCAGAATCTCTGGTCCTGAAACTACTCCCAGCCCTGTTCCTACCGCCAGCACAACCTCTGCTTCTACAACTAGCACAACCTCTGGTCCTGGAACTACTCCCAGCCCTGTTCCTACCACCAGCACAATCTCTGTTCCTACCACCAGCACAACTTCTGCTTCTACAACCAGCACAACCTCTGCTTCTACAACCAGCACAACCTCTGGTCCTGGAACTACTCCCAGCCCTGTTCCCACCACCAGCACAACCTCTGCTCCCACAACAAGCACAACCTCTGCCCCTACAACCAGCACAATCTCGGCCCCAACAACCAGCACAACCTCTGCCACTACAACCAGCACGACCTCTGCTCCTACACCCAGAAGAACCTCAGCCCCTACAACCAGCACAATCTCTGCCTCTACCACCAGCACAACCTCTGCGACTACAACCAGCACAACCTCTGCTACTACAACCAGCACAATCTCTGCCCCTACAACCAGCACAACTTTGTCTCCTACAACCAGCACAACCTCTACTACTATAACCAGCACAACTTCTGCCCCTATAAGCAGCACAACTTCCACACCACAGACCAGCACAACTTCGGCTCCTACAACCAGCACAACTTCTGGTCCTGGAACTACTTCAAGCCCTGTTCCCACCACCAGCACAACCTCTGCCCCTACAACCAGCACAACCTCTGCCCCTACAACCAGAACAACCTCTGTCCCTACAAGCAGCACAACCTCCACTGCTACAACCAGCACAACCTCTGGCCCTGGAACTACTCCCAGCCCTGTTCCCACCACCAGTACAACCTCTGCTCCTACAACCAGAACAACCTCTGCTCCTACAACCAGCACAACCTCTGCCCCTACAACCAGCACAACCTCTGCCCCTACAAGCAGCACAACCTCAGCTACTACAACCAGCACAATCTCTGTTCCTACAACCAGCACAACTTCTGTTCCTGGAACTACTCCCAGCCCTGTTCCTACCACCAGCACAATCTCTGTTCCTACCACCAGCACAACTTCTGCTTCTACAACCAGCACAACCTCTGGTCCTGGAACTACTCCCAGCCCTGTTCCCACCACCAGCACAACCTCTGCTCCCACAACAAGCACAACCTCTGCCCCTACAACCAGCACAATCTCGGCCCCAACAACCAGCACACCCTCTGCCCCTACAACCAGCACAACCTTAGCTCCTACAACCAGCACAACCTCTGCCCCTACAACCAGCACAACCTCTACCCCTACAAGCAGCACAACCTCCTCTCCACAGACCAGCACAACCTCGGCTTCTACCACCAGCATAACTTCTGGTCCTGGAACTACCCCAAGCCCTGTTCCCACCACCAGCACAACCTCTGCTCCTACAACCAGCACAACCTCTGCCGCTACAACCAGCACAATCTCGGCCCCAACAACCAGCACAACGTCTGCTCCTACAACCAGCACAACCTCTGCCTCTACAGCCAGCAAAACCTCTGGTCTTGGAACTACTCCCAGCCCTATTCCTACCACCAGCACAACCTCTCCTCCTACAACCAGCACAACTTCTGCCTCTACAGCCAGCAAAACCTCTGGTCCTGGAACCACTCCCAGCCCTGTTCCCACCACCAGCACAATCTTTGCTCCTAGAACCAGCACCACTTCTGCCTCTACAACCAGCACAACCCCTGGTCCTGGAACCACTCCCAGCCCCGTTCCCACCACCAGCACAGCCTCTGTTTCAAAGACCAGCACAAGCCATGTTTCCATATCCAAGACAACCCACTCCCAACCAGTCACCAGAGACTGTCATCTCCGGTGCACCTGGACCAAGTGGTTTGACATAGACTTCCCATCCCCTGGACCCCACGGCGGGGACAAGGAAACCTACAACAACATCATCAGGAGTGGGGAAAAAATCTGCCGCCGACCTGAGGAGATCACCAGGCTCCAGTGCCGAGCCGAGAGCCACCCGGAGGTGAGCATTGAACACCTGGGCCAGGTGGTGCAGTGCAGCCGTGAAGAGGGCCTGGTGTGCCGGAACCAGGACCAGCAGGGACCCTTCAAGATGTGCCTCAACTACGAGGTGCGTGTGCTCTGCTGCGAGACCCCTAAAGGTTGCCCCGTGACCTCCACACCTGTGACAGCTCCTAGCACCCCTAGTGGGAGAGCCACCAGCCCAACTCAGAGCACTTCCTCTTGGCAGAAATCCAGGACAACCACTTTGGTGACAACCAGCACAACCTCCACTCCACAGACCAGCACAACCTCTGCTCCTACAACCAGCACAACCTCTGCTCCCACAACCAGCACAACTTCTGCCCCTACAACCAGCACAACCTCCACTCCACAGACCAGCATATCCTCTGCCCCTACAAGCAGCACAACCTCGGCTCCTACAAGCAGCACAATCTCTGCTCGTACAACCAGCATAATCTCTGCCCCTACAACCAGCACAACCTCTTCCCCTACAACCAGCACAACCTCTGCTACTACAACCAGCACAACCTCTGCCCCTACAAGCAGCACAACCTCCACTCCACAGACCAGCAAAACCTCAGCTGCTACAAGCAGCACAACCTCCGGTTCTGGAACTACTCCCAGCCCTGTTACCACCACCAGCACAGCCTCTGTTTCAAAGACCAGCACAAGCCATGTTTCTGTATCCAAGACAACCCACTCCCAACCAGTCACCAGAGACTGTCATCCCCGGTGCACCTGGACCAAATGGTTTGATGTGGACTTTCCATCCCCTGGACCCCACGGTGGGGACAAGGAAACCTACAACAACATCATCAGGAGTGGGGAAAAAATCTGCCGCCGACCTGAGGAGATCACCAGGCTCCAGTGCCGAGCCAAGAGCCACCCGGAGGTGAGCATCGAACACCTGGGCCAGGTGGTGCAGTGCAGCCGCGAAGAGGGCCTGGTGTGCCGGAACCAGGACCAGCAGGGACCCTTCAAGATGTGCCTCAACTACGAGGTGCGTGTGCTTTGCTGCGAGACCCCCAAAGGCTGCCCCGTGACCTCCACATCTGTGACAGCTCCTAGCACCCCTAGTGGGAGAGCCACCAGCCCAACTCAGAGCACCTCCTCTTGGCAGAAATCCAGGACAACCACTTTGGTGACAAGCAGCATAACCTCCACTACACAGACCAGCACAACCTCTGCCCCTACAACTAGCACAACCCCTGCTTCTATACCCAGCACAACCTCTGCCCCAACAACCAGCACAACCTCTGCTCCCACAACGAGCACAACTTCTGCCCCTACAACCAGCACAACCTCCACTCCACAGACCACCACATCCTCTGCCCCTACAAGCAGCACAACCTCGGCTCCTACCACCAGCACAATCTCTGCCCCTACAACCAGCACAATCTCTGCCCCTACAACCAGCACAACCTCTGCTCCCACAGCCAGCACAACGTCAGCTCCTACGAGCACTTCCTCGGCTCCTACAACCAACACAACCTCTGCCCCTACAACTAGCACTACCTCTGCTCCCATAACCAGCACAATCTCTGCCCCTACAACCAGCACAACCTCCACTCCACAGACCAGCACAATCTCTTCCCCTACAACCAGCACAACCTCCACTCCGCAGACCAGCACAACCTCTTCCCCTACAACTAGCACAACCTCAGCTCCTACAACCAGCACAACTTCTGCCCCTACAACCAGCACAACCTCCACTCCACAGACCAGCATATCCTCTGCCCCTACAAGCAGCACAACCTCTGCTCCTACAGCCAGCACAATCTCTGCCCCTACAACCAGCACAACCTCTTTCCATACAACCAGCACAACCTCTCCCCCTACAAGCAGCACAAGCTCCACTCCACAGACCAGCAAAACCTCAGCTGCTACAAGCAGCACAACCTCCGGTTCTGGAACTACTCCCAGCCCCGTTCCCACCACCAGCACAGCCTCTGTTTCAAAGACCAGCACAAGCCATGTTTCTGTATCCAAGACAACCCACTCCCAACCAGTCACCAGAGACTGTCATCCCCGGTGCACCTGGACCAAGTGGTTTGACGTGGACTTTCCATCCCCTGGACCCCACGGTGGGGACAAGGAAACCTACAACAACATCATCAGGAGTGGGGAAAAAATCTGCCGCCGACCTGAGGAGATCACCAGGCTCCAGTGCCGAGCCGAGAGCCACCCGGAGGTGAGCATCGAACACCTGGGCCAGGTGGTGCAGTGCAGCCGGGAAGAGGGCCTGGTGTGCCGGAACCAGGACCAGCAGGGACCCTTCAAGATGTGCCTCAACTACGAGGTGCGTGTGCTCTGCTGCGAGACCCCCAAAGGCTGCCCCGTGACCTCCACACCTGTGACAGCTCCTAGCACCCCTAGTGGGAGAGCCACCAGCCCAACTCAGAGCACTTCCTCTTGGCAGAAATCCAGGACAACCACTTTGGTGACAACCAGCACAACCTCCACTCCACAGACCAGCACAACCTCTGCCCCTACAACCAGCACAATCCCTGCTTCTACACCCAGCACAACCTCTGCCCCTACAACCAGCACAACCTCTGCCCCTACAACCAGCACGACCTCAGCTCCTACACACAGAACGACTTCTGGTCCTACAACCAGCACAACCTTGGCTCCTACAACCAGCACAACCTCTGCTCCAACAACCAGCACAAACTCTGCTCCTACAACCAGCACAATCTCTGCCTCTACAACCAGCACAATCTCTGCCCCTACAACCAGCACAATCTCTTCCCCTACAAGCAGCACAACCTCCACTCCACAGACCAGCAAAACCTCAGCTGCTACAAGCAGCACAACCTCCGGTTCTGGAACTACTCCAAGCCCTGTTCCCACCACCAGCACAACCTCTGCCTCTACAACCAGCACAACTTCTGCTCCTACAACCAGCACAACCTCTGGTCCTGGAACTACTCCAAGCCCTGTTCCCAGCACCAGTACAACCTCTGCTGCTACAACCAGCACAACCTCTGCTCCTACAACCAGAACAACATCTGCTCCTACAAGCAGCATGACCTCTGGTCCTGGAACTACTCCCAGCCCTGTTCCCACCACCAGCACAACCTCTGCTCCTACAACTAGCACAACCTCTGGTCCTGGAACTACTCCCAGCCCTGTTCCCACCACCAGCACAACCTCTGCTCCTATAACCAGCACAACCTCTGGTCCTGGAAGTACTCCCAGCCCTGTTCCCACCACCAGCACAACCTCTGCTCCTACAACCAGCACAACCTCTGCCTCTACAGCCAGCACAACCTCTGGTCCTGGAACTACTCCCAGCCCTGTTCCCACCACCAGCACAACCTCTGCTCCTACAACCAGAACAACCTCTGCCTCTACAGCCAGCACAACCTCTGGTCCTGGAAGTACTCCCAGCCCTGTTCCCACCACCAGCACAACCTCTGCTCCTACAACCAGAACAACCCCTGCCTCTACAGCCAGCACAACCTCTGGTCCTGGAACTACTCCCAGCCCTGTTCCCACCACAAGCACAACCTCTGCTTCTACAACCAGCACAATCTCTCTCCCTACAACCAGCACAACCTCTGCTCCTATAACCAGCATGACCTCTGGTCCTGGAACTACTCCCAGCCCTGTTCCCACCACCAGCACAACCTCTGCTCCTACAACCAGCACAACCTCTGCCTCTACAGCCAGCACAACCTCTGGTCCTGGAACTACTCCCAGCCCTGTTCCCACCACCAGCACAACCTCTGCTCCTACAACCAGCACAACCTCTGCCTCTACAGCCAGCACAACCTCTGGTCCTGGAACTTCTCTCAGCCCTGTTCCCACCACGAGCACAACCTCTGCTCCTACAACTAGCACAACCTCTGGTCCTGGAACTACTCCCAGCCCTGTTCCCACCACCAGCACAACCTCTGCTCCTACAACCAGCACGACCTCTGGTCCTGGAACTACTCCCAGCCCCGTTCCCACCACCAGCACAACCCCTGTTTCAAAGACCAGCACAAGCCATCTTTCTGTATCCAAGACAACCCACTCCCAACCAGTCACCAGTGACTGTCATCCTCTGTGCGCCTGGACAAAGTGGTTCGACGTGGACTTCCCATCCCCTGGACCCCACGGCGGGGACAAGGAAACCTACAACAACATCATCAGGAGTGGGGAAAAAATCTGCCGCCGACCTGAGGAGATCACCAGGCTCCAGTGCCGAGCCGAGAGCCACCCGGAGGTGAACATTGAACACCTGGGTCAGGTGGTGCAGTGCAGCCGTGAAGAGGGCCTGGTGTGCCGGAACCAGGACCAGCAGGGACCCTTCAAGATGTGCCTCAACTACGAGGTGCGCGTGCTCTGCTGCGAGACCCCCAGAGGCTGCCCGGTGACCTCTGTGACCCCATATGGGACTTCTCCTACCAATGCTCTGTATCCTTCCCTGTCTACTTCCATGGTATCCGCCTCCGTGGCATCCACCTCTGTGGCATCCAGCTCTGTGGCATCCAGCTCTGTGGCTTACTCCACCCAAACCTGCTTCTGCAACGTGGCTGACCGGCTCTACCCTGCAGGTTCGTGAGTGTTTCTGGTGCAATTGTTTCTGAGCTCACCCTGGTCAGTTTTTTATCCAGGAACGCCAAGCTGTGATGATGATAGGAGTCTCTGCTCTTTGTGGCACAGGCTCATTGTCACAGAGTGGCTGCTGGCATTCTCTGAAATTTTTTCCCATTACACAGGTGGTAGAAAGTGCCCCTCTGGCTCTGGGAGTTTTTTGCTTCTCCTTTGAGCAGGACTCCACTAAAGGCTGCCATGTCCCTTCCTCTTACAGGATCCACCATATACCGCCACAGAGACCTCGCTGGCCATTGCTATTATGCCCTGTGTAGCCAGGACTGCCAAGTGGTCAGAGGGGTTGACAGTGACTGTCCGTCCACCACGCTGCCTCCTGCCCCAGCCACGTCCCCTTCAATATCCACCTCCGAGCCCGTCACTGAGCTGGGATGCCCAAATGCGGTTCCCCCCAGAAAGGTAACCCCCTACTTCTCACCCTTCTGAAGGCTCAGGGGCTCCTACAGGGAACTTGAATGTCTTTGCAATTAGTCTTCAGCTGCAAAGTCTTGAGAAGGTCACTGGCGCTAGTGGAGGCAGCCCGGCCGTCAGGAGAGGGCCATGCTGTAGCCCGGCGTCTCTGATCACCCTGGGCTTCCCAGGCACGTGCTTTCCAGACACTGGGTGTGTGGGGCCGAAGGCTGAGGCTGTGCTGAGGACAGCCAGGGCCAGAGCAGGTGGATGAGGCTGCACAGCCAGGGAGTGTGGC
Organism: Homo sapiens; assembly: GCF_000001405.40. Lineage (NCBI taxonomy): Eukaryota > Metazoa > Chordata > Mammalia > Primates > Hominidae > Homo > Homo sapiens. The sequence goes on from NC_000011.10 coordinate 1,193,272, forward strand.
AGAGCCAGGGAGGAGCCACTCCCACACCAGAGGCCCCTGCCCGGGCCAGCTCGGTGTCTGGGGTGGGTGCTGAGGGTGGGGCAGGAAGGAAACTGGGGCACAGCCACCCTCCCCTGTCCCCACACGGGACTCTCGGGACTGTGACCCCGAGAACCAAGGGGTGCCCCGGAGATCGGGAGAGGCCGGACCCTGCAGGTCTCTGTGCTTCTGCAGAAAGGTGAGACCTGGGCCACACCCAACTGCTCCGAGGCCACCTGTGAGGGCAACAACGTCATCTCCCTGCGCCCGCGCACGTGCCCGAGGGTGGAGAAGCCCACTTGTGCCAACGGCTACCCGGCTGTGAAGGTGGCTGACCAAGATGGCTGCTGCCATCACTACCAGTGCCAGTGTGAGTGGAGCGCCGAGCGGGACCCAGGGCAGCCGGGGCAGCCACTCCCCACCCAGGTGGAAATGGGCGGGGCAGAGGAGGGGGCTTGGCTGAAGCAGAAAAGAATTGGGTGGGACAGCAGGAAGGACTTCCCAGCATCAAGGCGGGGCCGCATGGGGCCGAGCCTCCCCGCTTAGGGGTGCTGAGTGAATCCCTGTGAGCCTCGGAGCAGCCTGGCTGGAGAAGGTGGAGGAGTCTGTCCCTGCCTCGCTCCAGCCTTGTCAAGCGCCCGCTGGATGGAGCTCTGTGCGGACGCTGGCCACGTGTGTTCTGATGACGTGAGGGTCTTGTGCGCCCTGTGAGATGAGACGGTGGGGGGTCAGGGACAGATGTGACCTGTTGGGAGGAAAGCCCCAGGGCCATGGTGCCACCACCCGAGCCACCCGTAAGGCTGCCCCTGGGGCCTGGCAGGTGTGTGCAGCGGCTGGGGTGACCCCCACTACATCACCTTCGACGGCACCTACTACACCTTCCTGGACAACTGCACGTACGTGCTGGTGCAGCAGATTGTGCCCGTGTATGGCCACTTCCGCGTGCTCGTCGACAACTACTTCTGCGGTGCGGAGGACGGGCTCTCCTGCCCGAGGTCCATCATCCTGGAGTACCACCAGGACCGCGTGGTGCTGACCCGCAAGCCAGTCCACGGGGTGATGACAAACGAGGTGGGGGCGCGCCCGGTGTGCCGCGGAGGGGGTGGGGGACGCGGCTTTCCCGGCAAGAGCCTGAGCAGCGGCTGACCGCCCGCCCGCCTGCCTTCTGACTTCCCGTCGACCACGCCCTGCGTCCAGATCATCTTCAACAACAAGGTGGTCAGCCCCGGCTTCCGGAAAAACGGCATCGTGGTCTCGCGCATCGGCGTCAAGATGTACGCGACCATCCCGGAGCTGGGAGTCCAGGTCATGTTCTCCGGCCTCATCTTCTCCGTGGAGGTGCCCTTCAGCAAGTTTGCCAACAACACCGAGGGCCAGTGCGGTGAGGCCACAGGGCTCCCGGGCATCGTCTGGCATTCGCGGGGGCGGGGGTGCCGGGCAGGGGCGAGGCCACCACGTGCCGCGTGTGCCGGTGTCTCTGCTTTCTGGCTGCTCTGCTGAGTGCAGGCCACAGGCATGAGGCTTACGCCTGCCGGTACCTGCAGCTCCCCAGTACCATAGGGACTGTCCCAGGGTTGTTCTCGGGGGACAGTGAGGCACAGGCAGGGCCCGCTGCAGTTCACCAAGTTGTGACCCTGAGACACCAGGGTCCTGTCCCCCAGCTGGGGGTGGGGCCAGCCGGCTCTGCTGTCCAGCAGCCTGACCCCCACCGCGTCTGCCCAGGCACTTGCACCAACGACAGGAAGGATGAGTGCCGCACGCCTAGGGGGACGGTGGTCGCTTCCTGCTCCGAGATGTCCGGCCTCTGGAACGTGAGCATACCCGACCAGCCAGCCTGCCACCGGCCTCACCCGACGCCCACCACGGTCGGGCCCACCACAGTTGGGTCTACCACGGTCGGGCCCACCACAGTTGGGTCTACCACGGTCGGGCCCACCACACCGCCTGCTCCGTGCCTGCCATCACCCATCTGCCAGCTGATTCTGAGCAAGTGAGACTTGGGTGCAAGGGAGGGAGGGTCAGTGTGGCCGCCCCACCTCCCACCCTTCCAAGGGCTGGAGGGGAAGAAGCGCATTTTCAGGGGGCTCCTGAGAGGAAACGAGAGCTGCTGGTACCACAGACCAAGGAGGGGTGGGTGTTGGGGAGAAGTGGGTGCCGGGGAGGGGTGGGCAGTGGGGAGGGGCGGGTGCCGGGAAGGGGTGGTTGTGGCTGGAATGCTGCCAAGGGGTCACCAGGGTTGGCCGGCTGGGCCGTCTCTGAGGCTCTCTGCTGGCTCAGGTGTATGGACGGGGGCATCGGTCACCACCCCCAGGCAGCTTCCAGGTTTGCAGGGCAGGGGCTGGGGGGGCCAGGAAGAAGAACTTGCAGAAATAAATGGATGATGCCATCTGGACCCCCACCCCCCGCCCCCAAGCACACAGAATGTGTGGAAGGAGCCCGTCCGGGGATACAGGAGGGCGGCCACACACCAGTGGCTGCTCTGGGACTCGCCTCGCCTGGAGACTGCCCTGAAGCCTGGGAGCCTGACGTGGAGCAGGCAGGTGGCCGGAGAGGCTGCACCCAGCACCCTGCCCATCCCTCCCACAGGGTCTTTGAGCCGTGCCACACTGTGATCCCCCCACTGCTGTTCTATGAGGGCTGCGTCTTTGACCGGTGCCACATGACGGACCTGGATGTGGTGTGCTCCAGCCTGGAGCTGTACGCGGCACTCTGTGCGTCCCACGACATCTGCATCGATTGGAGAGGCCGGACCGGCCACATGTGCCGTGAGTGCCACCACTGTCCTCAGGGTCCCAAGTCGCTTGTGAGGGGCACAGGCACGCCGGACGGACCAACAGGGTGGGCTCGGGCAGTCAGGGGGGGACCTGGAGGAGGAGGGGGCAGCCCCAGGGCAGAGTGCACCCAGTTCCCTGGAGAGAAGGGAGGGCGTCCACGTCTGGGAGCCCGTGGCGGGGCACTGGGGTGTGGGAGGCCGTAGCCAGGCCCAGGCCCACAGGTGGCTGCGGGCAGCTCCGGAGCAGATGTTGGTGCCCAGCGGCCCGCGTTGCTCTGGGTGGGTGCCCTCCCACCCTCTCAGGTGTGGCTTCCCCTCCCCACAGCATTCACCTGCCCAGCCGACAAGGTGTACCAGCCCTGCGGCCCGAGCAACCCCTCCTACTGCTACGGGAATGACAGCGCCAGCCTCGGGTAGGCACCCTCCCTCCTGGCCCTGCCATGGGCTGCTGGAGCCACCCAGTCCCCAGCCTCCCGCTGCATCTCCCACTCCCAGGCTGGGGTCCTTCTCACCGGAGGGAAAAAGGAGACCCACCAACCCTATGCTCTCTACAGGGCTCTGCCGGAGGCCGGCCCCATCACCGAAGGCTGCTTCTGTCCGGAGGGCATGACCCTCTTCAGCACCAGTGCCCAAGTCTGCGTGCCCACGGGCTGCCCCAGTACGTGCCCCAGGCCGGGGCTGGGGGGTGTGGCAGGACTGGGCCTGTGACTGTTGGCCAGGTCCTGGGGTCTACCCTGGCCCCAATATGGGACCCTGCCTCTCGCCCCTATTGTGGTGGCTGACCCCCAGTAACCTCAGATCTCTCTCCTTCCAGGGTGTCTGGGGCCCCACGGAGAGCCGGTGAAGGTGAGTGGAAGGCATGGCCCAAGAGGGCACTGGGGTCCAAGAGCCCGAGGAGGGAGGCTCTTGAAACACCGGCCCCAGAAATGGTCAGGTGGGGCTCAGGGGTCGGGGTGTCCTCTCTGTGTCAGAGGCCCAGAGAAAGGGCTGCGGGAGGAGCCGGGCTCCCAGAAAGACTCGGGATCTCCCTTCCCAGGTACCCACTCTGTCCGTATTGGGGACGGTGCCGGGGCGTCTGTCCTGGTGTTGCTCTGTGGGTGGGTGCTGGCCCCGAGGCTGGCTGTGCTCTTCCCTTCCTTGGGACGCCCCTTCTGCCCAGCCAAGACTGTGGAGGTGTGAGGTGGGGGGCGCAGGCCAGTCACCCCACAGCCTGCCCACCTTGCAGAGCTTTGTGCCCATCCCTGGGCCCTACCCTGCACTTTTGAAGCCCTACTCCTGCTGGGTCCTCAGTGCAGGCCACACGGCCTCCACACCTGGCTGCCCCGGCACTGCATGAGCCGGGGTGGCTGCTGCACCCCTGGGTGGAGCCGCTGCGGACGCTGGACCTCAGTCCCCTTCCTTGCAGGTGGGCCACACCGTCGGCATGGACTGCCAGGAGTGCACGTGTGAGGCGGCCACGTGGACGCTGACCTGCCGACCCAAGCTCTGCCCGCTGCCCCCTGCCTGCCCCCTGCCCGGCTTCGTGCCTGTGCCTGCAGCCCCACAGGCCGGCCAGTGCTGCCCCCAGTACAGCTGCGGTAAGCCCTTTGCTGGGTGAGGGGCATGGTGTGGCAGGCAGGTGACCCGGAGCCCACTCGGCCCGGACTTTGCTGCTGCCTTGGGGCGTGCACCTGGGGACAGTGCCTACGAGGGCGTCCCCTCCTCCGCTTCCGCAACAGCCTCATCTGGAGACCCCCGAGCGGGCTGTCTAGGCGGTCCGCAATCCTAGAGACCCCAGGGGGTGGGCCTTCGGGTGGGGGCGGGGGACAGACTCCTAATTGCCTCACTCCCGCCCCCGCAGCCTGCAACACCAGCCGCTGCCCCGCGCCCGTGGGCTGTCCTGAGGGCGCCCGCGCGATCCCGACCTACCAGGAGGGGGCCTGCTGCCCAGTCCAAAACTGCAGTGAGTGGCCTGGACCAGGCCCTGTCAGGGGCCGTGGGCTGGGGTCTCCACCTGGGATTTTGGGGGGCCATAACCAGATGCCAGTGCGGCTTGTCCACTGCGGGTCTGTGGCTCTGGACTGAGCCTTCCGCAGAGATGAGGCTGGACAAACCCCAGTGGCGAGCCCGGGAATGAGGCGCCCAGGAGGCTGCAGGGGCGGGAATGCTGAGGGTGAGGGGAGAGTGGGCGGCGGGGGGTGCAGCTGCTTGTCTTCTCGTGGGCAGGCTGGACAGTGTGCAGCATCAACGGGACCCTGTACCAGGTAAGAGCCACGGAGCTCAGACCCCCTCAGCCATAGGGACGGAGCTTCCCACTGACCCTGAGGCCCAGGTAGACTTTGGAGCAACTGCCAACTCCGGCCGAGGCCAGGGACTCGAGTCTCTGCAGACACAGCCCACTATCAAGTGTGGCTGAGGCCCGAGGTCGGCCCCAGGTCCCGGAAATATGGACATCTACACCCTGGCCTGCCTGGCTCCGGGGGGCTCCGGGGGACTTTGCCTCTCCTGGCACCACAGCACAGCCAGGCCTGGATCCCACGGCTCTGTCCTGAGCCGGCTGAGTATGTGGCCCTGCAGAGTGTGTGGCCTTGTTGGGCACCCCATCCAAGGGGGTGCAGCGTGGGGCTCTGCTCTAGGGATGGGGACCCTGGGCTGTGGCCTCTGCACCAAGAGGTGCCACCACGAGTCACCCCAGGGGTGCAACTCGGCCTGGTAGGAAGCGGCCTGGAGGGGGATGTCTGGGAAGTTGGGGGCAGCAAGCCAGTGGGGAGGCAGGGGCGGGTCTCCCCAGGGCCCAAGCTCATGAGTGTCTGCTGCCCTGGCTCTCCCCAGCCCGGCGCCGTGGTCTCCTCGAGCCTGTGCGAAACCTGCAGGTGTGAGCTGCCGGGTGGCCCCCCATCGGACGCGTTTGTGGTCAGCTGTGAGACCCAGATCTGCAACACACACTGCCCTGTGGTGAGCGCTCCCACCCTGCCCCGACCCTGCCCTGGCTCTTGGGGGGCAGCGGTCGCCTGGATTCCAGCCACATGTCCATCCCTCCCGCAGGGCTTCGAGTACCAGGAGCAGAGCGGGCAGTGCTGTGGCACCTGTGTGCAGGTCGCCTGTGTCACCAACACCAGCAAGAGCCCCGCCCACCTCTTCTACGTGAGTAGTGGCTGCCACAAAGAGGAAGGGCAGGGTCTGGGAGCACTGGGGCATGTGGGGACCTGTCGTTGCCAGGCATGCGTCTGGCAGAGGCTGGGGACTCTCTGGAAGCCCACGGGCTGGGGTGCAGACAGAGGGACAGACGGAGGGAGGGTCACTCACCCCGGGGCCTGGCCTCCCTCCAGCCCGGCGAGACCTGGTCAGACGCAGGGAACCACTGTGTGACCCACCAGTGTGAGAAGCACCAGGATGGGCTCGTGGTGGTCACCACGAAGAAGGCGTGCCCCCCGCTCAGCTGTTCTCTGGTGAGGTCCAGGATCCCCGCTCCAGCCAAGGGGGGCTTCACCCCTAGATGGGTTTGGGGGGCTGTGATCATCCCTGCAGCGCCAGCAGACACCCCCTCCTGCTTGGGGCTGTCCACTCCTGAGCCTGGCCCCATGTCCCCATCCCTCACTTCTGTGGGGGCCGCCGAGCGCCTCGGCACTGAGGGCGCCCCTCTGTCGGCACAGGACGAGGCCCGCATGAGCAAGGACGGCTGCTGCCGCTTCTGCCCGCCGCCCCCGCCCCCGTACCAGAACCGTGAGTACCCAGCCTGCTGGGCGGGGCGGGCTCCACCCTCAGAGGTCTAGGAGCAGCTGGGCTGGTCCTAAACCCTGTGTTCCTCTCCAGAGTCGACCTGTGCTGTGTACCATAGGAGCCTGATCATCCAGCAGCAGGGCTGCAGCTCCTCGGAGCCCGTGCGCCTGGCTTACTGCCGGGGGAACTGTGGGGACAGCTCTTCCATGTACGTGCCTGGGCAGCAGGCAGGGAGACGCGATTGGCTGTGGGGTGCAGTCAGGGCCCCCAGGGCTCTAGGTGCCAGATAGACGAGGGGCAGGACCATGAGGGGCCAGGCAAAGGGCTCTGAGGGTGAGGCGGGAAAGGGGTCCTGAGATGGCAAGGGTGGGGCTGGGGTAACTACATCCCCAGAGCCTGTGTCGGCATCACGCTCTCCTGTTTACTGAGCTCCGCCAGGAACTTGCCGCAGCCGCCCCGAGTCTCCCTCCCTCCCATCAGCACGGAGCCGGGGTCGGCCCTGGTGGGACTGTTGGCGCCTGGGGAACTGGCAAAGGAGAGCTGGTTGTCAGACACTGGCAGCATGCCTCCAGGAGCAGGGAACACGATGAGGCCGCCCAGAGCTCGGCACGGCGCCGGCTTACGGCAGGAGGCTGGGGTGGCGCAGCAGCTGGTGCTGAGCAGCCCCTGCCCACAGGTACTCGCTCGAGGGCAACACGGTGGAGCACAGGTGCCAGTGCTGCCAGGAGCTGCGGACCTCGCTGAGGAATGTGACCCTGCACTGCACCGACGGCTCCAGCCGGGCCTTCAGCTACACCGAGGTGGAAGAGTGCGGCTGCATGGGCCGGCGGTGCCCTGCGCCGGGCGACACCCAGCACTCGGAGGAGGCGGAACCCGAGCCCAGCCAGGAGGCAGAGAGTGGGAGCTGGGAGAGAGGCGTCCCAGTGTCCCCCATGCACTGACCAGCACTGCCGCCCTCCTGACCTCCAAGGAGAACCTCCCATATGTCCTCTGAGCTCGGCTTCCAAGGCCAGTGGAACTTGTGCCCCTGTCCAGGCGGCTGCAGCTTTGAACACACTGTCCACGCCCGCTTTCTTGTGGAGGGTGTGGGCTATGGGTCACCTGCTGCCTGGAGGAGGGGCCCTTACCCACCCCGCCTGCAGCCACCTCTCAGGACCAGCCCCGGGGCTGGCCGAGCTCCTCTGGCCATGCATCCAGCCTGCTGTTCTGGGGACGTGAGCATCACCTGAGGGTCTCAGGAATGACGCTTGGACATGGTGATCAGCTGCCTGGTGGCTGCAGGAGGAAGAACCTCACTCCTACCTCAGCCCTCAGCCTGCGCTCCCCTCCTCAGTACACGGCCAATCTGTTGCATAAATACACTTGAGCATTTTGCAATTTGTGGACTGTGCATTTTTTGAGATTGTTCATAAAATCCAGGAATAGGGTGGGGGCAAACCCGGGCCCTGTGGGGTGCACACCTCAGGCCAGCCACCCAGTACTGGGCAGCCCTGCTGCTTCTGTGGGCTGGCTGGGACAGTGTCTCTCTGCTCAGAGAGGAGAGGCCAGAGCTTGGATCTGCCCCAAGAAGAGACCACCACCCTGCAGAGGTCTTTGAGGGCTTGGCTGCAGTCTAGAGTCCAGGATGCATCTGTTCAGAACACAGAGAGTGAGTGAATGAGAGTGAGAGAATGAATGAGTGAATAAATGGGTGAGTGAATAAGTGAGTGCATGAGTGAGTGAATGAATAAGTGAATGTGTGAGTGAGTGCATGTGAGTGAGTGAATGTGAGTGAATGAATGTGAGTGAATAAGTGAGTGACTGAGTGAATGAGTGAATGAATGAGTGAATGAGTGAGCAAATAAGTGAATGAGTGAGTGAATAAGTGAATGCATGAGTGAATGAATAAGTGAATGTGTGAGTGAATGAGTGCATGTGAGTGAATAAGTGAGTGCATGAGTGAGTGAATAAGTGAATGTGTGAGTGAATGAGTGCATGTGAGTGAATAAGTATGTGAGTGAGAGATTGAGTGAATGAGTGAATGAATGAGTGAATGAGTGAGCAAGTGAGTGAATAAATGAATGAGTAAATGAGTGGGTGAATGAACAAGTGAATGAGTGAATGAGTGAATGAGTGAGCAAATGAGTGAGTGAATAAATGAATGAGTAAATGAGTGGGTGAATGAACAAGTGAATGAGTGAGTGAGCGAATGGGTAAGTGAATGAGCGAATGAGTGAGAGAATGAGTGAATGAGTGAATAAGTGAATGAGTGAATGAGTGAGTGAATGAGTGAATGAGCGAGTGAATGAGTGAGTGAATAAGTGAATGAGTGAGTGAATGAGTGAATGAGTGATGAATGAATGCGTGAGGGAGGGAGTCAGCAGGGAATGGGACCAGCCCAGGCATCCAGGGCACCTCATGGCCCAGGCAAGGGCCTCTGACATGGGAGGGCTGCCCCTGGTGATGGAGGCGTTCTGGGATGGGGGGTTCCAGCTCTGTGCAGCTCCTAGACTCGCCGTTACTGGGGCTGAGCTTGGGCTGTGCACACTCCTGAGTGTATCTGCAGGCAAGCGGGAGGTCGGCAACCCCACGGAGCGTCTGCTGGATGCTCTGCAGAGGGTGGGCTGGGCCCTGGAAGCTTGTCACTCTCTTAGTCCTCTCTGACCACCGCCACCCCTCCCCGGAGCCTCCATGTTCCTGATGCCCAGTGTTCTCCTCTTGGAGGGCTCCAGGGAGTCTGCAGATTCCCTTGGACACACCGGCCTCGGGCTGGGCCCTGCCTCAGCCACATAGCAGCACCAGTAGAGTGGGCGGCACTGACCCGGCATCCCAGGAGTGGGCAGAGGGGTCTGGAGGAGCCCAGGCTGAGCCGGGTGGGGCTGGGGAGCCCACTGCCTAGACAGGGCCAGCGCAGGGCGGGGGAAAGACAGGGAGGGCTGTGGTCGGCCCTGGCCAGGCCTGTGGCCCACACAGGAAGGCCCAGGAACATCTGGAGCCCCCCACGCCTGATGGTGGGACAGGTGGGTGGGAAGCTGCGCCCAGAGTGGAGGCGGTGACGTGGCAGGCACCAGCTCCCTGGTGACTTTCTGGGGCTCAGGGTCCTGCCCGGGCCTCCCACAGCTTCAGGTGGCCCCAGTGTCCCTCTGGGCCAGAGAGGGTCTCAGGGACCTGTGTACCCTGGGCGTGGTGTGGAGTAGCTGAGGGGCCGGCAGGGGGATTCTCCATCAGCAAGGTGGACGTAGGGGCCCAGCCTCATGTGCCTGTCTGGGTGGGCGCTTTTCCCAGCCCTCCTGGACTTCGGCCGCGCCCATTGCTCCAACCTCCCCCAGCCTCCTTTTCAGGTGCCAGGCCCGGCGGGGTGGGGTCTGGGGAACCGACCTTCCATTCTCAGGCGTGCAGCCGCGCTCCCTGCAGCTGCCACGAGGTGGCAGCACAGTCAGGCCCGGCACCCGTCGGCTCAGGCCTGGGCTCCAGGCACCGCAGAGCCAGGGGAGTCCCGGGTCTCAGCCCACATCCCTCACGGCCTGCCCATGGCCCTGGGAGGCTGAGGACACCCCTCACGGCTTACAGGCACATGGCAGCCTGGAGGGCTTGGGCTGGGCCGGAGGGCCGCGGCCCCTCCCGCTACTGTGTGCCTGGCCCTGTGAGGAGGCCCGGCCAGTCCCAGAGTCCCTCTTGCCCTCAAGCCACGTCTGCAGGCACTGGGAGGTCAGAAGGCAAGGCCGGCCCAGTCCCTGCACCAGGATTTTTGACCCAATGGCAGGCAGTGAGGCCTCCGTGGCTCCAGCGTTGGCTCACATCTGGGGGTTGCTTTGACAGGTCTCAGGGCTGGGGTGCCCAGGACCCCCCAGGTCCAGTTCTCCAACTGCCTGCCCACCCTGGCCCACTGTGTGCTCCCAGACACCTGGGCAGTGGGGCTGCCTCCGAGCCTGACTGCTGGGGTGAGCAGGTGGGGCAGAGGAGGCTCCCCAGCCTCGACCCATGTCCTCTTGGCGGCCAGGCGGAAGCACAGCCCGGGAACTCCCGCTCTAAGACCCGTCGGCTCCAGCGCTCTGCTGACCACCTGACCTCACAGCCGCAGGGCACCCTAACCAGCACCAGTGTGCCCGGGGTGGATCAGGTATCCTAGAAAGCTGCCAATTCCTCTCAGGGTAGGGTGGGAACGGCTGACTAATCCCCCACCCCCTGGGGTGAGCTTGGCCCCACGGCCTCCTGCCCGGCGCTCCCTGCCTGGAACACGGCAGAGTGGCCGGAGGTAACCAGATAGCAGGTCCCTGGGAGGGAGCAGCCGCCTCCCGGCTGCCCACCTGGGTCGCCACAGCCCCTGGCCCCGGTTATGCAAGTCGCCATTCCGGAAAGAGCCACAGAGATGGGTGTGGCCCCAAACACCTTGGCGGCTGCCAGCCTGCCCCTGCTCCCCACTCCTCCTGGACGTGAGCGGGAAGAGGCCAGGGCTGGCCTGGGTGGCCCCTGCCCCACCCCCCACACTCCCGTGCCAGGAGGCTGCCTGGAGTATGGCCTTGGCGGAGGCGTCACGTCGAGGCTGGACACTCATGATTCTAGGACCCCTCCAGGAGCCAAAACTTCCCCCAGGCTGATGGAGAAGGGGTGTCCCACCATGTGCCCAGGGAGTCCATATTGGGGCCCATACTGGGGCCAGGTCCCAGATAAGGGGACCTGGGAGGCTCCTGGCCATGGGGAGCAAGATGGACAGAGACGCAGGGCTCAGGGGTCTGTGACCATGGAGGGTGGGCTGTGCTCTCAGCCCCCTCCCAGCTCTCCCCAGCATGGCAGCACCCAGGGCTCCTGAGGAGCTGGGTCCCCGCAGTCGGCCACATCTTGGGGTGTGCACAGGCAGCAGCTCCGAGCTCTGGGCAGCAGGGTGGGTCCCCATGGTTGGCCACATCTTGGGGTGTCCCCAGCAGCAGCTCTGAGCTCCCGGGCAGCAGGGTGGGTCCCCGCGATTGGCCACGTCTTGGGGTGTGCACAGGCAGCAGCTCTGAGCTCCTGGGCAGCAGGATGGGTCCCCGTGATCGGCCACATCTTGGGGTGTCCCCAGCAGCAGCTCTGAGCTCCCGGGCAGCAGGGTAGGTCCCCGCGGTCGGCCACGTCTTGGGGTATCCCCGGCAGCAGCTCTGAGCTCCTGGGCAGCAGGATGGGTCCCCGCGATCGGCCACGTCTTGGGGTGTCCCTGGCAGCAGCTCTGAGCTCCGGGCAGCAGGGTGACTTCTTGGAGCAACCAGAGATCCAGGGCAGCTGCCTGGCCCAGGTGCAGAGAGATGGATGCTGCGGTGGCATGGATGCCAGCTGAAGCCCTGGGAGCAGAGAGACCTGAGGATGATTTTAAGGAGGCTGGGGCCAGTGTAGGGAAGCAGGGCAGCTGCCCGGGGCTGGCCACTCACCCTGGGCACAGCTCCTGCCCCCAGGTGTGCCTGTATTCAGGACGGGCACCGACTGTGTGCTCGAATGTCCCTAGGCAGGACCCGGAACGTGTTTGACTGAGGGACAGCCTCGTGGGGGACAAAAGACTGCAGAAGAGGTGACCACCTATGTAGAGAACCCGACTGAACCAACAGAGGAGCCATGGGTGCTGACGGGACAGCCCCACAGAGCCTTGGCTAGAGCGGCCCAAAGTCAGCGTGGTTCTTCCACACCCTGGACCACCACCGGAAAACGACCACGTCTCTGGCTGTGTGAAGCTGCGTAGTGAATGTCCATGTCTCCAGCAGCAGGCTGGAGGGATGCAGAGGAGGACTCAGAGACGGAAGGGGCATTGCACACACAGGCGTGGCTCCCCCAGGCCGATGGCAGCTGGTGAGAGCTTTGGAGGAAGTTGGCAAACTCGTAGAATCTACCCGGACTGAAAAAGGTCCTCAAATATCCAGGTGGATTTTGAAAGGCACGAGCAAAGAGTGCAGTGCCCTGCCACCCAGGAGGGCTCCCCAGCAATCATCGCAGGGAAAGCGCCCCTCCCCCTGGGCCACAGTGGCTTCCAGCAGCCGTGCTGTGTGGGCCGCCCCACGCAGGCCAAAGGGACCCACTGAGGGCCCGGTGAGGTGCCCGTGTCCCTGGGGCCTCGCCGTGTTGCAGGAGCAGTGCGCAGGGCTGTCGGCTCCTGAGCATCTGCTGGAAGGCCTGCAAGGTTTGGTCGCTGAGTGCTCACAGCTCAGAGCCCAGGGGTGGAGCCTGGCCCTCACAGTGAGCAGAGCAGACGAGATCACCGGGTGGAAGGAACCCCAAACTGGAGCTACAGGGCAAAATAAGCAGAAAAGGAGAATTCAAGATATTGGGGCTAGAACTGTGGGGGTGCTGACCAGAGCCTGCGGGAGCCTGGGGTGCGTGTGGGGTTGGGGGTGGCGGGACAGAGAGCCCCGCTGGGAGCAGGGCTGCAAGAGAGCCCCCAGCCAGGGTGGCTGGACCAAGGTGGGCCAGGAGGGGTGGATACAGAGGTGGCCAGGCCAGGCCGAGTGCGGCGGGCTTTGGAGGTCCCAGTAGAGGCACCTCGAAGTCTGCCTCAAATCCTGCTGCTTCTCACTCACCCTGGGGCTTTCTCAATGCTCATAAAACCCACCTGGAGGTCACACACAGGCTGCTGTATTTTTACAGAATAGAATAAAAAATAAAACCCCAGAGGGTGACGGTGACAAAGTATGTGCATCCTGGGCGCTGGAGAAAGACATTTTTATGACTGAGGTTCTGGGAGGCGTAGACACAGCGGCCCGGAGGACATGGAGAGCAGCAAGTTCAGGTCAGAAAGAAGGCGCCTGCAGGCAGGACTATGTGGCTGGGAGGCCGCAGTGCGTCCGGCGGCCCCGACACAGGCCCAGCGGGAAGGACGTGCTGGCGCCGCACTCTCTGCTCTCACCCGCCATCGTCGTCCGGACTGACTGTTTATCCGAAGGCGACGTGCACCCCTCACCGCAATCTCACCCCACTCCCTGCCTCGCACAACCATCCCTGCCCGGCCCGCCCACTTCTCCAAATGGGGGGCTCCTCAGCCCTCGGAGCCCACCCCTGGGGTCCCCCAGCCTTGGTGCCTTAGCTGGGACTGTGGGGTGAGGGCTTCTGTGCTGGCCCCACCCTCACCAGGTGAAGGTAGACAATGAAGACTGGGCCACCTGAGCTGTGGGGCCTGCGAGACTCAGAGGCCGCTGGCTGGGCCCCTGTCAATGGTGGAGGCAGCTCTGTCACCTCCGGGAGCTCGCCCTGCTCACGACCCACCACGTGCCACCCTAGTCCCAGACCCTGCAGGGGCCCTGAGAGCGGTGCTTACCAAACCAGAGGCAGAGGTCCTGAACCCCAAACCATCCAGACCCATCCCAGGCCAGCGTCCCACTGCTCCTCTCTGGCTGGGCTGAGCCAGAGGCTCATTCCCACCCGGGCAGGGTTGGGGGGCTGCTCCTCTGACTGTCCCACCCAGAGGGAGATCAGCCCTGATGCACCACCCCTGCAGGCCCCGGGGGCTCAGGCTGCCTCGCCCAGCACCCACCCTGGAGGCCTCAGATGCCTGGGCGGGGGCTGGCAGGAGGGTGCCAGGGAAGGGCCCCCAAGCTGATGTCCCCGGCCGATGGCTCTCAAGCTTCTACCCTCCCACGAAAGGATGGTTCAGAATTTAGTGAAAACTGAGAATCCACGTCCTGCTGGGAGGGGCCCTGGCAGGCTGGCTCCAGCTCACAGGGTTCAGGAAGAAGCCCCTGGGGGCAGGGAGGTCACCAGGCCACACCCTGGTGGTAGGATGTGCCTTAGGTCCCCAGAGCCAAGAGGCACTATGGCCTTGCTCCCGGCACCCGACCCCACCTGCCGTGGACCCGTGCGCCTGTGCGCAGCTCAGGAAGCCACCGGTAGCTCCACTGAGACCAGCCTCCTCTCCCGGGGCGTCTCAGCTGTCCCCGGGGCCACGTCCCCCCCTCACTTGGGTCTCCACAGCAGCGCCGGCCGAGCTGGTTTGCAGACTCTGCCTCTGGAGAATCGTGGGCGGTGGCTCCTGTTTGCCTACGTGTGTGCTGCATGGACAGAGCTGCAAGGCCCCGGGCGAACATGCAGGCAGACGGACGTGGATACACAGAGGCTTGGAAATGCCTCTTCAGCCCTGCTAAGAGCTGGCCCTGGGGCTTTGCTCCCCTTCCCTGGAAGCAGAGCGTGGGGCTGCTCAGCTGGGCAGAAGCCCGTCCGTCCAGAGGCTCAGCAACGCCAGGGCAGGGCCCCTGCTGACCCCAGGCCAGTCCCACCATCCTCCTGGGCGATAAAGGGTCGGTGCTGAGTGACCTTAAGTTCTGAGAAAGGGGCCTGGCAGCAGCTCTCGACCAAACTCTGCCAAAGCCTCAGGCCGGCCATGGGCGAGGCTGCCCCTCATGTCCCCGCGGCTGGGTAGAACTGGGCGTGAGGCCTTGGTCTGGTCGCCAACCTTTTCCCTACAAACAAGTCCTCATTGTGCCCCTTGAGCTGTTCTGACCACCGTGACCTCTGAATGGGGTCGTAGGTCAGAGTTCAGAGTTCACTCACCACTGCCCTTGGAGCAGCTCTGACTCTGTACCCCACAGGGGTGTGGGCGCATTCGCCGCCATCTGCTCAGACCACACAGGCTTTCAGAACGTCAGCCTCATCCCAGATGTGGGGCAGGCAGGGCCCTGGTGAGGCTGAGTGCACAGACAGGGCGGCCGGGCCCAAAGGTGAAAGGGGCGGGGATCACGCCTGGGCCTGTGTCCCGTGAGGGTCGGGCCCTGCAAGTGGGCTGCCCCTCTGCTGCTCGGCCTGCCCCATCACGGCGCGGGAGTCAGGACTGTGGTGGGTCCCTTGGGCTGGGCCTGGATCTCCCTTTCCCAGTTCTTGCAGGGGCCCTGGGGCCAGGTGGGGCAGGAGCCGGCGGTAGCAGGAGCCTGTAGGGCTTGGGTGTGGGTGCTGGCCTTGGTATCAGGTGCCTAACCCAGCACCGGGCCACTGGGGAAGGTGGCCTCAGCCACACGGGGCCACGTTGGCCCCTCTGCCAGCCTCGCAGGCGCTAAGTCAACATCGGGGTTCCTGGAGGGAAGGGAGGGCCTGTTTGCCGCTGACACTTGGCAGGGAACTGGACAACGTGCGCCCCACTCCTGTTTGCTCTGACTCGAGTTGTCTTAATCCTGAGCAAATGCGGCCAAGGGGCCTGCCTCGGCCTTGTCCTCTGTCCACACTCTGCCCGCATCCTCACCTGCCCGCCACACTGAGGTCACGCCTGCCCGCCACACTGAGGTCACGCCTGCCCGCCACACTGAGGTCACGTCTGCCCGCCACACTGAGGTCACGCCTGCCCGCCACACTGAGGTCATGCCTGCCCGCCACTGTGAGGCACCCCAAGACTCTGGCCCTGCATGGGGGTGCTGCTTCCCCAGGAGACTCTCAGGGCTGGGGAGCCACTAAGCATCCACGGTGCCAGGGCCAGGACAGCCCCGACACCGGCCTCAGCACCTGGCCATGGCACGCCAGCCCCTTGCATCCCTGTTGCCTGCTCAGGCTGTCTCTGCCATGTCCCCCTCCTCCTCCTTCCACACGTGTCCCCTCCACTTCTCCCTTTTCCCTTTTGTCCCCCTTCACTACTGCACCCCTGCATCCAGGCCCCACTGGGCTACTGCAGGGGATGCATTCTGGTGGCATCATGCCTCTGGGGAAAGTCCTCCTTCGCTGTGGTTCTGAACTTGCAGGTAAGTTGAATGAGTGGAACAGAGACCTCCTCCATGCCCTTCCTCAGGCTCTGGGGCTTGTGTTTTGTTCCAGGGACTTGTGCTATTTGCTGTCTGTAGCTACATATTTTTCTGAACCTCTGGTGTTTGAGAAGCATGTCCCTTCACCCTTATATACGCAGACGTGTCGCCTAGAAACAGCAGGGGTCACACCCAGACGGGTCGGTGACGTGACATCACAGCCCAGAGGCAGACCCCTCTGCTGTCCTGCCCGCGTCCATCACAGCTTTCATCTTTCCCACCCCAGGGTTTGGCGTAGGACCACCTGTCCCACCACTGCCAGCTCTTCAGTCTCCTTGTATCTGGAATCTGTCCTCAGCTTTTCTGTTTCTTGACCGTGGTCTTTTGAGGAGAGTAGGCTGGTTATGTTGCGTGGCACCCCTAAGTCTGTCTGAGGTTTGCTTGTGCTCCAGCTGGGCTGTACCCTGGCAGGGTCACCACGGGGAAGCTGTGCGTGTCTCCAGAGGATGTGATGTCGATTGGACCCAGCACTGGGACGCCAGCCTTCATCACTTGGTTCAGGGGTGTCTGCCGGTTTTCTCCACTGGAAAGTTGTTGGGAACAGGCCCCCCAAAATCTGCCCATAAACTGGCCCCAAAACTGGCCATAAACAAAATCTCTGCAGCACTGTGACATGTTCATGATGGCCATGACGCCTACGCTGAAGGTTGTGGGTTTACTGGAATGAGGGCAAGGAACACCTGGCCCACCCAGGGTGGAAAACCGCTTAAAGGCGTTCCTAAGCCACAAACAATAGCATGAGTGATCTGAGCCTTAAGGACATGCTCCTGCTGCAGATAACTAGCCAAACCCATCGCTTTATTTCAGCCCATCCTTTCATTTCCCATAAGGAATACTTTTAGTTAATCTATAATCTATAGAAACAATGCTTATCACTGGCTTGCTGTTAATACATACGTGGGTAAATCTGTGTTCGAGGCTCTCAGCTCTGGAGGCTGTGAGACCCCTGATTTCCCACTCCACATCTCTATATTTCTGTGTGTGTCTTTAATTCCTCTAGTGCCACTGGGTTAGGATCTCCCCGACCAAGTTGGTCTCAGCAGAAAGTTGCCATCTCCTCCCCTGGAGCTAAGGAGTCTCTTGTGGGAGGTGCTTCAGGACCACATAATTATTCTATTCCTCCCTAGCTGCTGTGTGTTAACTAGTGTCAATATCCATTAATGAGTCTAATTCCTCCCACTTTTCTTAGTCTTTCTCTCTAAAAACTGGGAGAGCTCCCGGCATTCAAGGAAATCTCTGTCAAAACATCAGTTGAACATGAGCTAAAGGAACACAGACTTCATGATCACACATGACAAGAAATAGTCTTTGGCAGCCAGGTGTGGTGGCTCACGCCTGTAGTCCCAGCACTGTGGGATGCCGAGGAGGGCAGATCACCTGAGGTCAGGAGCTCAAGACCAGCCTGACCAATATAGCAAAACCAGTCTCTACTAAAAATACAAAAAATTAGTCAGGTGTAGTGGTGGGTGCCTGTAATCCCAGATACTTGGAAGGCTGAGGCAGGAGAATTGCTTGAACCCAGGAGGCAGAGGTTGCAGTGAGCGTGCCATTGCACTCCAGCCTGGGCAACAGAACAAGACTCTGTCAAGAAAAAAAAAACACACCAAGAAACAGCCTTTGCAAAGTTCACTTAAAAACATCTCGAATGGATCACTGTAGCCTTCAATAATAAAAAAGAAGAGAAAAACCCAGCCAACACTAGAAAAAGGGGGAAATCTGATTTCCAGAGTTACCACATTATAATAGTTAAATCCCCAATTTTCAACAAAAAAATCACAAGACTTACAAAGAAACAATATAGCCCATCCAGAGGAACAAAATAAACTGGGAGAAGTTATCCCTGAGTAAATTCAGACATCAGTCTTACTAGCCAGTGATTTTAAAGCAACTGTCTTAAGTTGCTCAAAGAACTAAAGCAAAAGACGGACAAAGAACCAAAGGAGGTCAGTAAGACAATGCACGTACAAAATGAGAATACCCACAAAGAGACAGAAATCTTTTTAAAAAGAACCAAACAGATATTCTGTACTTGGAAATTATAATAACTGAAATGAAAAAAAATCACTAGAGGGGTTCAACAGCATATTTGAGCAGTTATAAGAAAGGCTCAGCCAAACTTGAAGACAAGGCAATTGAAATGATCAAGTCTGAGGAGCAGAAAGAAAAAAAGATTGAAGAAAAGTGAATAGAATCTGAGGTGCTTGTTGACCACCAAGTGGGTCTTACAGGAGGAGAGAAAGGGAGAAATTATTCAAAGAAACTCAAAAAAATTCAAAGGAACAAAAATGGCCAAAAGCTTTCTAAAATTGATGAAAAACATGAATCTACAAATCCAGGGAGTTCAAGAAACTCCAAGTAGGATAAACTCAAAGAGATCCACACTGAGACACATTATAATCAAACAGTTGAAGGATAAAAGCAAAGAAAGAATCTCAAAAGCAAGAAGAGACGTGACTTGTCGTATTTAAGGGATCTTCAGTAAGATTGGCAGCATATTTACCATCAGAAACCTTAAAGGCCAGCAAGGTAGTGGATGATAACATTTAAAGTGCTGAAATTAAAAAACAACAACACTGTCAACCAAGAATTCTATATCTGGCAAAACTGTCCTTCAAAACTTAGGGTGAAATTAGGACATTACCAGATAAACAAAAGGTAAGGGATTTGTTGCCACTAGCCAAGCCCTGCAAGAAATGCTACACAAAGTCCTTCAGGCTGAAATAAAAGGACACTAGACAGTAACTCAAAGCTGTAAAAAGAAATAGATCTTCACTGAAACTACATACATGGCCAAATATAAAAATCCAGTATTACTGTAAATTTGATTTTAATCCACTTCTTCTTTTCTACAGGATATAAAAGGCAAATGCATAAAAATAACTATAAATCTATGTTATTGAATACACAAGGTATAAAGATGTAATTTGTGACATCAATGAAATAAAGGGAGGGGGTGGAGCTGTGTAGAAGGAGGGTTTTGTGTGCAATTAAAGTTATGTTGGTATCAATTCAAACTAGACTGTTATAACTTTAGGATGTTATATGTCATCCCGAGGGTAACCACAAAGAAAATGCTATAGAATATACACAAAAAGAAATGAGAAGGGAATAAAAATTTGTCACTTCAAAAAATCAACTGAAGACAAAAGAAGGCAGTGATGGAGACAATGAGGAACAAAAAATTAGAAGACATACAAAAAAATAGTAAAATGGCAGTGGTAAGTACATCCTTATTAGTAATTACTTTAAATGCAAATAGACTTAGACTCTCCATTTAAAATGCAGAGACTGGTTAAAATCAATTTTTAAAAAACCATGATTGGCTGGGCATGGTGGCTCACGCCTGTAATTCCAGCACTTTGGGAGGCCAAGGCAGGCGGATCATGAGGTCAGGAGATTGAGACCATCCTGGCTAACATGGTGAAACCCCATCTCTACTAAAAATACAAAAAATTAGCCGGGCATGGTGGTGGGTGCCTGTAGTCCCAGCTACTTGGGAGGCTGAGGCAGGAGAATGGCGTAAACGTGGGAGGCAGAGATTGTAGTGAACCAAGATTATGCCACTGCACTCCAGCCTGGGCAACAGAGTGAGACTCTGTCTCAAAAAAAAAAAAAAGTCAATTCAACAAGAAGATATAACAACTATAAATATATATGAACCAAACAACAGAGCCTCCAGGTATATGAAGCAAACATTGTCAGAATGAAGGGAGAAATAAATAGTTCTATAACAATAGCTGAAGACTTCAGTACCACACTTTCAATAATCAATACAACAACCAGACAGATCAATAAGGAAACAGAGGACTTGAACAACACTATAGACCAATTAGACATAATGTACATGCACAGAACACTTCACCTACCAACAGCAGAAGACACATTTTTTTCCAAGTGCACATGAAATATTCTCCAGGAGAAACTATATGATAGGATCCAAAACAAGTCTTAATAAACTTTCAAAGATTGAAATCACACAAAGTATTCTACAAAGGAATGAAGCTAAAAATCAATAATAAAAGAAAAACTAAAATGTACAAATATGAGGAAATTGAATATCACACCTTTAAATAACAAACAGGTCAAAGAAGAAATCACCAAAGATATTAGGCATTCTTAAAGCTTGAATGAAAACAAAACCACAATGTATCCAAACTTATAAGACACACAAAGGTAGTAATGAGAGGGAAATGTATAGCTAGAAACAACTAAATCAAAAAAGAAGAAATATCTTAAATCAATAACCTAATTGTATACCTTAAGGAACTAGAAAAAGAAGAGAAAACTAAACCCAAAGCTACCAAAAGGGAGGACATAATAAAGGTTACAATAGAAATAAATAAAACAAGGAATTTTAAAAAATCATAGGAAAAAAAGCCTTCAATGAAACCAAAAGTTGGTTCTTTAAAAAGATCAACCAAATTGACAAACTTTTAGCTAGATTGGCTAAGAAAAAAGAGAAGATTCAAATTACTAAAATCAGAAATAAAAAGGATATTACTAAAAATTTTACAGGAACAAAAACAATTATAAGAGAATGCTATGAACAATTGTCTGCCAACAAATTTGATAACTTAGAAGAAACAGGCAAATTCCTCAAAAGCACTCTATGTAGCAAAACTGCCTCATGAAGAAATAGGCAAACTGAGTAGATGTAGAAAAGGAGATTAAGTCAGTAATCAAAACCCTCCTATATAAAGAAAATCACAGGGCCTGATGGCTTTACTGGTTAATTCTAACAGGCATTTAAAGAAGAATTAACACCAATATGTATCAAATTCTTCCAAAAGATTGGAAAAAAAGGGCAACCGTTCTGTATTAGTCCATTTTCATCCTGCTAAAGAAATACCCATGACTGAGTAATGTATAAAGAAAAAGAGGTTTAATGGACTCACAGTTCCACATGGCTGGGGAGGCCTCACAATCATGGTGGAAGGCAAAGAAGGAGCAAAGGCACATCTTATATGGCAGCAGGGGAGAGAGTGTGTGCAGGGGAACTGCCCTTTATAAAACCACCAGATCTCTTGAGACTTATTCACTGTCCTGAGAACGGCACCCATATCAACTTCCTAACTCATTCTATGAAGCTAGCATTACACTGACAACCAAGGAGACAAAGACAAAACAAGTCAAGAAAACTAAAGACCAATATCCTTTAAAAATATTGATGAAAAAAATCCTCCACAAAATACTAGCAAACTGAACTCAGCAGCTTCCTAAAGGGATTCTACACCATGATCAAATGGGTTTTCTTCCTGGGCTGCAAGCGTGGTTCAAGATATGAAAATCAACCATTTAAACACACCACATTAATAGAATGAAGCAGGAAAAAAAAAATCCATGACCATTTCAATGGATGCAGAAGAAGCATTTGCCAAAATTCAACACCATTTCATGGTTAAAAATAAACAAAAACAAAACAAAACAACCAACTAGAAATAGGAGGAAACTACTTCAACATGATAAGGGCCATATGTAAAAAGCCCACAGCCAACCTCATATTCAGTGATGAAAGACTGAAACCTTTTCCTCTAAAATTGGGAAAAAGACAACAAGGCTTGTATTCACCATTTGTATTCAACATAGGGTTCGAAGTTCTAACCAGAGCAATAAGGCAAGAACGAGAAATAACAGAAACGAAAATTGGTAAGGACGATGTAACATTACTATGTTCACAGATGACATGCTATTATATATAGAAATCCCCCAAAATTCCACCCCAGTACTACTGAAGCTGATTAAAGCATTCAGCAATACACACTAGCCATGAACAATGGGAAAAGGATATTAAGAAAACAATTCCATTTACATAGCATCCAAAAGAATAAAATGCTTAGGAAATAAACATAACCGAAGAGGCAAAACATCTGTACACTGAAAACTACAGAACATTGTTGAAAAAAATATTTAAAGACATAAAGTGGAAAGACATCCTGTGTTCATGGGTTTGAAGACAATATTGATAAGGTAACAATACTACCCAAAGGTAATACAGATTCCATGCAATCCTTATCAAAATTCTCACGGTACTTTTGTAGAAATAGGAAAATCCATGCTAAACTTTGTATAGAATCTCAAGGGACCCTGAATAGCCAAAATAGTCTTTCAAACGAACAAAATTGGAGGACTCATACTTCTTATTTTTAAAATGCATGACAACACTGCAGTCATCAAGTTGCTGTACTGGCATAAGGACAGATATATGGAGCAATGGACTGGAACAGAGAGCCAGGAATAAACCTTGGCATATATGATCAATTGAATTTTTTTTTTTTTTTTTGGAGACAGAGTTTTGCTCAGTTGTCCAGGCTGGAGTGCAGTGGCACAATCTTGGTTCACTGCAACCTCCACCTCCCAGGCTCAAGTGATTCTCGTGCCTCAGCCTCCTGAGTAATTGGGATTACAGGCACCTGCCACCACACGTGGCTAATTTTTTGTATTTTAGTAGAGACAGGGTTTCACCATGTTGCCTAGGGTGGTCTCGAACTCCTGAGCTCAGGTGATCCACTGGCCTCAGCCTCCCAAAGTGCTGGGATGACAGGCGTGAGCCGCCGTGCCTGGCCCTGGGATGACGGACGTGAGCCACCATGCCTGGCCTGGTCAGTTGATTTTCAACTTGTGTGCCAAAACCACTTAATGGAGAAAGGGCAATCTTTTTGACAAATGGCTCTGGGAAAACTGTATATCCACATGCAAAAGAGTGCAATTGAACACTTACCTTATGACAGATTTTTCAAAATCCTTGAAATAGATCAAACACCTGAACATACGAGCTAAAATTATAAAACCCTTAGAAGAAAACATAGGAGAAAATCTTATGACATTGAATTTGGCAAGGATTTCTTGAACATGCAGCAAAAGCACAGGCAATAAAATAGATAAATAAGACTTCATCAAAATTAAAACCTCTTGTGCATCAAAAGAGAGGGAAAAGATAAGCCCAGGAGAAAATATTTGCCAATAATATACCTGATAAAGAATCAATATCTAGAACATATAAAGAACTCCTAAAATGTAGCAACAACAAGAAAACCCAACAGACCCAACTAAAAAATTGACAAAGGACATGAATGGACATTTTTCTTTTTTCTTTTCTTTCTCTTTCTTTCCTTTCTTTCTTTCTTTTCTTTCTTTCTCTCTCTTTCTTTCTTTACCTTCCTTCCTTCTTTCTCCTTCCTTCCTTCCTTCTGTCTCTCTCTCTCTCTTTCTTTCTTTCTTTCTTTCTTTCATTTTGAGATGGAGTCTCTCTCTGTCACCCAGGCTGGAGTGCAATGGCACTATCTCGGCTCACTGCAACCTCCGCCTCCTGCGTTCAAGAGATTCTCCTGCCTCAGCCTCCCGAGTAGGTGGGATTACAGGTGCTCATCACTACGCCTGGCTAATTTTTATATTTTTAGTAGAGATGGGGTTTCACCATGTTGACCAGGCTGGTCTCGAACTCCTGACCTCAAGTAATCCACCCGCCTCGGCCTCCCAAAGTGTTGGGATGACAGGCATGAGCCACTGCGCCTGGCCTGAATGGACATTTTTCCAAAGGAAATGTGTGAATGGCCCATGAGCACATACAAAGACACTCGACATCACTATTAGGGAAATGCAAGTCCAGACCACAGGGAAATATCACGTGGTGATTTTTTTTTTTAAAGATAACAAGTGTTGGTGAAGATATAGAGAAATTGGAACCGCCGTGCATGGCTGGCGGGAGCATAAAACGGCACAGCCGCTGTGGAGCAGTCTAGCAGCTGCTCAGAAAGCCAAACATAGACTTACCGTGTGACCCAGCCATTCTGCTCCCAGCCAGAGGGACTCCTAGCTGAGGAACTGGAAACAGGGACTCAGATTCCTGGGCACATTGCGATGTCCATCGCAGCCTCATTCACAAAACCAAAAGGCAGAAGCAGCCCGAGGGTCCACCGACGGGCGAATTGATGAACCCAGCGGGGCCCATCCACGCAGTGGAAAATGACTCTGCCTTAAACAAGGAAGGAGACCCAGACATAGGCAACAACACGGACGAAACTTGAGGACATGGTGCTCCGTGAAACAAGCCAGTCACATCAGAATGGGTATTGTATGAGTCCATTTATACGAGGTCCTCTAGAGGACCAAACTTACGGAGAGAGTTGAGGTTGGTGGATGCGTGGGGCTCGGGGAGGGGAGTGGGAGCTGGTGTTTCATGGGGACGGAGTTTCAGTGCAGGGCGATGGGAAAGCTCTGGGGATGGTCGGACAACAGTGTAAGTGGACTTAATGCTCCTATATTAATTTAAAAATGGCAAAATGGGTGGCGCGGTGGCTCACTCCTGTCATCCCAGCACTTTGGGAGGCTGAGGCAGGCGGATCACGAGGTCAAGAGATTGGGACCATCCTGGCCAACATGGTGAAACCCCGTCTCTACTAAAAATACAAAAATTAGCTGGGCGTGGTGGTGCACACCTGTAGTCCCAGCTACTTGGGAGGCTGAGGCAGGAGACTCGCTTGAACTGAGGGAGCAGAGGTTGCAGTGAGCTGAGATCGAGCCACTGCACTCCAGCCTGGCGACAGAACAAGACTCCATCTCAAAAAAAAAAAAAAAAAAATTGCAAATTGGGCGGTGTGGTGGCTGACTCCTCTCATCCCAGCACTTTGGGAGGCTGAGGTGGGAGGATCGCTTGAGGCTGGGAGTTCATGACAGCCTGGGCAACAGAGTGAGACCTCGTCTCTACAAAAACAAACAAACAAACAAACAAGACTAAAATGATCAATGTTATGTCACATACACTTCACCACTGTTTTAGAAAAAATGCCCTATAGTTTTCCTGCTTTAAATGATCGGATCAATTCGCCCCACTCCCCCGGGCTCCTCCCCACACCTGACCCTGCCCTCACTTCTGGCTCCCCTCAGCCCCCTGTGCCCCAGCCCCAGCCACACCAGGTGCATTTGGACCCTCCAGGTCGCCGAGTTCATCCCCGCCTCGGCGTCTCTGCACCTGCTGTTCCCTGGTTTACAGCTCAACCGTCATCCTCCCACCCCACCCAGAGGACCATCCTCTTTTGTTCCTTGGAAGCTGGTGCTGCTGCTGCAAAGTCCATGCTACTGGAAGCCTCGAAGTAGGGGGGATTCTGTTCTAGTCTTTGTCAAATCCCACTGCCCATGGCAGCACCAGGACCCAGTTGGGGCTCCTTGGAACTGGCAGGAAGGAATCGGGTGGGGAGACAGGCAGAGAAGGGGGTCTGTGCAAAGACCAGGAGAAACCAGAGACAGGTCGTGGCGGGGGCTGAGACCTTCACACAGGGCAGGGGCCGCCCCGGGGGGTTCTCCTTGTCTTGCAGCCCCTGTGCAGGGCATCCTCAGAGCAGGGGCAGCCCAGGGCACCGGGACGCCCAGGTGGAAGGTGACCTGCCATCCTGCAGCTTCACTTCCTGCCGGGTGATTCGGTACCCCTGGTTGTGCCTGTCGCTCAGTGGGCCAGGGTCTAAGGGCTGTGAAGACTCAACATGCCCCCACCTGCTACTTCTGAACACCAGGCACTGGCTCTGAGACCCCCGGGCCTTGCTGGACATCTCCCCAGGTGTACTGGGCCAGGGGACAGGGGCCTGGCCATCCCAACACCCAGGAGCAAGCAGCCCGTCACCTGCCCAGGTCCCCGAGGCCTGGAACACCTTCCTGCTGGGCCCACCCAGCCCTGGACCTGTCCCGCTTGGTCACACGATGGGACCCTCGGCCCATCAGCAGGTGAGCCCCCAGGAGCGTGCGTCTGGCCTGGTAAGGCCTCCACCCCAGGAGTTGGGGGGCCCCCGTGCCAGGGAGCAGGAGGCTGCCGAGGTGGAGGGTCCCACACAGCTACCACTCCCTATCCCCAGCACAGCCTGGGGCCTGGCTCTGAGTACACATCCTGGGGCCTGGCTCTGAGCAGACCAAGAGCCCATCCCTGCTTTGTGACCCCCTGGGCTGTGCCTGACACCCCAGGTGTCCAGCGTGGAGCTGGGGCCCAGCTCAGTGCCTGGGAGCTGATGGACCCTGGGGCCCGGCTCAGTGCCTGGTGGCTGATGGACACTGGGGCCTGGCTCAAACCTGCACCGCTGTGGTCGGGGGAGGGGAGGGCTGAGCCACGTGGGGACCCCAGCCCCAGTGACGACTCTTTGCGGTGGCCAAGCCCTCCAGGTGTCCCCCAGGGCTGAGGGGCTGGGCTTGGGGCAGCTGGTGACAGCAGATGGTGGCCCTGATCACTGGTGCCTGGACGGCCTCTGAAGGGGTCTGTGGGGTCCTGGACGGGTCCCCATTCATGGCAGGATTAACCCCCCTCGGGTTCTGTGTGGTCTAGGCCGCCCCTTTGTCTCCACTGCCCCCTGGCCAGAATGAGGGACAGTGACCCACCCAGGGCTGGGCCTGGCTCAGACTCCGTCAGAGCCGCAGGGCAAGTTCCTGGCACGTCCGAGGTGGGAGGCTCCTCTGCGCTCCAGGAGGCTGTGCCTGGCCCCCCTTCCCGGCAGGAACCGGCTGTGTCCCTTTCCTTCCTTTATCTTCTGTTTTCAGCGCCTTCAACTGTGAAGAGGTGAACTCTTCAAACACGCTGAGCAAACAGGCCCGACTCCCAGGGCCGCATCCGGGATGTCTCAATAGCTGTGGCCTTGACGTCCACCTCGGACCCCTGCCCCGGACCCAGCCCAGTTCCCAATGGGCCCTCTGCCCGGGGAGGTGCCTAGTGGGAGGGACGAGGGCAAAGTCGGGGCCCCCACTTGTTTGGTGTCACTGTGTGCCAGCGGCCACTGGCGGGCGAGGCTGTTCCAGGGTGGAGGCGGGGAGGGTTGGACCACAGGCACTGAGCGGGGACAGAGGAGCTGCCTGAGGGTCCCAGCTCTGCCATGGAGAAAACGCTATCTCGCTGATGCAGAGGTGCCCGGCCCACTCGAGCTGGGGGTGAGGGGGCTGCTCCCCAGTGGGCCGCCAGCCCCCATGAAGGCCGCGGGCACCGGCCGTGGTCAGGGAGGGCAGGGGACAGGCAGTGGGGGCCAGCAGGGGAGACACTAGGCTTGGCCCCAGCACCCAGGTGGGCATCGGCTTGTGAGCTGGAGCCGCGGGCAGGGAGGGGGGATGTCACGAGGGCTTGGCTAAGGTGGGAGACCTGGGCGGGTGCGTCGGGGGGACGTCTGCAGCAGAGGCCCGGGCAGCAGGCACACCCCTCCTGCCAGTGCGAGGAACGAGGCGCCACAGCGGCCGGTAGCCCCCCATTTGCCCAGCCTGGCCTGGAGCAGGCAGGAAGGCCGGGGAGAGGGGTCTGGCTGGGGCCTGGGTGCAGTCACAGCCACGAGCCCAGGGGTGGGGACTCTGGCCCACCCTCCAGACCATCCTCAAGGCCCACTGGCCCAGGCATCCCCGCCCACCCCTCCCACCGTGCCGTGCTGCAGCGGGTCTACCGGCCTGGATGTGAAAGAGAGCTTGGAGACCCCAGAGACCTCGGAACCTTCAGCTTTGGAAGTGACGTCGGTGGGGTGGGTGGGGGGAGCACAGGCTCTGGAGTCCCGGAAGTGAGCGGGGAGCTACGCTGAGATCTGGGAGACCCCCTGCCCCCACCCAGGTACAGGGCCAGGCAGAAGCCCGAGGTGTGCCCTGAGTTAAAGAAACCGTCACAAAGAACAAAGGGAGAAGGCGGGTTCCAGCCTCCACCACAGCCCTCGCGCTCTGAGGAGCCACCTGGGGGCCTCAGCCATGAGGGGTGACAGGTGGCAAAACGGGCCAGCTCCGTTCACGTCGCTGTGCAGCTGTCTCCGCCCTCCATCTCCAGAACGTTCTCACATTCCCAAGCTGAAACCCTGTCCCCATGCAACACCAGCTCACCATCCCCTCTGCCAGCCCCTGGCGCCCACCGTCCACACTCCGTCTCTGCGGGTTTCATGACTCCAGGGGCAGCACACGAGTGGCCCCTCCTGCCTTTGTCCTCTGTGTCCACCTGCCTCACTCTGCACAGTGTCCCCAGCTTCCCCCATGGAGCAGCCTGGGCCAGCCTCTCCTTTTCACGGCTGAACCGTATTCCACCGCACGGATCAGCCTCACGATGCTGACCCAGTCCTCCGCCCAGGGACACATGGGCAGCTTCTGCCCTTTGTCAGTGATGCTGCTGTGGACATGGGTGTGCAAATGTCCCTCAGGACCCGCCTTCAGTTCTTCTGGGGACAGACCCAGAGTGGAGTTGCTGGTCACCCCCACCAGCAGGGCACAGGGCTCCGGGTCCCCACGTCTCTGCCAACACTTCCTACTTCCTGTGTTTCTTGATCCCCGCCATCCTATTGAGCGTGAGACAGGTCAGAAGCTTTGAAGATGGGCTTTCGTCTTGTCCCAGAAATCCCACCTCTAAGAATTTAACTTCAGAAAGACAAACGCGGGGGAGCTGGTGCAGGGCCCGTGACGGGGACTGTGACGTAAATAAAACAACAGACCTGGACACCACCCTAGGGTCCCCATGGGGCCGGACGAGGCCACACCACCCGACCTGGTGCTTCCTGCCTGGCGTCTGCGCCACGGAGCATTCAGGACGCTGGTGACCAGGGAGCCAGGAGGTGGGAGCATCTGAGGTGCAGGTCACACGGGCAGGAGGTGTTTGCAAGAGGTATTGCAGCGCGGACGGAGTGTCCTGCAGATGACGCTGTCTGTCCTGTAGATGACGCTCGTCAAGGAGGTTTACCACATAGCCCCCAGGAAGCCCACCCGACACCAGCCGGAGGTGCTAGGCTTCTGCGGCTCCCACCTGGGGCAGGCGGAGGACCCCGGGCAGGTCCAGGACCCCCCGGAGCAGCTGCTTCCTCAACCCTGCCAGGGTTAATGAGGAGGCCCCAGAGTGAGGTGGAGGCCAAATGGGACTCAGGGCCGGAGCCTCTGGCCTGGCTGGATCAGGGCTGGCATTGGACAAGCGCAGCTGACTCCCGATGTGCATGGCCAGGAGACACTCTGGGCCTCAGTTTCCCCTTGAATGTGAACCTTGAAACAGATCAGCCCAGAGACCTCCCACGGTCTTCAAGGGGCTCTGGTCAGCTGGGCTGGGGTCTCTGGAAATAGAGCCTCCTCCAGGGACCCCCACAAGCCACCCAGACTGAGCATCCTGGCCATGTGCATGCCTGAGCTCAGCAGGAGCCTCCCGGCCTCCCCGTGGGCTAAGCAGTGGTGGGAGGGGAGCTCCAGCCTCGTGGGCCCTCCCCGGGCCTCGGGGACCCATGGTCAGTGGCTGGGGGTGCTGCCCAGAGGCTGGGATTCCCTTCCAGCAGGAGCCGCAGTGGGGCTGAGTGTGAGGCAGGCTGGCTGACCACTGTTTCCATGGACCCTGCGTCCAAGGCCAGCCCTGCCTTCCAGCGGCTTTGCCATCTAGGACGGGTGCCAGGTGGGGTAGGCCCTTCTCTCCCTTCCGATTCTCAGAAGCTGCTGGGGGTGGGGGCGTCCTGGGCCTCAGGGCACAGAGCTGCAAATCCTTCCTGATCCAGGCCTCTCCCCTGCCACAGCCCCTCCCCGAGAGCAAACACACGTGGCTGGAGCGGGGAAGAGCATGGTGCCCTGCGTGGCCTGGCCTGGCTTGGGGCCAAGGCTCCCTGCTACATAAGCTGGGGCCCCCAGGGGAGCAAGCACCCGGCCCGGCTCCCTCCCTGCCCGTCCCCGTCCCCCCACCCGTGCCAGCCCCCAGGATGGGTGCCCCGAGCGCGTGCCGGACGCTGGTGTTGGCTCTGGCGGCCATGCTCGTGGTGCCGCAGGCAGGTAAGAGCCCCCCACTCCGCCCCCTCTCGATGCTGTCTTCACGGCGGGGGTCTCTGCAGGTCGCTTGCCTGGGAGCTTCTCCTGCAGAGTGCACGGGCAGATCCCCCTACGACTCCCTGAGTGTCCTGGATGGGACCCTACCCGTCCCCAACACAGGGCTCTGGGGCCCCACGGGCTCACAGTGTCAGGAAACTCAGGGGCTGGCTTGGATGGGGTGTCCAGGAGAAGGTGGGCCCCTGACCGCAGGGCAAGGCCCCTGGGAGACCACCGAAAGGGTCTTGGTCTTGGGGGTGGGACAGGAGTGGGCAATGGGGGAGGGGGTCACAGCTGGGGGTCTCTCTGGAGCCCCATGAGGCCCAGGCATCAGAGTGAGCAGGGGCAGGCTTAGCGTGGACCCCTGTCCAGGACCGGCTCTACCCTTCACGACCTCCCTGGGGATCACAGCTGGCAGGGCAGGTGAGGGTACCACCCTCAAGGGTTGCACAGCCAGCCGCAAGAGCCCCGGCCTCAACCCACGCTCGACTCCCACGGCCCATCTGTGGGCATCTCATGCCGCACGGGCTGCCTGGCTCTCAGCCGAGCGTTTTCCCTCGTCTGCTGTCTCTTGGCCAGAGCCGCAGCATTAATACTTACTGTCAATAGAGAAAGATGCAGCCCCAGGGGCCACCGGGAGACACCCAGCCGGGCTGGCCATGAGGCTGCTGCAGCCCCTCCCTGCCCCGCCCTCCACCCCCTCCCAAGCTTGGGGTCTGGGCTGGGCAGGTGAGGCTCCCTGGGGTCTCTCTCCATCTGTGGAAGGGAGGCTGGGTGGTCAGCAGGGCTGGAGGCAGGGGGCTTCCCCCAGTGGCTCCCAGCCTGGGCCCGGGGGGAGCTGCGTCTGGCTGCAAGGTTTGGGGGCTGGTTTGACCAGAATAGCCACCTCCTTGCATCTGATTCTTCCGGGCCATGCAGCCTTGGCTCCCCTCACCTGAGCAGGCAGGGCCTAGGGACTCTCAGCCCACCCGTCCTCCTGTCCTCCACGCACGTCCAAGTTGGGGAGATCAAGCCCTTGGCAGGGACTGTGCTTTAGTCACCAGATGCACGTCCTGTGGCCGGGGAAGGCAGCCCTGCACAGAGCAGCTTCATGTTAGGGGACACACCCCAAAGTGATGGGGTGGCTGGTGGTGGGCACTTCTCTGGCTACAAGATGGAGGCCCAGGTGGTCCAGCCCAAGGAGGGCACTGCACGGAGCAGATAACCAAGGGCAGTCAGCCTGGGCAGGGGAGGGGCTGCCTGGGGGGGAGGGGTTGCCTGGGTTGGGGAGGGGCTGTCTGGGGCAGGGGAGGAGCTGCCTGGGGCGGGGGAGGGGCTGTAGGGCCAGGGAGGGGCTGCCTGGGGCTGGGGAGGGGCTGCTGGGGTGGGGAGGGGCTGCCTGCGGCGGGAGCCGGGGCGTGGGAGTGGCTGGTTGGGCTGGCACACAGGGGCAGGGCTGTGAGCTGTGGGTCGGGGTGGAGGACTCAGGGATCGGCTGGCTTTCTGGGAAAGGCAGTCAACCTGGATCTCTGGAGGCGGCCCCTGTGGTGGTTCCCAGATGTCAGCAGGACCTGGCTGGAAAAGCCAGGCAGGGCCAGGCCAGAGTGCGAACCACAGGGCCGGCCCCTCGCTGAGCCCTGACCATGCTGTGGGGGCTGGGGCCTCACCTCCCACCTCCCCACAGAGAGTCTCAGATCAGGATCCAGGGAGGAGCTCTGGGGTCCTGTGAAGGGGGCGCCCCAACCCAAACTGGGCAGACAATGGCCGGGGGTCCTCAGAGTCCTGTGGGTTGGAGCTGCCTCCTCCCAGCCTCCATGGGGTTGGTGGGTGAGGCCTTGCCCGGAGGCGGTGGTCAGCCTGGGGGACCTTGGGCGGCCATCCCAGTATCAACGGCCACACAGCTTGCGCGGCCCAGAGTCCTGCCCCCAGCCTGCCCCACTCGCCCTGACTTAGGATCTAGTTCGAAACTGGTTCTGTGTTTAGGTTTCTGCTAAGTCACGCCTGGAAGGCTCCAAGTGTGTCCTCCTAACAAAGCTGGTCTTTGTCCTTCTCCAAGGGATGTGTGGGATGGGGCGAAATCCCCCCTTGGGGCGGCCAACGCCTTTTCCTGATTCCATTTTCTCCCCCATCCCTTGAGAAGGAGGCACCATCCCCGCCTGTCAGTCGGGGACAGGGCAGGCCGTGCTGGGGGCAGCTCAGGGCTCCCTGCTGGAAGCTTCCATCCCGCAGGCTTTCCATA
The DNA here is from genome assembly GCF_000001405.40 of Homo sapiens. Classification (NCBI taxonomy): domain Eukaryota; kingdom Metazoa; phylum Chordata; class Mammalia; order Primates; family Hominidae; genus Homo; species Homo sapiens. The sequence goes on from NC_000011.10 coordinate 1,225,445, forward strand.
GCATTGAGCAGGAGCGGAGGCATCTGCGGCTGACGGTTGGGGTGGCCTGAGCGGCTGGGGAGGAGTCCCGGCCTTGGCCACAGTGTGTCGTGAGGGTGAACCTGCAGGGCATGGAGACCGCCACCAAGGACCCCACATGCGGCTGCCGCACCAGGGATGTGGCCAGGTCCGTGGTTGGGTTCGTGGCTGGCAGCCACATCTAGTTCCTCACTGACTCCCATTCCCTCTTCCCACAGAGACCCAGGGCCCTGTGGAGCCGAGCTGGGAGAATGCAGGGCACACCATGGATGGCGGTATGTGGCCAGGTTCGGGGGTGGGGGGTTCCTGACCAGGCTGGAGGGGCTGGAATTTGGGCTGGGGCAGGCAGACGCCTCTCCAAGCAGCCATGCGTCTGACAGAGACCCTCCCTGGGTCCCCTGCCCAGGACAATACCCAGCACCCGAGGCGGAGCTTGGTGCTCCAAAGAAGAGGAAAGTGCAGAGCAGAGAGACATGCACACAGAAGCACACGCGTGGACAGGCACATGCGTGCCCACACTTACACTGGCACACACATGTGTGCACACACAGGCCAAAACACAAGGGCAGCAGTGTTTGTGGGGCAGACAGGGCCAAGGGTAAAGGGGCTGCCTTGGCCCCAGCCCATCAGTTTTGGGCTCCCCTTCAACTCTGGTGGCTGGCGAGGAGGGTGGGCCCCGGGGAGGGTGTCTCTGCTTCCCCTTCCTGGCCACGTTCCTGGGGTGACCAGCCTTCACCCACAGGTGCCCCGACGTCCTCGCCCACCCGGCGCGTGAGCTTTGTTCCACCCGTCACTGTCTTCCCCAGCCTGAGCCGTAAGCAGATGCTGCCCCTGCCAGCCGGGAAGGGGGTGTTTGCCAGTCCCAAAGGTGGGGGCCCAGATCTAGGGGTGCAGCTGCCACCAGGTGGGGCCGTTGGGCCAGACCCAGAGTCCTCCGTGTGGGCGGTCTCCTGGTCACTGGCCACCCTGGGGGATGGGGACGGGTCAGGGGTCTTGGAGCAAAACAGACGCAGTCCAGGGTGAGCCAGGCAGGGCACAGCCAGCAGCCGACCATGGGCTTTTCCATTCCAAAAACCAGGGTGCCTCGGCCCAGGGGAGGCTACCCCGTGGGGGGCTGGCATGGGGATGGGCCTCATCCCGCGCTCCCCACAGCCCTGAACCCGGCGCACAATGGGCGGGTGTGCAGCACCTGGGGTGACTTCCACTACAAGACCTTCGACGGCGACGTCTTCCGCTTCCCTGGCCTTTGCAACTACGTGTTCTCTGAGCACTGCCGCGCCGCCTACGAGGACTTCAACGTCCAGCTACGCCGAGGCCTAGTGGGCTCCAGGCCTGTGGTCACCCGTGTTGTCATCAAGGCCCAGGGGCTGGTGCTGGAGGCGTCCAACGGCTCCGTCCTCATCAATGGGCAGCGGTGAGCCGGCCACCCTGGGGAGGGGCGAGGGCCGGGCCACACAGTGTGACCTCCCCACACGGCCATGTCTGACCTGGGCCAGGGCTGGGGGGGGGTTGGGTGGGCAGGCAGCCAGGAGAGCGGGGCCCAGGGAGAGACCCCGCTGTCTGCGCAGGGAGGAGCTGCCTTACAGCCGCACTGGCCTCCTGGTGGAGCAGAGCGGGGACTACATCAAGGTCAGCATCCGGCTGGTGCTGACATTCCTGTGGAACGGAGAGGACAGTGCCCTGGTGAGGAAGCCCCCTCGCCCCTTGCCCCTTCAGGCCTGGCCACAAAACCCCCACCGGGGGTCGAGGGATGCCTCCCTGGGCTTGGGGTCACGGGGCTTGGGGCATGTTGCCAGTGTGGGGATCAGAGGTCCTGAGGCTGGAGCTGCCCCTCCCCACTCTCAGCTGGAGCTGGATCCCAAATACGCCAACCAGACCTGTGGCCTGTGTGGGGACTTCAACGGCCTCCCGGCCTTCAACGAGTTCTATGCCCACAGTGAGTGCCACCTGGGTGAGGGGGCGGTGACCAATTATGTCGGCCAACGAAGAGCCACAGTCCCGGGGAGGCCGGGAGGGGGCGGAGTGGGGACCGGGCACCAGGCAGGGAGGGGCCACGAGGACTGTGCCCTACATGGTGGGAGGAGTGCCCCTCGGGGGTGTTGGGCCCTAGGCAGGAGTGGGAGTCCTCTGGCCTGGGCTCAGGAAGTGGGAGCCCATATCTTGTCCCCAGGAGCCCCTCAGAGCCACCACACCCCTGCTTTCTTCCCGGCAGACGCCAGGCTGACCCCGCTCCAGTTTGGGAACCTGCAGAAGTTGGATGGGCCCACGGAGCAGTGCCCGGACCCGCTGCCCTTGCCGGCCGGCAACTGCACGGACGAGGTGAGTCCCCCGCCACCCCCAGCTCCTGGGCAGGGACGGCCTCCAGGTCCAGGGGGAGCTGGGCCGAGGTCTGAGGAATGTTCCCAGCTGGTGGAGAGATGGTGCCATTGGAGGGAGGCCGGGCAGCCACCCTCTGTGTGCTCAGTTCCACGGTACACACTGTCCGAGTGTGGTGACGTGCGTGTTCATCAGGCCACGCGTGTGCCCATCTGTGTGAGCAAACACAGGCCCATGCTGCACAGGCTGGGCTGAGGGTGGGCACTCGGGAAGCCCGGAGCCAGCCCTTCCCACCAGCAGGTGGACTCAGAAGGGGCCTGGAGGCTCCAGGATCCCCAAACCAGCAGGATCTCTGAGCCTTAAGTTGTGCTGTGAATGACAGCATGAGCCCCCCTGTGAGCTGGGCCCCGCAGCCGGCAGCCCTGGGCCTGGGGACGGAGGACACTCAGCACTGGACTGCCCTGAACCTGCCGGGCTGCCCAGAGAGGCGGGGCCTCCACCTCCCCTCCTTGGCTCCGCCTCCTGGGGTGGGGGTCTGCACCTTTCTTGGGCGCTTACTCCACGGGCAGGCACATCCGGAGTAGGGGATCCCCGGTCACGGGTCACTCCCCAAGGGCCAAGCAGAGCTCTGCATGGCCACAGTGGGTGGAAGGGGTGGGGCTGGGTACAAGGAACCCCGACAGGGAGAGGGCTTCCCGGCCTGGCCTGCCATGGGTCCTATTCCAGCACCGTGGCAGCCCCCATGGATGGCAGGGGTGCCCAGCCTGGCCCACTGTGCTCCCCAGGAGGGCATCTGCCACCGCACCCTGCTGGGGCCGGCCTTTGCGGAGTGCCACGCACTGGTGGACAGCACTGCGTACCTGGCCGCCTGCGCCCAGGACCTGTGCCGCTGCCCCACCTGCCCGTGTGCCACCTTTGTGGAATACTCACGCCAGTGCGCCCACGCGGGGGGCCAGCCGCGGAACTGGAGGTGCCCTGAGCTCTGCCGTGAGTGCTCCCAGGGCCTTCGCCAGGGATTGTGCCAGAGAGAAGGGGCAGGGGGAGCGCCTTGGGGGCCACTGGGGGTGGGGAGGCCTGGGGGACAGGGGTGGAGGGCAGAGGACCCACCCCAGGCATAGTGGGCAGAGGCCACCCCAGGACCCCAGGAGGGGGTGGGGCCTCCGGGGGCTGCAGGAGAAGGAGAGGCTGTGGAGAGGCTGTGCAGCAGGTGGCGGGGGCTGGGGCTGGAGGGTGGAGCTGCCCACGATGAGGGGCGTCAGGGCCACCCTGGGGCCTAGCTCTGGCTTCTGTGGACTTGATGGCATGTGGAAGGCCGTGGAAGGCGGCTGGGGCTGACCACACGGGCAGTACAGGGCCCTTCCCCTGGCCCAGCCCCACCTCCTTTTGCGCAGCCCGGACCTGCCCCCTCAACATGCAGCACCAGGAGTGTGGCTCACCCTGCACGGACACCTGCTCCAACCCCCAGCGCGCGCAGCTCTGCGAGGACCACTGTGTGGACGGCTGCTTCTGCCCCCCAGGCAGGTCTTGTGTGCCCTGAACCCCTCAGGGGGCTTTCAGGTCCCTGCTCCCAACCCCGCCCCCAGCCTCATCAGGCGTGGAAGCAGAGCCCCTCATGCCAGAAGGTCCCACCAGAGGGCCCAGGGTGGGAAGGGCACTGGCTGGGAGGGTGCCGGAAGACCTGCCGATGCGTGGAGGGAGGTAGAGCAGTGCCATGAGCCAGCTGGGCATGGTGGGGAAACTGAGGCCCAGAGGTGCTTGGTGTTCATCCAAGCGAGTGCAGCTCAGGGCGGGGGCGGTGTCCTGGAGCAGGAATTCCTCCCCAAGGGAGGCAGCTTGTCCCCAAGGCCGGTGTCTTCTGACCTTGGTGTCCCCCGTGCATGGGCCGGCCCTGCCTCACGCCGCGCCCCACAGGCACGGTGCTGGATGACATCACGCACTCTGGCTGCCTGCCCCTCGGGCAGTGCCCCTGCACCCACGGCGGCCGCACCTACAGCCCGGGCACCTCCTTCAACACCACCTGCAGCTCCTGGTACTTATGAGCCCACCAGCCTCCGCCTGGGGTGGGGTGTGGAGCTCCTGGTATTTATGAACCCGCCAGCCTCTGCCTGGGGTGGGGGTGTGGAGCTCCTGGTGTGCACCCACCAGCCTCCGCCTGCGGTGGGGGTGTGGAGGGTGGGGCCCACCTCCTCCCGACATGCCGGTTCTGCTCACGGCCTCCCTCCCCAGCACCTGCTCCGGGGGGCTATGGCAGTGCCAGGACCTGCCGTGCCCTGGCACCTGCTCTGTGCAGGGCGGGGCCCACATCTCCACCTATGATGAGAAACTCTACGACCTGCATGGTGACTGCAGCTACGTTCTGTCCAAGGTCTGGGCTTGGGGCCGGGTCTTCAGACACCCAGACCCTCCTGGGACCCTCATGCCACTTCCACCCAGGGGAGGCCCCCACGATGGTCATAGAGGGGTGGATGTCCCTGCTGAGGGGGGAGCCCTGGGTCCCCATGATGGTCATAGAGGGATGGCTCTCCCTGCTGAGCGGCATGGGGCCAAGGAGCCCCCAGGCCCTGAGACAAGCTGCTGGGAGGTGACCAGAGGTGCCAAGGACCACCTCCCCACAGAGCCACATCCCCCACATGGGCATCCCCAGCACACTTCTGGGGGGCACCCCACATCATCGAGCCAGGCCCAATGCACGCGTGGGTCCTTCTCCCCAGAAATGTGCCGACAGCAGCTTCACCGTGCTGGCTGAGCTGCGGAAGTGCGGCCTGACGGACAACGAGAACTGCCTGAAAGCGGTGACGCTCAGCCTGGACGGCGGGGACACGGTGAGGACCTGGCTGGGGCCCTGGGCTGGGACAGGAAGAGGCATGCGAAGGTGTGTGGGGAGCAAGCACGGTCAGGTCCCCCTCCAGCCCCGAGGCCAGGTCCCCCCTCCAGCCCCCAGGCCAGGTCCCCCTCCAGCCCCCAGGTCAGGTCCCCCCTCCAGCCCTGAGGTCAGGTCCTCCCGGGGGGGCAATTGCAGAGCCCACCGCAGGTCCAGGTCTGAGCTTCTCTGTGGGCTCTGTCCCCAGTGGGGGCCCCTGGGCAGGCCACCCCCTCATTTGAGAGTCGGGAATGGGTTCCTCCCCAGAGCTGACCTCCCGCCCGCCTCCTTCCGCAGGCCATCCGGGTCCAAGCGGACGGCGGCGTGTTCCTCAACTCCATCTACACGCAGCTGCCCCTGTCGGCAGGTATGTGGCTCTCCCAGGACGGCCGGGCTGGGTGGCGCCTGCTTGCAGGGGCAGCTCCCACAGCCTGGGCAGCGTCCGCTCCATCCCTGCTAGTTCTCCGTGGCCTCGGGCAGCTCCAGGAGCTCCCTGTGCTCGGTTTCTCGTCTGCAGAGTGGGGATGCCAGGCTCCCACCCCGGCAGCGGCAGGGACCCCACATCCAGCTCGCTCAGCCCCACTCTCTCAGGGAGCCCGGTCTCCACCTGAGCCCACTTGGCGGCCACAGGCATGGGACAGGGAGCCTGAGGGCTCCTGGCCACTCCTGGGTCTCACTCCCGGGTCTCAGTGGGGTGGCCCGGCCCACTGGATGCCCTGCCCCTCCAATCTAGCCAGATCTGTCCCTGCACCCCTGACCGGCCTCTCCCCCACACTCCCGGCAGCCAACATCACCCTGTTCACACCCTCGAGCTTCTTCATCGTGGTGCAGACAGGCCTGGGGCTGCAGCTGCTGGTGCAGCTGGTGCCACTCATGCAGGTGTTTGTCAGGCTGGACCCCGCCCACCAGGGCCAGATGTGCGGTGAGGCTGGGCAGGGGCCTTCGGGGACAGGGCCATTGGGGACGGGGCCTGGACTAGCGCCAGGCTGCAGGGAGGGGCAGGCAGAGGCGGGCAGGGGACCGGGGAGGGGGCTGCCCCCAGGGCATGGCGGAGATCCTGGTGCCAGCGCAGGACACCAGCATTGGACCAGCGGCCCCGGAAGCAGCCAGCTGGGAGGATGGAGCGGGCAGCCCTGCCCTGGCTCAGGCCGACTTTGCACAGGGGCTGGCTTTGCACAGGGGCCGACTGCACAGGGGCGCCCCCCGCCAGGGCTTATCTGCAGAGGGTTCTGGGAGCAGAATCCTGGGACAGGGCTCCCAGCCGTTCCACCCTGTGTGGTGCCTGGAGGGATGGCAGGGGCCAGGAGCCAGGTGGGCCCAACAGTGGCCGCTGACATCCCCCAACCCTGGCCCCCAGGCCTGTGTGGGAACTTCAACCAGAACCAGGCTGACGACTTCACGGCCCTCAGCGGGGTGGTGGAGGCCACGGGCGCAGCCTTCGCCAACACCTGGAAGGCCCAGGCTGCCTGTGCCAATGCCAGGAACAGCTTTGAGGACCCCTGCTCCCTCAGTGTGGAGAATGGTACTCCTCGCCCCCACCCCCACAGTCACCCCAGGCTCAAGTCCCACCCAGCACCTTCCTGTCCCCTGGGCCACGGGGACCCCTGGGTGGGATTGGGGACCCCATGGAGGCAGGTGGGAGGCATCAGGAGGAGGTGCTTGGGGCCAGGCGGCCAGAACCCCCCAAGGCGCAGCAGGTGAGCCGCAAATTCCAACTCACTGTTCCCCGGGCTGAGGGGGTCGCAGGCCTGCGTGTCAGGGGTGTGGGCTTCGGGGCAGGGCGTGGAGATGAGGTCAGGTCTTCCCCACAGAGAACTACGCCCGGCACTGGTGCTCGCGCCTGACCGATCCCAACAGTGCCTTCTCGCGCTGCCACTCCATCATCAACCCCAAGCCCTTCCACTCGGTGAGAGGCTGAGGCCAGACCCCCACGCCTGGGCAGGATGGGTGGGGGAGCCCTGGCAGGCTGGGGTCCCTGACGCCCCGATGCCTCCCACCTCCGCAGAACTGCATGTTTGACACCTGCAACTGTGAGCGGAGCGAGGACTGCCTGTGCGCCGCGCTGTCCTCCTATGTGCACGCCTGTGCCGCCAAGGGCGTACAGCTCAGCGACTGGAGGGACGGCGTCTGCAGTGAGTGCCCACGCTGGGGGTGGGATGTGTCCACACCGCGTGGGGGTGCGGGGGACCCTGGCCGGCAGCAGCCGTCACTCACACGGTTCTCAGCCCAGAGCTTTGCACTTCCTCATCCCAGCCTCGCAAGAACCTCATGCCCTTGCGATCCCCACGTCACAGACGGGGATGCTGAGTTGAAGATGGGGGCTGGCCAGGCTGCTCGGCCGCTGACCTGTCCCCCCTGGCCCCACCGACCACAGCCAAGTACATGCAGAACTGCCCCAAGTCCCAGCGCTACGCCTACGTGGTGGATGCCTGCCAGCCCACTTGCCGCGGCCTGAGTGAGGCCGACGTCACCTGCAGCGTTTCCTTCGTGCCTGTGGACGGCTGCACCTGCCCCGCGGGCACCTTCCTCAATGACGCGGGCGCCTGTGTGCCCGCCCAGGAGTGCCCCTGCTACGCTCACGGCACCGTGCTGGCTCCTGGAGAGGTGGTGCACGACGAGGGCGCCGTGTGGTAAGGGTCTGGGGGGAAAGCAGGCCCCCCAGGTGCTCCTCAGAGCCACTTCCCGCCCTCCCCGAAGGCTTCTGTGCCTCCCCCCGAGGGTTCTGAGACATGAGGGGCCAGGCTGGGGAGAGTGGGGCAGGGTGGACCCAGCACATTCTGAAGAGAAAATTCCCAGCTGGGAAAGAGGCCAGGAGAGGAGGTGGCCCTGGGAGGACACCTGCTGGCTGTTCTCAGCTGGGTCCACATGGCAGCCCCTGCCAGGAAAGGTGGGTGGCCCCCACTCCCACCCTGGGCTCAAAGGCCGCTCCTAACCCCAGGGTCCTGGCTGCTTTGCTGCCCCCCTGTGTGTATTTACCCATGTGCCTCCAGGGGATTTGGGGGCTCCCAGCAAACACAGCAGCAGGCACCGTCTGGCCTTACAAGGAGGTGGCCAGGCTGGGGAGGCCCAGCGTTCGGCGGGGGCTCGGAAGCCCGGGGGTGGGGTCTGCGGGGTGAGGGCCGCAGATCCAGGCTGTGCCGTCTGTCTCTTGTAGTTCATGTACGGGTGGGAAGCTAAGCTGCCTGGGAGCCTCTCTGCAGAAAAGCACAGGTAAGTGCCACCCCTGCCCTGCCCTGCCCTGCCCCGCCCCGCATCACCCCGCCTGGCCTGGCCCCAACACGCCCCACCCTGCCCCACCCCACCTGAACCCTGCCGGGCCAGGTCAGTCCTCACCTGGGCTCTGCCACAGGCACCCATGCCCTGACACGCCAGGGACGGAGGGGCCAGTGGGTCTCTGCCCCGCAGTGTGGCCGGGGTGTCCTGGGGTTGGGGGCTGCAGGTGTCATGGAAGCTTTGGCTCGGGGGCTGTTAACTTGATCAGCAGGACAGGCTCAGGGCTGCCTGGGGTCAGTTGAGGGCCGTGGCTGCCCTTCCCCAGGACCCCTCCCACCAAGCTCTGTCCCCAGGGTGTGCAGCCCCCATGGTGTACCTGGACTGCAGCAACAGCTCGGCGGGCACCCCTGGGGCCGAGTGCCTCCGGAGCTGCCACACGCTGGACGTGGGCTGTGTGAGTTCCATGCTTCAGGGAGGGGTGGGCAGGGAAGGGGTCCCAGCTTTCCCAGCTCCCGAGCCCAGGGATCTGGTGGTCCTGGAGACACTTACCCACCTGGAAGCTCCGCCCTGGCCCATGCGTTGCCCTGGGTGCTGCTGGGTGCGCCTGTCCCAGAGGGTGAGTGACATCTGCCCACCCTGGTGTCCAGCCCTGACCGGTACCTGCCTGGGCCCCACAGTTCAGCACACACTGCGTGTCCGGCTGTGTCTGTCCCCCGGGGCTGGTGTCGGATGGGAGTGGGGGCTGCATTGCCGAGGAGGACTGCCCCTGTGTGCACAACGAGGCCACCTACAAGCCTGGAGAGACCATCAGGGTCGACTGCAACACCTGGTGGGTCGTGAGTCTCTCGGAGGCAGCAGGTGGGGAGGGCGGGGGCGGGGAGGGCAGCGGGTGGGGAGGCAGCGGGCAGGGAGGGCAGGGGGCGGGGAGGGCAGGGGGCCAGCTGGCCAGGGTGAGGTGGGGCCGTGGCAGGAGAGAGAGTTGCTAGGAAAGCCATGGGCCGTCCTGTGCGTCCTCTGGAAGGTGGCCCAGGGGCCGTGGTGCTACCAGGAGCCTGGTGGGGCTGCGTGCCCTGCATTCACAGTGGGGGACACCACTTCTTCCACGGAGGAGGGGTCAGGCTGGGCCTGGGGAGGCTGAGGCCCCGTGCTGACCTGCACAGGCCTGGGTGCCGGGTCTCAGGAAGGCCGGGAGAGCAGGCCCCTGTGAGCAGGCACCATTGTGGCCCCTTGCAGCACCTGCAGGAACCGGAGGTGGGAGTGCAGCCACCGGCTCTGCCTGGGCACCTGCGTGGCCTACGGGGATGGCCACTTCATCACCTTTGATGGCGATCGCTACAGCTTTGAAGGCAGCTGCGAGTACATCTTGGCCCAGGTACGCCGCCCCCTCGCCCACTCCTGCAGGCCGGGCACACTCCAGCCCGCGGCCAGCAGCTTGTCTCTTTCTGGCCCAGGACTACTGTGGGGACAACACCACCCACGGGACCTTCCGCATCGTCACCGAGAACATCCCCTGTGGGACCACCGGCACCACCTGCTCCAAGGCCATCAAGCTCTTCGTGGAGGTGAGAACGGCCCCAGCTGTGAGCACCCCCGACCCTGCAGCCAACGAGCCGGCCCCCAGGGAAGCTTCGTGAGGCTTTAGCTGCACCCACAGGTTCTCAGCAGTGTCCTGGCCCCGGGCTGCTGTTCCAAGCAGCCACAAACCAGGGGGCTTAGACAACAGAAATGCATTCTCAGTCCTGGAGCCGGAAGTCAGAGATCCAGGCGGGCAGGGCCACACTCCCTGTCGAGGGTCTGGGGAGGTCCTTCCTGCCTCTCCCAGCTTCACAGGCGGCAGGCGTCCCTGGGCTGTGGCTGCCTGTGGCCTCCCGCTGTGTCTGCGTCTGTCTTCTCTCTGTTTTTCTCTTCTGTCTCTTGTAAGGACACTGGTCATTGGATTTAGGGCCCCCCCCCGCCCCCACGTAGTCCAGGATGATCTCATTTCAAGATGCTTCACTTAATCCCGTCTGCAGAGATGCTTTCTCCCAGTGAGGGCCCGGGCTGAGGTTCTGGGAGTTCGCATGTGGACAGGCATTTTCAGGAGCCACGATTCACCCTGCCACACCTAGAGACACCCACTCCAGCAAAGGGGGGCCAGAGCTCCCAGGGGATAAAGCAGCGCCGCTGGCCGGGATGCTCCCTGCAGATGGCGGGAGGGGCTGAGGACCGCAGCGGGTCAGGGGAGGCTGGTGTGAGGGCGTGGGGGCTGCAGGGCTGGATGGGGAGCAGGGTGGGGTGGAGTGGGCCTACTGCAGCCTCTGCTGCTCCCGTGCAGCCCCAAGGTTCCCAGGCAGCCCCTGTTCCCAGCACTTCCTGGCCAGCCTCTTGCCAAACCTTCGCTGAGGGTCTCACGGACCCAGCTCACCCCTAACGCCAGCCGCTTGTGCTAAGAGCCCGTGCGCACCTGCAGAGCACTGGGTGGGGCATCCCTGGGTCTCAGGCCCCTCCCTGGGGGCCACAGGGTCGGCTTCCGGCAGCGTCTGCCTCCCCTGCAGAGCTACGAGCTGATCCTCCAAGAGGGGACCTTTAAGGCGGTGGCGAGAGGGCCGGGTGGGGACCCACCCTACAAGATACGCTACATGGGGATCTTCCTGGTCATCGAGACCCACGGGATGGCCGTGTCCTGGGACCGGAAGACCAGCGTGTTCATCCGACTGCACCAGGACTACAAGGTGAGCTCGGGCCGTGCACTCCTAGGCCCTGCAGGACCCTCTCACAGTGACAGAAACCCTGGTGCCAGGTGGGGTCTGTGGGACTCGCTGACCCGTGGGTGCGTGAGCCTGGCTGGTGAGGGCCCTGCCTGTGGCCTCCACAGTGGGCAGAGGATTTTGCAGGGAAGCAGGTGCCACCCAGCGGCCCACCCAGGGACCCACTGCACACCTGTCTCCTACAAGTTCACCAGGCACTGCCTGGGGAACCGGCTGCCCTCCCTCCATCCCCCGAGGGCTCTGGAGCCCAGGGTGGGCTCTGTGCTGCCTCCCACGGGTGCCTGTGGCCCCAGCTCCAGGGCCCCACTCTCTCGCTGCCTCTGCAGGGCAGGGTCTGCGGCCTGTGCGGGAACTTCGACGACAATGCCATCAATGACTTTGCCACGCGTAGCCGGTCCGTGGTGGGGGACGCACTGGAGTTTGGGAACAGCTGGAAGCTCTCCCCCTCCTGCCCGGACGCCCTGGCACCCAAGGACCCCTGCACGGCCAACCCCTTCCGCAAGTCCTGGGCCCAGAAGCAGTGCAGCATCCTCCACGGCCCCACCTTCGCCGCCTGCCGCTCCCAGGTGGGGCTCTGGTCTTGGCAGGCAGGGTCTGGTGGGGATGGCAGTTGCTTCCTTCCCGCCGAGAACTGGGTCTTCTGGGCAGACAGCAGCGCTCCAAGGAGGGTCTGACCATGTCCCACGGCACACAGTCCTGGATGTCAGGTCCCAAGTCCGGATCTCCCGTCAGCCCCACACCTGTGCCTCTTGCCCCTGGCACGAAGCCATCTTGGCTGTTTCCCGGCCACTCCTTTGACCACAGCCTCAGTCACACCCAGAGGCTCACAGGGAGGGGCAGCCCTCTATGTGGCCCCTAGCCACCCTCCTCTATGATCCCCAGACCTGCCCAGTCCTCAGCACAAACTGGAATGCCAGCCTGGCTCCCCGCTCAGCCAGGGAGGAATCAGAGATCTGCCCTAAGCAGAGACTTCCAAAAAGCAGTTTCCTGACTGGGCGCGGTGGCTCATGTCTGTAATCCCAGCACTTTGGGACGCTGAGGCAGGTGGATCACCTGAGGTCAGGAGTTTGAGACCAGCCTGGTCAACATGGCGAAACCCCGTCTCTACAAAAAATACAAAAATAGCCGGGTGTGGTGGTGTGTGCCTGTAATCCCAGCTACTCGGGAGGCTGAGGCAGGAGAATCACTTGAACCTGGGAAGAGGAGGTTGCAGTGAGCCAAGATCGTGCCACTGCACTCCAGCCTAAGCAAAAAGAGTGAGACTCTGTCTCAAAACAAAACAACAAAAAACCAAAAAGCAGTTTCGTGTCATCTTAAGGAAGACTTGAGTGCCCACTTAGGCACACAGCATGGTGGCTCAGGAGCTGAGATGAGGGGCTGGCGTAGGGGCAGCAGTGGGCATACTCGCTCGTGGGAGGCCCTGAAGCACTCTCATGTCGGCCGCCGCTTGCCCTCTTGAGAAGGCAGCTGGTGACCCCTTGGAAGGTCCTGTGGCCTGACAAAGCTGAGCCCAGGTTCAGATGGGGCCTGGGAGGGGTGTGGGCTGCCTGGAGGAAGCAGGCAGCTTCCCATGGTCAGGACGCATTCACAGCTCAGCTCCCCGCGTGGCTGGTCTGGAAAGGAAGTGACCACTCCTTCCTTAGTGCACATTCACTGGGTGCCTGGAATAGCCTGGCATGTTCTGGGCTCACCCCAGTGATCAGGGGACGAGGCTGACCCTCACAGAGCTTCCAGAGGAGGCAGAAAGGCGGTGGGTGCTGGGTGGTCGGATGCTAGGATGTGGAGGGCCCTGGCCGGGGGTTGGTTCCGCTGGAGGGAAGGCCCCCAGGTGGAAAGGAGGCCAGTACGACTGCAGCGGAGGGAGGTGGGGGCGAGGGCAGAGGGTAAGCAGGGGTGCTATGCTCCACATGGGTTTGAAACCTGTGGGCCACATGACCAGATCCACGTGATAGAAAGATCCAAAGAGCACATGTGAAGGCAGGCAGATGGGCAGGTGCATAGGTGGGCAGGTGCATAGGTGGGCAGATGGACAGGTGGGCAGATGGGCAGGTGGGCAGGGATATAGGTGGACGAGGGCACAGGTGGGCTGGAGAAGTGCTGGGGCAGCTCCCATTTGGGGCACGCTCTGAGGTATTCCAGGCCCCAGGAGCTCAGAGAGCTGCCATGGGGGGTGTTGAAATACAGATGGTTCCAGCAACTGGCCCTGGGCCAGCCACCCCCTGGCCGGGGGGGCCATTGTCCCGGCTGAGCTGCACCTTGGCCTCACCCGCAGGTTGACTCCACCAAGTACTACGAGGCCTGCGTGAACGACGCGTGTGCCTGCGACTCGGGTGGCGACTGCGAGTGTTTCTGCACGGCTGTGGCTGCCTACGCCCAGGCCTGCCACGACGCGGGCCTGTGTGTGTCCTGGCGGACTCCGGACACCTGCCGTGAGTCGGGCTCTGTCCGTGGTGCTGAAGGGTGGAGCTGCTGGGGCAGGGGAGGAGGTGTGGCAGCCTCCGAAGGTGCATTGACCTGGGCCTGAGCCGCACACAGACATCCAACACGCATGTGCCTCCATGTGAGTGCACAAGTTTCTATGCACAGAGGAAGACCTGTGCAAAACCACCAGACAGGTTGCCCCAGCATGAGACAGCTCCTAGGGGACAAGAGTTCCAAGGGCAGGGCTGGGGAGTGGAGGGGAAGGTGAGGCACCACCCGGCCGAGGCCCTGCATGTCTGGGACAAGCCCGGGTCTGGCTCTGGGGACACCGGCCCCCACGCCCGGGGTAGGGGCTGCCCTGCACAACAGGGGTGAGGGCTGGTGGGCGCCTCCTTAGCCTCTGCCCTCTGTGCCCCAGCCTTGTTCTGTGACTTCTACAACCCACATGGGGGCTGTGAGTGGCACTACCAGCCCTGCGGGGCACCCTGCCTAAAAACCTGCCGGAACCCCAGTGGGCACTGCCTGGTGGACCTGCCTGGCCTGGAAGGTGAGGGGCAGCCTTTCTTGGATGGAGCCTCCTCTCCTTGGGTTCCCGAGTGTACGTGGGGGGGCGGGGATCCCCAGGGACGCGGTGTAGGCTCCCGTAAACTGCACAATGCAAGCCTTGAGGGCAGGCCCCTGCTGGCTGGTGGGGGGCGGCTACTCCCTGCAGCATGGAGCCCCTGGCTGGAGAGACTAAAGGGCCCTGGTGAGTCTTCTGCTCACCCTGCCGGCCCTAGGCTGCTACCCGAAGTGCCCACCCAGCCAGCCCTTCTTCAATGAGGACCAGATGAAGTGCGTGGCCCAGTGTGGCTGCTACGACAAGGACGGAAACTACTATGACGTCGGTGCAAGGGTCCCCACAGCGGAGAACTGCCAGAGCTGGTGAGGGGGTGGGAAGCGGGTGGCGCTGGGGGAGCAGGGCTGGGGAGCAGGCCCTGCAGGCTGCCCCCCAGGCCCTCAGCTCGCCTCTCCCCCACCCCTAGTAACTGCACACCCAGTGGCATCCAGTGCGCTCACAGCCTTGAGGGTAAGGAAGGGCCGGGGGGTTAGTGGGCCGGTGAAGGCTGGGGCCAGGGGCTCGGAGGCCCTGGGTGACTCTGCCGGCTCCATCCCCAGCCTGCACCTGCACCTATGAGGACAGGACCTACAGCTACCAGGACGTCATCTACAACACCACCGATGGGCTTGGCGCCTGCTTGATCGCCATCTGCGGAAGCAACGGCACCATCATCAGGAAGGCTGTGGCATGTCCTGGAACTCCAGCCACAACGCCATTCACCTTCACCACCGCCTGGGTCCCCCACTCCACGACAAGTAAGCCCTGCCTGGCTCTCCTGAGGCCCAGTACCGTCTGGGTGACAAGGAGGACCCCCTGGGCTCTTAGTGCAGGTGCCCTGTATGGTAGCGACAGTCCCAATCCACTGACCTTCCGGGCTCTGTCTAGGGGTGCACGGCCCCTCAACACCCTGCGTGTCTCCAGGGGCTCCCCACGAAGCCTCAGCACAATGATTGATGGGATACCCCAAGGAGACAATAAAGCTTTCCTGGACTCCGTCCCATCCCTCAGCACGGCCTATCCCAGCCAGCCAGCTCCCTCAAGGCCAGGCTGCCAGGCCCCAGTCCCTCATGCAGAAACGGCTCTAACCAAGGCTGAGGCAGGCACTGGGGTCCCCAGTATCCCACAGGGGCAGGGCCAGCCCTGGGGAAAGGGTCCTCTGGGGCCCCTCCACCTTGTGAGGCCAGGACTGGAGGATGCTGAGCCAGGACCCCTTTCCCATGCCCCTTGCAGGCCCGGCCCTCCCGGTCTCCACCGTGTGTGTCCGCGAGGTCTGCCGCTGGTCCAGCTGGTACAATGGGCACCGCCCAGAGCCCGGCCTGGGAGGCGGAGACTTTGAGACGTTTGAAAACCTGAGGCAGAGAGGGTACCAGGTATGCCCTGTGCTGGCTGACATCGAGTGCCGGGCGGCGCAGCTTCCCGACATGCCGCTGGAGGAGCTGGGCCAGCAGGTGGACTGTGACCGCATGCGGGGGCTGATGTGCGCCAACAGCCAACAGAGTCCCCCGCTCTGTCACGACTACGAGCTGCGGGTTCTCTGCTGCGAATACGTGCCCTGTGGCCCCTCCCCGGCCCCAGGCACCAGCCCTCAGCCCTCCCTCAGTGCCAGCACGGAGCCTGCTGTGCCTACCCCAACCCAGACCACAGCAACCGAAAAGACCACCCTATGGGTGACCCCGAGCATCCGGTCGACGGCGGCCCTCACCTCGCAGACTGGGTCCAGCTCAGGCCCCGTGACGGTCACCCCCTCGGCCCCAGGTACCACCACCTGCCAGCCCCGGTGTCAGTGGACAGAGTGGTTTGATGAGGACTACCCCAAGTCTGAACAACTTGGAGGGGACGTTGAGTCCTACGATAAGATCAGGGCCGCTGGAGGGCACTTATGCCAGCAGCCTAAGGACATAGAGTGCCAGGCCGAGAGCTTCCCCAACTGGACCCTGGCACAGGTGGGGCAGAAGGTGCACTGTGACGTCCACTTCGGCCTGGTGTGCAGGAACTGGGAGCAGGAGGGCGTCTTCAAGATGTGCTACAACTACAGGATCCGGGTCCTCTGCTGCAGTGACGACCACTGCAGGGGACGTGCCACAACCCCGCCACCGACCACAGAGCTGGAGACGGCCACCACCACCACCACCCAGGCCCTGTTCTCAACGCCGCAGCCTACGAGTAGCCCGGGGCTGACCAGGGCTCCCCCGGCCAGCACCACAGCAGTCCCCACCCTCTCAGAAGGACTGACATCCCCCAGATACACAAGCACCCTTGGTACAGCCACCACGGGAGGCCCCACGACGCCTGCAGGCTCCACAGAACCCACTGTCCCAGGGGTGGCCACATCCACCCTTCCAACACGCTCAGCCCTTCCAGGGACGACGGGGAGCTTGGGCACATGGCGCCCCTCACAGCCACCCACGCTGGCCCCAACAACAATGGCAACCTCCAGAGCTCGCCCGACAGGCACAGCCAGCACCGCTTCCAAAGAGCCGCTGACCACGAGCCTGGCGCCAACACTCACGAGCGAGCTGTCCACCTCTCAGGCCGAGACCAGCACGCCCAGGACAGAGACGACAATGAGCCCCTTGACTAACACCACCACCAGCCAGGGCACGACCCGCTGTCAACCGAAGTGTGAGTGGACAGAGTGGTTTGACGTGGACTTCCCAACCTCAGGGGTTGCAGGCGGGGACATGGAAACTTTTGAAAACATCAGGGCTGCTGGGGGCAAGATGTGCTGGGCACCAAAGAGCATAGAGTGCCGGGCGGAGAACTACCCCGAGGTAAGCATCGACCAGGTCGGGCAGGTGCTGACCTGCAGCCTGGAGACGGGGCTGACCTGCAAGAACGAAGACCAGACAGGCAGGTTCAACATGTGCTTCAACTACAACGTGCGTGTGCTTTGCTGTGACGACTACAGCCACTGCCCCAGTACCCCAGCCACCAGCTCCACGGCCACGCCCTCCTCAACTCCGGGGACGACCTGGATCCTCACAAAGCCGACCACAACAGCCACTACGACTGCGTCCACTGGATCCACGGCCACCCCGACCTCCACCCTGAGAACAGCTCCCCCTCCCAAAGTGCTGACCACCACGGCCACCACACCCACAGTCACCAGCTCCAAAGCCACTCCCTCCTCCAGTCCAGGGACTGCAACCGCCCTTCCAGCACTGAGAAGCACAGCCACCACACCCACAGCTACCAGCGTTACACCCATCCCCTCTTCCTCCCTGGGCACCACCTGGACCCGCCTATCACAGACCACCACACCCACGGCCACCATGTCCACAGCCACACCCTCCTCCACTCCAGAGACTGCCCACACCTCCACAGTGCTTACCGCCACGGCCACCACAACTGGGGCCACCGGCTCTGTGGCCACCCCCTCCTCCACCCCAGGAACAGCTCACACTACCAAAGTGCCAACTACCACAACCACGGGCTTCACAGCCACCCCCTCCTCCAGCCCAGGGACGGCACTCACGCCTCCAGTGTGGATCAGCACAACCACCACACCCACAACCAGAGGCTCCACGGTGACCCCCTCCTCCATCCCGGGGACCACCCACACCGCCACAGTGCTGACCACCACCACCACAACTGTGGCCACTGGTTCTATGGCAACACCCTCCTCTAGCACACAGACCAGTGGTACTCCCCCATCACTGACCACCACGGCCACTACGATCACGGCCACCGGCTCCACCACCAACCCCTCCTCAACTCCTGGGACAACTCCCATCCCCCCAGTGCTGACCACCACCGCCACCACACCTGCAGCCACCAGCAACACAGTGACTCCCTCCTCTGCCCTAGGGACCACCCACACACCCCCAGTGCCGAACACCATGGCCACCACACACGGGCGATCCCTGCCCCCCAGCAGTCCCCACACGGTGCGCACAGCCTGGACTTCGGCCACCTCGGGCATCTTGGGCACCACCCACATCACAGAGCCTTCCACGGTGACTTCCCACACCCTAGCAGCAACCACCGGTACCACCCAGCACTCGACTCCAGCCCTTTCCAGCCCTCACCCTAGCAGCAGAACCACCGAGTCACCCCCTTCTCCAGGGACGACCACCCCGGGCCACACCACGGCCACCTCCAGGACCACAGCCACGGCCACACCCAGCAAGACCCGCACCTCGACCCTGCTGCCCAGCAGCCCCACATCGGCCCCCATAACCACGGTGGTGACCATGGGCTGTGAGCCCCAGTGTGCCTGGTCAGAGTGGCTGGACTACAGCTACCCCATGCCGGGGCCCTCTGGCGGGGACTTTGACACCTACTCCAACATCCGTGCGGCCGGAGGGGCCGTCTGTGAGCAGCCCCTGGGCCTCGAGTGCCGTGCCCAGGCCCAGCCTGGTGTCCCCCTGCGGGAGTTGGGCCAGGTCGTGGAATGCAGCCTGGACTTTGGCCTGGTCTGCAGGAACCGTGAGCAGGTGGGGAAGTTCAAGATGTGCTTCAACTATGAAATCCGTGTGTTCTGCTGCAACTACGGCCACTGCCCCAGCACCCCGGCCACCAGCTCTACGGCCATGCCCTCCTCCACTCCGGGGACGACCTGGATCCTCACAGAGCTGACCACAACAGCCACTACGACTGAGTCCACTGGATCCACGGCCACCCCGTCCTCCACCCCAGGGACCACCTGGATCCTCACAGAGCCGAGCACTACAGCCACCGTGACGGTGCCCACCGGATCCACGGCCACCGCCTCCTCCACCCAGGCAACTGCTGGCACCCCACATGTGAGCACCACGGCCACGACACCCACAGTCACCAGCTCCAAAGCCACTCCCTTCTCCAGTCCAGGGACTGCAACCGCCCTTCCAGCACTGAGAAGCACAGCCACCACACCCACAGCTACCAGCTTTACAGCCATCCCCTCCTCCTCCCTGGGCACCACCTGGACCCGCCTATCACAGACCACCACACCCACGGCCACCATGTCCACAGCCACACCCTCCTCCACTCCAGAGACTGTCCACACCTCCACAGTGCTTACCACCACGGCCACCACAACCGGGGCCACCGGCTCTGTGGCCACCCCCTCCTCCACCCCAGGAACAGCTCACACTACCAAAGTGCTGACTACCACAACCACGGGCTTCACAGCCACCCCCTCCTCCAGCCCAGGGACGGCACGCACGCTTCCAGTGTGGATCAGCACAACCACCACACCCACAACCAGAGGTTCCACGGTGACCCCCTCCTCCATCCCGGGGACCACCCACACCCCCACAGTGCTGACCACCACCACCACAACTGTGGCCACTGGTTCTATGGCAACACCCTCCTCTAGCACACAGACCAGTGGTACTCCCCCATCACTGACCACCACGGCCACTACGATCACGGCCACCGGCTCCACCACCAACCCCTCCTCAACTCCAGGGACAACACCTATCCCCCCAGTGCTGACCACCACCGCCACCACACCTGCAGCCACCAGCAGCACAGTGACTCCCTCCTCTGCCCTAGGGACCACCCACACACCCCCAGTGCCGAACACCACGGCCACCACACACGGGCGATCCCTGTCCCCCAGCAGTCCCCACACGGTGCGCACAGCCTGGACTTCGGCCACCTCAGGCACCTTGGGCACCACCCACATCACAGAGCCTTCCACGGGGACTTCCCACACCCCAGCAGCAACCACCGGTACCACCCAGCACTCGACTCCAGCCCTGTCCAGCCCTCACCCTAGCAGCAGGACCACCGAGTCACCCCCTTCTCCAGGGACGACCACCCCGGGCCACACCAGGGCCACCTCCAGGACCACGGCCACGGCCACACCCAGCAAGACCCGCACCTCGACCCTGCTGCCCAGCAGCCCCACATCGGCCCCAATAACCACGGTGGTGACCATGGGCTGTGAGCCCCAGTGTGCCTGGTCAGAGTGGCTGGACTACAGCTACCCCATGCCGGGGCCCTCTGGCGGGGACTTTGACACCTACTCCAACATCCGTGCGGCCGGAGGGGCCGTCTGTGAGCAGCCCCTGGGCCTCGAGTGCCGTGCCCAGGCCCAGCCTGGTGTCCCCCTGCGGGAGTTGGGCCAGGTCGTGGAATGCAGCCTGGACTTTGGCCTGGTCTGCAGGAACCGTGAGCAGGTGGGGAAGTTCAAGATGTGCTTCAACTATGAAATCCGTGTGTTCTGCTGCAACTACGGCCACTGCCCCAGCACCCCGGCCACCAGCTCTACGGCCACGCCCTCCTCCACTCCAGGGACGACCTGGATCCTCACAGAGCAGACCACAGCAGCCACTACGACCGCAACCACTGGATCCACGGCCATCCCGTCCTCCACCCCGGGAACAGCTCCCCCTCCCAAAGTGCTGACCAGCACGGCCACCACACCCACAGCCACCAGTTCCAAAGCCACTTCCTCCTCCAGTCCAAGGACTGCAACCACCCTTCCAGTGCTGACAAGCACAGCCACCAAATCCACAGCTACCAGCTTTACACCCATCCCCTCCTTCACCCTTGGGACCACCGGGACCCTCCCAGAACAGACCACCACACCCATGGCCACCATGTCCACAATCCACCCCTCCTCCACTCCGGAGACCACCCACACCTCCACAGTGCTGACCACGAAGGCCACCACGACAAGGGCCACCAGTTCCATGTCCACCCCCTCCTCCACTCCGGGGACGACCTGGATCCTCACAGAGCTGACCACAGCAGCCACTACAACTGCAGCCACTGGCCCCACGGCCACCCCGTCCTCCACCCCAGGGACCACCTGGATCCTCACAGAGCCCAGCACTACAGCCACCGTGACGGTGCCCACCGGATCCACGGCCACCGCCTCCTCCACCCGGGCAACTGCTGGCACCCTCAAAGTGCTGACCAGCACGGCCACCACACCCACAGTCATCAGCTCCAGAGCCACTCCCTCCTCCAGTCCAGGGACTGCAACCGCCCTTCCAGCACTGAGAAGCACAGCCACCACACCCACAGCTACCAGCGTTACAGCCATCCCCTCTTCCTCCCTGGGCACCGCCTGGACCCGCCTATCACAGACCACCACACCCACGGCCACCATGTCCACAGCCACACCCTCCTCTACTCCAGAGACTGTCCACACCTCCACAGTGCTTACCACCACGACCACCACAACCAGGGCCACCGGCTCTGTGGCCACCCCCTCCTCCACCCCAGGAACAGCTCACACTACCAAAGTGCCGACTACCACAACCACGGGCTTCACAGCCACCCCCTCCTCCAGCCCAGGGACGGCACTCACGCCTCCAGTGTGGATCAGCACAACCACCACACCCACAACCAGAGGCTCCACGGTGACCCCCTCCTCCATCCCGGGGACCACCCACACCGCCACAGTGCTGACCACCACCACCACAACTGTGGCCACTGGTTCTATGGCAACACCCTCCTCTAGCACACAGACCAGTGGTACTCCCCCATCACTGACCACCACGGCCACTACGATCACAGCCACCGGCTCCACCACCAACCCCTCCTCAACTCCAGGGACAACTCCCATCCCCCCAGTGCTGACCACCACCGCCACCACACCTGCAGCCACCAGCAGCACAGTGACTCCCTCCTCTGCCCTAGGGACCACCCACACACCCCCAGTGCCGAACACCACGGCCACCACACACGGGCGGTCCCTGCCCCCCAGCAGTCCCCACACGGTGCGCACAGCCTGGACTTCGGCCACCTCGGGCATCTTGGGCACCACCCACATCACAGAGCCTTCCACGGTGACTTCCCACACCCCAGCAGCAACCACCAGTACCACCCAGCACTCGACTCCAGCCCTGTCCAGCCCTCACCCTAGCAGCAGGACCACCGAGTCACCCCCTTCTCCAGGGACGACCACCCCGGGCCACACCAGGGGCACCTCCAGGACCACAGCCACAGCCACACCCAGCAAGACCCGCACCTCGACCCTGCTGCCCAGCAGCCCCACATCGGCCCCCATAACCACGGTGGTGACCACGGGCTGTGAGCCCCAGTGTGCCTGGTCAGAGTGGCTGGACTACAGCTACCCCATGCCGGGGCCCTCTGGCGGGGACTTTGACACCTACTCCAACATCCGTGCGGCCGGAGGGGCAGTCTGTGAGCAGCCCCTGGGCCTCGAGTGCCGTGCCCAGGCCCAGCCTGGTGTCCCCCTGCGGGAGTTGGGCCAGGTCGTGGAATGCAGCCTGGACTTTGGCCTGGTCTGCAGGAACCGTGAGCAGGTGGGGAAGTTCAAGATGTGCTTCAACTATGAAATCCGTGTGTTCTGCTGCAACTACGGCCACTGCCCCAGCACCCCGGCCACCAGCTCTACGGCCACGCCCTCCTCAACTCCGGGGACGACCTGGATCCTCACAAAGCTGACCACAACAGCCACTACGACTGAGTCCACTGGATCCACGGCCACCCCGTCCTCCACCCCAGGGACCACCTGGATCCTCACAGAGCCGAGCACTACAGCCACCGTGACGGTGCCCACCGGATCCACGGCCACCGCCTCCTCCACCCAGGCAACTGCTGGCACCCCACATGTGAGCACCACGGCCACGACACCCACAGTCACCAGCTCCAAAGCCACTCCCTTCTCCAGTCCAGGGACTGCAACCGCCCTTCCAGCACTGAGAAGCACAGCCACCACACCCACAGCTACCAGCTTTACAGCCATCCCCTCCTCCTCCCTGGGCACCACCTGGACCCGCCTATCACAGACCACCACACCCACGGCCACCATGTCCACAGCCACACCCTCCTCCACTCCAGAGACTGCCCACACCTCCACAGTGCTTACCACCACGGCCACCACAACCAGGGCCACCGGCTCTGTGGCCACCCCCTCTTCCACCCCAGGAACAGCTCACACTACCAAAGTGCCGACTACCACAACCACGGGCTTCACAGTCACCCCCTCCTCCAGCCCAGGGACGGCACGCACGCCTCCAGTGTGGATCAGCACAACCACCACACCCACAACCAGTGGCTCCACGGTGACCCCCTCCTCCGTCCCGGGGACCACCCACACCCCCACAGTGCTGACCACCACCACCACAACTGTGGCCACTGGTTCTATGGCAACACCCTCCTCTAGCACACAGACCAGTGGTACTCCCCCATCACTGATCACCACGGCCACTACGATCACGGCCACCGGCTCCACCACCAACCCCTCCTCAACTCCAGGGACAACACCTATCCCCCCAGTGCTGACCACCACCGCCACCACACCTGCAGCCACCAGCAGCACAGTGACTCCCTCCTCTGCCCTAGGGACCACCCACACACCCCCAGTGCCGAACACCACGGCCACCACACACGGGCGATCCCTGTCCCCCAGCAGTCCCCACACGGTGCGCACAGCCTGGACTTCGGCCACCTCAGGCACCTTGGGCACCACCCACATCACAGAGCCTTCCACGGGGACTTCCCACACCCCAGCAGCAACCACCGGTACCACCCAGCACTCGACTCCAGCCCTGTCCAGCCCTCACCCTAGCAGCAGGACCACCGAGTCACCCCCTTCCCCAGGGACGACCACCCCGGGCCACACCACGGCCACCTCCAGGACCACGGCCACGGCCACACCCAGCAAGACCCGCACCTCGACCCTGCTGCCCAGCAGCCCCACATCGGCCCCCATAACCACGGTGGTGACCACGGGCTGTGAGCCCCAGTGTGCCTGGTCAGAGTGGCTGGACTACAGCTACCCCATGCCGGGGCCCTCTGGCGGGGACTTTGACACCTACTCCAACATCCGTGCGGCCGGAGGGGCCGTCTGTGAGCAGCCCCTGGGCCTCGAGTGCCGTGCCCAGGCCCAGCCTGGTGTCCCCCTGGGGGAGTTGGGCCAGGTCGTGGAATGCAGCCTGGACTTTGGCCTGGTCTGCAGGAACCGTGAGCAGGTGGGGAAGTTCAAGATGTGCTTCAACTATGAAATCCGTGTGTTCTGCTGCAACTACGGCCACTGCCCCAGCACCCCGGCCACCAGCTCTACGGCCATGCCCTCCTCCACTCCGGGGACGACCTGGATCCTCACAGAGCTGACCACAACAGCCACTACGACTGCATCCACTGGATCCACGGCCACCCCGTCCTCCACCCCGGGAACAGCTCCCCCTCCCAAAGTGCTGACCAGCCCGGCCACCACACCCACAGCCACCAGTTCCAAAGCCACTTCCTCCTCCAGTCCAAGGACTGCAACCACCCTTCCAGTGCTGACAAGCACAGCCACCAAATCCACAGCTACCAGCGTTACACCCATCCCCTCCTCCACCCTTGGGACCACCGGGACCCTCCCAGAACAGACCACCACACCCGTGGCCACCATGTCCACAATCCACCCCTCCTCCACTCCGGAGACCACCCACACCTCCACAGTGCTGACCACGAAGGCCACCACGACAAGGGCCACCAGTTCCACGTCCACCCCCTCCTCCACTCCGGGGACGACCTGGATCCTCACAGAGCTGACCACAGCAGCCACTACAACTGCAGCCACTGGCCCCACGGCCACCCCGTCCTCCACCCCAGGGACCACCTGGATCCTCACAGAGCTGACCACAACAGCCACTACGACTGCGTCCACTGGATCCACGGCCACCCCGTCCTCCACCCCAGGGACCACCTGGATCCTCACAGAGCCGAGCACTACAGCCACCGTGACGGTGCCCACCGGATCCACGGCCACCGCCTCCTCCACCCAGGCAACTGCTGGCACCCCACATGTGAGCACCACGGCCACGACACCCACAGTCACCAGCTCCAAAGCCACTCCCTCCTCCAGTCCAGGGACTGCAACTGCCCTTCCAGCACTGAGAAGCACAGCCACCACACCCACAGCTACCAGCTTTACAGCCATCCCCTCCTCCTCCCTGGGCACCACCTGGACCCGCCTATCACAGACCACCACACCCACGGCCACCATGTCCACAGCCACACCCTCCTCCACTCCAGAGACTGTCCACACCTCCACAGTGCTTACCGCCACGGCCACCACAACCGGGGCCACCGGCTCTGTGGCCACCCCCTCCTCCACCCCAGGAACAGCTCACACTACCAAAGTGCCGACTACCACAACCACGGGCTTCACAGCCACCCCCTCCTCCAGCCCAGGGACGGCACTCACGCCTCCAGTGTGGATCAGCACAACCACCACACCCACAACCACCACACCCACAACCAGTGGCTCCACGGTGACCCCCTCCTCCATCCCGGGGACCACCCACACCGCCAGAGTGCTGACCACCACCACCACAACTGTGGCCACTGGTTCTATGGCAACACCCTCCTCTAGCACACAGACCAGTGGTACTCCCCCATCACTGACCACCACGGCCACTACGATCACGGCCACCGGCTCCACCACCAACCCCTCCTCAACTCCAGGGACAACACCCATCACCCCAGTGCTGACCAGCACGGCCACCACACCCGCAGCCACCAGCTCCAAAGCCACTTCCTCCTCCAGTCCAAGGACTGCAACCACCCTTCCAGTGCTGACAAGCACAGCCACAAAATCCACAGCTACCAGCTTTACACCCATCCCCTCCTCCACCCTGTGGACCACGTGGACCGTCCCAGCACAGACCACCACACCCATGTCCACCATGTCCACAATCCACACCTCCTCTACTCCAGAGACCACCCACACCTCCACAGTGCTGACCACCACAGCCACCATGACAAGGGCCACCAATTCCACGGCCACACCCTCCTCCACTCTGGGGACGACCCGGATCCTCACTGAGCTGACCACAACAGCCACTACAACTGCAGCCACTGGATCCACGGCCACCCTGTCCTCCACCCCAGGGACCACCTGGATCCTCACAGAGCCGAGCACTATAGCCACCGTGATGGTGCCCACCGGTTCCACGGCCACCGCCTCCTCCACTCTGGGAACAGCTCACACCCCCAAAGTGGTGACCACCATGGCCACTATGCCCACAGCCACTGCCTCCACGGTTCCCAGCTCGTCCACCGTGGGGACCACCCGCACCCCTGCAGTGCTCCCCAGCAGCCTGCCAACCTTCAGCGTGTCCACTGTGTCCTCCTCAGTCCTCACCACCCTGAGACCCACTGGCTTCCCCAGCTCCCACTTCTCTACTCCCTGCTTCTGCAGGGCATTTGGACAGTTTTTCTCGCCCGGTGAGTGCATGTGGATAACACTGCTGTACCCTTTCCCCACATGCTATGCCAACCTGGGTCTGCCTGTCCTGGGAGCCAGTGGCTTTCTCCCTGCTGGTCATGTTTGTTCCCCACTGGCCTCACTTGGCCCCTCCCGGCCACACTGGGTCCCCACTGGCCACACTGGGTCTCCTCTGGCCACAATCCGTCCGCACTGGCCACAATCAGTCCCCACTGGCCACACTTGGTCCCCACTGGCCACAATGCGTCCCCCTTGGCCACATTCGGTCTCCCCTGGACACAATCCATCCCCACTGGCCACACTGGGTCTCCTCTGGCCACAATCCGTCCGCACTGGCCACAATCAGTCCCCACTGGCCACACTCGGTCCCCACTGGCCACAATCCATCCCCACTGGCCACACTCGGTCCCCACTGGTCACAATCCGTCCCCAGTGGCCACACTTGGTCCCCACTGGCCACACTCAGCCTCTGCCCTCTCCACTCCCTTCCCTGGAACCGCTGCTCCCTCCTGCGCTGACCTCTGCCTTTGCTCTCCCAGAACTCTGGCTTACCCATCTCTGGGAGTGGCTTATCTTTCTATGGTGTTGTTCTTCACAGGGGAAGTCATCTACAATAAGACCGACCGAGCCGGCTGCCATTTCTACGCAGTGTGCAATCAGCACTGTGACATTGACCGCTTCCAGGGCGCCTGTCCCACCTCCCCACCGCCAGTGTCCTCCGCCCCGCTGTCCTCGCCCTCCCCTGCCCCTGGCTGTGACAATGCCATCCCTCTCCGGCAGGTGGGCCCCGCCTGCCCTCCACCTCCCGTGCTGCGTGCACACGGTCTGGGTTGGCTGGAGGCACAGCCACAGTCCAGCTCCCGAGGCCCGTCTCAGTGACCCCGCCGCCAGTATCTCCAGTTGGAGGAGGCACACAGGGCCTAGGGGCCAGGCTAGCATGGGGGCCGCCCTCCTCAGGCAGGCTCTTGTGGCCACCCGGGGCTTTGGGCCATGAGGGGTGGGATGAGCCGTGGATGGGTCCCGTGAGCTGGTCCAGGTGAGGACGTGCATGTTCCCTGCCCCAGGTGAATGAGACCTGGACCCTGGAGAACTGCACGGTGGCCAGGTGCGTGGGTGACAACCGTGTCGTCCTGCTGGACCCAAAGCCTGTGGCCAACGTCACCTGCGTGAACAAGCACCTGCCCATCAAAGTGTCGGACCCGAGCCAGCCCTGTGACTTCCACTATGAGTGCGAGTGTGAGTGCGTCGGTGGCCGCGGGATTACCCCGGGGGCAGGTGGAGCAGAGTGCACCGTCGGCTAGGCTGGCAGAATGGGGCATGGTGGGGCACAGTGGGGTGCAGTGGGGAATGGTGGGGCATGGTGGGGCATGGTGGGGTGCAGTGGGGCATGGTGGGGCATGGTGGGGTGTGGTGGTGGTGTTTGGGAGATCGCTGGCATCCCTTCAGGAAACCATCATGCACCATGCTGTCTTGGGCCTCAGTGGTGCACGTCGTGAGAGCTGTTAGTATGCAGGCTCCGTGTCCACAGGGCTGAAAATGCTGACACAGCCCAAGGGAGAGGCAGCAGAGGCTGGTTTGCTGAGCTTCTCTGCACATCAGCCTGTGTGGTTTGAAAGGGACCCTGCCCAGGGGCTTCTGGGGCCAGGAGAAGCTCAGGATGGAAGCGGGAGCCCAGAGGAGCTTTTGTCTCCTGGGTCCTAACAGCGGCTTCCATCACCGTGCGGGACCCACCGCTAAGAGGTCACGGCGTTCTCACTCCTCCCCATGTCCTTGGCCCAGGGCTGCTGTTCCAAACCGCCACAAGCTGGGGAGCTTATACAACAGAAACCCACTCTCCGTCCTGGAGCTGGAAGTCTGAGATCCAGGCGGGCAGGGGATAGACTCCCTGCTGAGGGTCTGGGGAGGTCCTTCCTGCCTCTCCCAGCTTTGGGGACTCCAGGTGTCCTTTGGCTGTGGCTGCATCCCTCCGATCTCTGCCTCTGCCTCTCTGTGGCCTCCCCTCTCTGTGTCTGTGTCTCTTCTGTCTCCCGTAAGGACACTGGTCATTGGATTGAGGGCCCACCCAGCTAGTCCACGATGATGTCATTTCAAGATGCTTCCCTTAATCCCATCTGCAAAGACACTTTCTCCCGGCAAAGCCACATGCGGAGGTTCTGGGATAGCCATAGATTTTGGGGGACCCCATTCTACACACTGGACCCATTTTTATAGACGAGGCAGCTGAGGCCCCAGGGGCTTCAGTGGCTCCCCAAGGCGGCAGTCACAGTGGTGACGCTGGCTGCCATGACGCCTGGGGAGCGAGGGCACCACCACGGAGCCTGCCAGCCCGTCCATCTCTGTCCCGCAGGCATCTGCAGCATGTGGGGCGGCTCCCACTATTCCACCTTTGACGGCACCTCTTACACCTTCCGGGGCAACTGCACCTATGTCCTCATGAGAGAGATCCATGCACGCTTTGGGAATCTCAGCCTCTACCTGGACAACCACTACTGCACGGCCTCTGCCACTGCCGCTGCCGCCCGCTGCCCCCGCGCCCTCAGCATCCACTACAAGTCCATGGATATCGTCCTCACTGTCACCATGGTGCATGGGAAGGAGGAGGGCCTGGTGAGTCCAGGCTGCGGGTGGCACAGTGTTGGCCCAGTCCCAACCGCACCTGGGCAGGCCGACTGCAGGCCGGGGTGACCCAGGTGCCGCAGCGATGGCCCAGTGCCCAAGACAGCTCCCAGGGGGCAGGGAAGGCCTGTGGAGCCGCCTAAGGCCGAGCGCACCCTGTGGCCTAAATGCAGCCAGCTGGAGACTCCAGGCCCCCAGGGAAGATCTGGGCTTTGGGGTGGGGGATACACAGGGGGGTCTCTGCACATGGAGGCAGAGCCCCAAAGAGAAGCCCTGCTCCCCGAGCCCACCTGGCACTGCCTCCCAGCTCAGGGTTCCCCTGGATTCCCCCAGATCCTGTTTGACCAAATTCCGGTGAGCAGCGGTTTCAGCAAGAACGGCGTGCTTGTGTCTGTGCTGGGGACCACCACCATGCGTGTGGACATTCCTGCCCTGGGCGTGAGCGTCACCTTCAATGGCCAAGTCTTCCAGGCCCGGCTGCCCTACAGCCTCTTCCACAACAACACCGAGGGCCAGTGCGGTGAGTGGGCGGCGGGTCCTGCCCCGGCCAGGGCTGCTGCTGGGCCTGACAACCCAGTGAGCATAGGGGAAGCCTGGGGAGGGGAATGAGTGGGGGAGGGGGGTGGGGGCTGTGAAAGGCTCCCCAGATTCCAGCCCCGCGGTGACGCCCCCACTCCCAGGCACCTGCACCAACAACCAGAGGGACGACTGTCTCCAGCGGGACGGAACCACTGCCGCCAGTTGCAAGGACATGGCCAAGACGTGGCTGGTCCCCGACAGCAGAAAGGATGGCTGCTGGGCCCCGACTGGCACACCCCCCACTGCCAGCCCCGCAGCCCCGGTGTCTAGCACACCCACCCCCACCCCATGCCCACCACAGCCGCTCTGTGATCTGATGCTGAGCCAGTGAGTCCTCCCCTCGGGGGTTGCAGGCCCTGGGGCGCCCCCGCCCGCCCGCATGCACGCACGCACGCAGCTCCCTGGGGCTGGGGGCCCTCCGTCCTGATCGCTTTGCCCCACAGGGTCTTTGCTGAGTGCCACAACCTTGTGCCCCCGGGCCCATTCTTCAACGCCTGCATCAGCGACCACTGCAGGGGCCGCCTTGAGGTGCCCTGCCAGAGCCTGGAGGCTTACGCAGAGCTCTGCCGCGCCCGGGGAGTGTGCAGTGACTGGCGAGGTGCAACCGGTGGCCTGTGCGGTGAGTGGGGGCGGCCCCGGGCCCCCCAGACCCCTCGGCCTCTCTGAGTGTCCTGTGCGGTGAGTGGGGGCGGCCCCGGGCCCCCCAGACCCCTCGGCCTCTCTGAGTGTCCTGTGCGGTGAGTGGGGGCGGCCCCGGGCCCCCCAGACCCCTCGGCCTCTCTGAGTGTCCTGTGCGGTGAGTGGGGGCGGCCCCGGGCCCCCCAGACCCCTCGGCCTCTCTGAGTGTCCTGTGCGGTGAGTGGGGGCGGCCCCGGGCCCCCCAGACCCCTCGGCCTCTCTGAGTGTCCTGTGCGGTGAGTGGGGGCGGCCCCGGGCCCCCCAGACCCCTCGGCCTCTCTGAGTGTCCTGTGCGGTGAGTGGGGGCGGCCCCGGGCCCCCCAGACCCCTCGGCCTCTCTGAGTGTCCTGTGCGGTGAGTGGGGGCGGCCCCGGGCCCCCCAGACCCCTCGGCCTCTCTGAGTGTCCTGTGCGGTGAGTGGGGGCGGCCCCGGGCCCCCCAGACTCCTCGGCCTCTCTGAGTGTCCTGTGCGGTGATTGGGGGCGGCCCTGGGCCCCCCCAACCCCTTGGCTTGTCTGACACCTCTCTGTGCCCACAGACCTCACCTGCCCACCCACCAAAGTGTACAAGCCATGCGGCCCCATACAGCCTGCCACCTGCAACTCTAGGTAAGTACAGGGATGGCTGGTGCCTTCCCTGCCACCCAGGCCTGCCTGACCGGTCTGGGGGAGCAGGAGGAGGCCAGAGGGTGTCCCACTGTGGGCCACAGATCTCTGGGGTGCCCGAGCCCAGGACTCCTTGGAAAACATCCCCTGCTGCTCCCAGATGCCTTAGAGACAGAGTCAGGCAGGGGGCGCATCCCTGGCCACGCCTGGCCCCGCATCCCCACCTGGCCCCGCCACCGAGCCCCACCCATCCCCGCCCATACTTAGCCCCGCCCACCCCCACCCCAGCCCCACCCGTCCCCGCCCCCAGCCCCGCCCACCCTGAGCCCCGCACTCCACCCATTCATCTCCTTCCCTGCTCCCCACTGCCCATCCTGGGGACTCACGTGGATGACAGTGGAGGCCTCCTGGATCTCTAGGTCTCAGGGCCTCTCTTGTCATCCTGCAGGAACCAGAGCCCACAGCTGGAGGGGATGGCGGAGGGCTGCTTCTGCCCTGAGGACCAGATCCTCTTCAACGCACACATGGGCATCTGCGTGCAGGCCTGCCGTAAGCTCCGCCACCTGTGGCGGGATACGACCCTGGGCCCGACCCAAGCACACACAGGGTGGGAGGAGCCGCCCAGGACCATGATGTGCTCTCCCCTCTCCCCAGCTGACCCCCGTGACCTGTTCTGCCCCACCAGAGCATGGGATGGCCCCAGAGTGGCCCTGAACCCTGCAGAGCCCCCACGGTCCCCTGAAGCCCCACAGGGAGGCTCTGTCCTTGAGTGATCCTGTGATGGTCCCTCCCCTGAGCCCTGCCTCCCACCACCATGGACGAGGCTTCCATGCACTGACAGCTGGGCTCACGGTGCCCTGGCCTGAGCTCCAGCCACATCTGACACCCCAAAAGTTCTCCAGGGCCTTCCATCCCGGGGGGAAGCAGGCTCCAGGCCTGAGAGCACCTCCCATGGCCAGAGGCCCCTCCGCCTGCAAACTCAGCACCCTCCGTGATGCCATGCTGTTTTCTTTCCAGCCTGCGTGGGACCCGATGGGTTTCCTAAATTTGTGAGTGGCTCCACCCCCACCTGCCCTACCCCACCCTCTCGCGAGCTGAGGGAGGGAGGGAAGGAGCATCCCCATCCCACAGGGCAGCTGTGGGGCGCCCGAGTGTGACGTGGACGTGCCAGTGGCTGGTGTGCGCTTCCTGCCCCATCACTCTGGGCCACTCGGGTACCAGCCCGAGGGAGGGGGTGGCTGGACAGATGCCCAGGGTTGACCTGTGTCTGTCCAGGAGCCCTCAGGGACCCCCTTGATCCATTCCAGCCCGGGGAGCGGTGGGTCAGCAACTGCCAGTCCTGCGTGTGTGACGAGGGTTCAGTGTCGGTGCAGTGCAAGCCCCTGCCCTGTGACGCCCAGGGTCAGCCCCCGCCGTGCAACCGTCCCGGCTTCGTAACCGTGACCAGGCCCCGGGCCGAGAACCCCTGCTGCCCCGAGACGGTGTGCGGTAAGACGCTGCAGAGCAGAGGTGCCCGGCATAGGGTGAGGGGGGACAGAGCCGGTGCCCACCAGGGGCCTGTGGGTTGGGCACAGGAGAGCAGAGGAGAGCCACTGTGTCCTGGCGTGACCGCGGCAGGACCACTCGGCAGAGATGGCCTCCAGGTGCTTCATTCTCCTCCTAACGATGAGGCTGGTGACCTCTGGCCTGCCCAGGAGTGGCCCAGGGACGTGGGAAGCAGCGGGGAGGTGGCCAAGCAAGGGGCCTGGAGGGAGCCCCCAGGGGCTGTGAAGCGGTCAGGTCCTCGGGGAAAAGCACGCCTGCGACTTACTCTGGGAACAAGTGGTCGGGAGGAGGAGTGAG
This sequence comes from Homo sapiens, assembly GCF_000001405.40. Lineage (NCBI taxonomy): Eukaryota > Metazoa > Chordata > Mammalia > Primates > Hominidae > Homo > Homo sapiens. Next base: position 1,258,065 of record NC_000011.10, read on the forward strand.
CAGCGCCCAGACAGTGGCCTCCATCCTCCCGCAGTGTGCAACACAACCACCTGCCCCCAGAGCCTGCCTGTGTGCCCGCCAGGGCAGGAGTCCATCTGCACCCAGGAGGAGGGCGACTGCTGTCCCACCTTCCGCTGCAGTGAGCGGGGCTGGGGCCGGGCTCCTGGGTGGCCTCTTGCTGGGGGTGGGGGAGTGCAGGATGGTGGGGGCGCTGGAGCACATGCTCCCCACCACTTGTCGAGGGCTTAGCTCCCTTTCCTTCCAGGACCTCAGCTGTGTTCGTACAATGGCACCTTCTACGGGGTAAGGGCACAGCAGTGGGTGGGTGTGGCCCTGGGGCCTGAACATGTGTGTGGGATGCCCCGGGGCTCTCTGAGCCCCACTCCTTGTCTTGACATTCCTGCCCTGAGGGCCGATCCGCACAGGGGCCCTGGACACGTCAGAGCTGGGACATGCTTGGGACTCAGGGGCACCTTACGTCGACAGCCATGAGCTCCACAACTGCTGCCTCTGAGAGGTCCCTTCAGGGGCTCCCAGCAACAGCCTGGGGGCAGCACACACTGGCCTGGGGTCCCCGCCTGCCCGCCCAGATTCCTACCCGCCCGGATTCCTGCCTGCCAGATTCCTGCCCCCATGGGGTCTCTGCCCACCCAGATTCCTGCCCACATGGGGTCTCTGCCTGCCCAGATTCCCTGCCCACCTGTGGTCCCTGTGTGCATCAGCTCCCTGCCTGCCTGGGTCCATGCTCAGCCAGGGGTGCATCTATGCTCCATCTGAGGAAGGAACAACTCCCTGCAGGCCCCATTGGGTCATGGGGAGGGGTCCTGGCCCTGTTGCCCCACCAGTGCCCTCAGTGCCACCCTCCCACCCCTTGCAGGTTGGTGCAACCTTCCCAGGCGCCCTTCCCTGCCACATGTGTACCTGCCTCTCTGGGGACACCCAGGACCCAACGGTGCAATGTCAGGAGGATGCCTGCAACAATACTACCTGTCCCCAGGTGAGACCCGAGGCACCTGCCCCCAGGTGAGCCCCCGAGGCACCTGCCCCCAAGTGAGACCCGAGGCACCTGCCCCCAGGTGAGACCTGAGTCACCCGCCCCCAGGTGAGCCCCCGAGGCACCTGCCCCCAGGTGAGTCCCTGAGGCACTTGCCCCCAAGTGAGACCCGAGGCACCTGCCCCCAGGTGAGACCCGAGGCACCTGCCCCCAGGTGAGACCTGAGTCACCTGCCCCCAGGTGAGCCACCAAGGCACCTGCCCCCAAGTGAGACCCGAGGCACCTGCCCCCAGGTGAGCCCACAGCTGCTGGGCAGACCCAGCCCTGAGTCACTTATCCTGGCTCCCTGGGGTTCTCTAGCTCAGCCATTGCTGGGGTCTTGTTTGTTTCCAAAGGGAGGGTATGAAGTAGGAGGATAACTGAGGGGGTCTGGGGGTGGGACAGGACCTGCAGGCTGCTGGGGACAGGGGCTGAGGTCAGGTTCCAGGAAGGCAGGGGTAGGCAGAGAGAAGGTGCTGGAAACTGGGGTGAGGCTGAGCCGGGATAACTGAGTGGGGGCAACTTCTTCGGGTATAGGCCCAGGCAGGGACAGGGCTAAGGGGTCCTGGACCACTGGGGTGTAGACAGGAGGGCAGGCTGGGCCGGGGCATGTGCTGGAGGAGAGGGTTAGGGCCTGACGCCCCTCATGTCCCCACAGGGCTTTGAGTACAAGAGAGTGGCCGGGCAGTGCTGTGGGGAGTGCGTCCAGACCGCCTGCCTCACGCCCGATGGCCAGCCAGTCCAGGTAACAGCAGAGGCATGTGGGGGCAGGTCTCAGCTCCCTCCCTGGAGACCCTCACCCCCAATGGGGCTCTGCACAAGAGGTAATCCCTACTCAGCTTCCACACTCACCCTTGCATTTCAGCTGAATGAAACCTGGGTCAACAGCCATGTGGACAACTGCACCGTGTACCTCTGTGAGGCTGAGGGTGGAGTCCATTTGCTGACCCCACAGCCTGCATCCTGCCCAGATGTGTCCAGCTGCAGGGTGTGTGCTGGAGGCCCTGCCCCTGCCTGGGAGTCCTTGTCCATCAGGGAGGCCCAACCCCTGTCTGGGATGCCCTGCACAGCAGGGAGGCCCCACCCCTGCTGGGGAGGCCCCACCCCTGCCTGGGAAGCCCCACCCCTGCCTGGGAGGCCCCGCCCCTGCCCGGGAGGCCATGCCCCTGCCCGGGTGGGCCCCTCCCCAGGAGGCCGCACCCACCAGGGAGGCCCCGCCCACAGCCCTGCCCCCTGTCTTTGGCCCCCACCAGGGGAGCCTCAGGAAAACCGGCTGCTGCTACTCCTGTGAGGAGGGTAAGTGGAAGCCACCTTCCCACACCAGCCCTCCAGCTCCAGCCCGTCGCCACCCATCCATTCCTGCCCAGACATCTGCACTAGGCAGCAGTGGGATGCCCGCGTCCAGACTCCACCCTCGGTCCTGGAGGGCCATGGGAGGGGTGGTCCCATGGGGAGGGTCGGCCCAGCAAGTCCAGGCCCTCAGAGTGAGGGTCCAGTGGGGCTCCACATCTGCCTTTCCTCCTCCCAGACTCCTGTCAAGTCCGCATCAACACGACCATCCTGTGGCACCAGGGCTGCGAGACCGAGGTCAACATCACCTTCTGCGAGGGCTCCTGCCCCGGAGCGTCCAAGTGAGTGGGCTCCTGGCCCTGTGCCAAGAGCACCTGCGTGTGGTGGGTCCGCCCTGGCCCGTCAGCTGGCTGGCAGCCTGCTCTGGGTCAGGAGGGCCTACGCCAGCTCCAGGAAGGAGGGAAGGGGCTCCCCAGCAGGGCTCCCCCTCTCCACGTCCATTGGCAGAAAGCCTGGGGCCGCTCTCCTAGCCAGGCCAGGGCCCGGCTGAGCCGAGCCACATGGCACAGAGCTCCCCGCTGCGAACCCAGGTCCAGGTGTCCCCCTGGGGAGGGTGGGTGGAACCAGAGCCTTCTGTGAAGCCCCCCATGGCTTGCCACTGTGGTTGGCTGTCAGCAGGAGGGGCCAGAAGGGTTGACCCTTAGCTAGAAGAGGCAGGAGGAAGGGTCAAGGGCTGCTTAGGGTCAGCAGGATTGGAGGAGCTGGTTCAGACAGGGGAAGTGCAGGCCACAGAAGACAGAGCCGGGAGCCAAGGGACCCTGGGGGCCCAGAGCTGCCCCATCCTGAGAAGGTGAAGCCTCACGTGCCCACAGAGCAGGCCACTGTGGACAGAAGGGGGCGGCCGTCTGGCCCAGGACCCCAGAGGCCCATGTGTCACCATGGCTGGGCAGAGAAACGGCGGGGCCAAGGTGGCTGATGTGAGGGCCACCCTGCGTCCACAGGTACTCAGCAGAGGCCCAGGCCATGCAGCACCAGTGCACCTGCTGCCAGGAGAGGCGGGTCCACGAGGAGACGGTGCCCTTGCACTGTCCTAACGGCTCAGCCATCCTGCACACCTACACCCACGTGGATGAGTGTGGCTGCACGCCCTTCTGTGTCCCTGCGCCCATGGCTCCCCCACACACCCGTGGCTTCCCGGCCCAGGAGGCCACTGCTGTCTGAGAACGTTCTGCCTCCATCCCCATGCTCTGTCCACCTGGAGCCAGGATGTGCATTGTCTGATCATGAAAACCTTGGGCCTCCTCTGCGGAGCCCCCCGGCCTGTGTGTGGCACCCCGCGCTCCGTGCTCCTGCTGCCCACCCCGTGGGTGAAACCGGCCCCAGAAGGGTGAGGGGCCAGCAGGACCCCTTTCGGGAGGGCGCCACTCAGGAGTCCTACCCTGGGAGAGCCTGTGGCCCACCTTGGCCTTGCCCCTCCCTGATGTCACTGGGACGCCCTGGAACAAACTAAGCATGTGCGGGCCTATGTGTCCCTGCCACGGCCGGAGCGCCCGCGCAGCACGGATTCCAGCTGGCCACGTCCGGCCGCTGGGGCAGACAGGCTGGTCCAGGCAAGGCCAGCTGCTGCCAGGAAGCTGCGACAGGCAAGGCGGCCGCCTGTCCATGCCTGCTGCAGGGTAACTCAGGGCTGAGGTCGCAACGGCCAGGTCAGAGAGGGGTCAGCATCCCAAAGCCCCCTCTGCTCAACCCAGCCCAGTTTTGCAAATAAACCCTGAGCATTGAGTACGTTTCCTGTCCTGACGTCTTTTCTTGCCTACCGTCTTTCCCAGGCTGTCCAGGTCCTCTGTGGGCTGCTTGCCTGGGGCCTGCAGGCTGGAGGACACATCCGGGGGGCAGTCCAGGACCCCCAGCAGCCACTGAAGGACCAGGAAGCCTCTGGGAAGGCCAGGCAGGGTGGGGGACAAGGAGCCGCTTGGTCATCCACATGCCCCTGTGGGCACCCCGAGAGTCAGTCTTGGGCTGTGGGAGCACTGCCCAGGGGACAGGGGGCAGGGGGCCGCCAGGACTCAGAGGTCACCCCGGCTGTTATTTCCAGTGTAGGGGATTGTGTGAGGAAACCAGCTCATGTAGGAAGATGGAGGCAGTCAGTGGGGCAAGCAGGCGACCAGGCCCGGTCAGCGGGGAGGCAGCTGCCCCCCAGGGCAGGTGCACGGAGCCAGGTGCAATGCTCCCAGGCTGGTGCTGGGCCCTGCGGGGCCGCCTTTCACCCTGTTCCACGCGCACCTCTCCGGGAATGCTTTCCTTGGGGCACTTGCTACGCAAGCGACACGTGAGCTTGCTGGCTTCCTGTCCCGCCTCCTGTCCCGCCTCCTGTCCCGCCTCCTGTCGCGCCTCCTGTCCCGCCTCCTGTCCCACCTCCTGTCCCGCCTCCACACGCACGGGCAGGGCTTTCTGCCCTTCCTTTCTATTGCTCTGTCCAGAGCAGAGAGCACCCGGTGCAGACAGCAGGGTATCGGGGAGCCTGTGGGATGGGTGGGGTCAGCAGCTGGGGCTGCAGGTGTGGGCAGGGAAGACAGTGAAGGTGGTGCCAGCCAGGACCTAGGCATAGCAGGATGCAGGGAGCTTTGGACACAAAATGACCTCCTACTGGGCAGGGGGTGGCTACAGGCAGACCGTGGCCTGGGGAGACAAAAGCAATGCTCGTGCCTGGCTGCAGAAGCCTGTGGTGTGGGTGCAGAGCGGGGCCTTCCCCACACCGGGGCCTGCCTCTGCCCTGTGCCCTTGGGTGGGTCCTGCCCTGCCCAGGAAGTGATGCCATCACACTGTACATTTACAGAGCTCCCAGCTCCTGGGGGCCCAGCCAGGCCCCTGCCAGCGCTCCAGAGCTCCAGCCTCTCCTGCCCTCCTTGCCGAGGCCCAGCAGGGCCAGCCACCCCAGGACTGGGCTGGAGATAGGCAGGGGCCTGACAAGGTTGCAGGTGGGCTCTGGTGGGCGGTGGGCTAGGTTGGTCACCACTGGGGTGAGCTTCTATAGGTTTACCCTGCGTCTCCGAGGCTGATTGTCTGGAGGTTGCGCCAGGTCACTGCCTGACCTGGGTCTGCATTCCGCCACGTGTAAACAAATGGTTTCCGAAACCTCAGTCATTCCCATGGTGCGATGGTTTCCTTAGACCCATTTATGTCGGTGTATGGGTACAAGCACCCCTCTCAGAGGCCCATGCTGTGCTGTCTCTGTGCCCCAGAACCGTATCATTCAATCCTGACAATACCCTGTGTGGTGTCTGCTATTGTGTCTCCCACTCCACAGATGGGAACACTGAGGCACAAAGCAATGAAAAGGTGTGGTTCTGTCAGGGGGAAAGCTGGGCTCACATCCAGGCAGCCCAAGTCGAGGCCACACTCAAAACCACAGGGCTCTGCAATGCCCCAGAGCAAGTAACTATAAAAATAAACACAGTGGGCCAGGCGCGGTGGCTCATGCCTGTAATCCCAGCATTTTGGGAGGCTGAGACGGGCGGATTACGAGGTCAGGAGATCGAGACCATCCTGGCTAACACGGTGAAACCCCATCTCTACTAAAAATACCAAAAATTAGCCAGGCGTGGTGGCGGGCGCCTGTGGTCCCAGCTACTCAGGAGGCTGAGGCAGGAGAATGGCGTGAACCCGGGAGGCAGAGCTTGCAGTGAGCCGAGATCGCGCCACTGCATTCCAGCTTGGGTGACAGAGTGAGACTCCGTCTCAAAAAAAATAAAAATTAAAATTAAATAAATAAATAAACACAGTGAATACAAACCAATGTTACTTAGACTTTAAAGACGTTTTAAAAGGGATTTCTGGTTTCCAGATGGAAAAGTGGGCCTGTCTTCCCCTACAGACACAGAAACTGTGACAATGATAGAAAGAAACTTTAAAATAGCAGCAATTGAAAACAAGAAACTAAATCATCTGCAAAGCCAGCAGATATCCCGAAAAGGAAACATTTGGGAAGTGCTGAGAGGGGGGCCCAAAACTTTTTGTATGAGGCCATTCTCGCACTGCTACAAAGAAATACCTGAGACTGGGTAATTTATAAAGAAAAGAGGTTTAACTGACTCACAGTTCTGCCTGGCTGAGGAGGCCTCAGGAAACTTACAATCATGGTGGAGGGTGAAGCAGAAGCAGGCACTTTCTTCACAAGGTGGCAGTAGAGAGAATGAGACCTAGCAGGGGAGATGCCAGATGCTTAGGAAACCACCAGATCTCGTGAGAATTCACTCACTATCACGAGAACAGCATGGGGGAAACCACCCCCATGATCCAATCACTCCCAGTGTCCCTCCCATGACATGTGGGGATCATGGGGATGTATTAGTCCGTTTTCACACTGTCTTCATACCCAAGACTGAGAAGAAAAAGAGGTTTAATTGGACTTACAGTTCCACATGGCTGGGGGAGGCCTCAGAATCATGGTGGGAGATGAAAGGCACTTCTTACATGGCAGTGGCAACAGAAAATGAGGAAGAAGCAAAAGTGGAAGCCCCTGATAAACCCATCAGATCTCGTGAGACTTAATCACAATCGCAAAAATAGCACATGAAAGACTGGCCCCCATGATTCAATTACCTCTGCCTGGGTCCCTCCCACAACGTGGGAATTCTGGAAGATACAATTCAAGGTGAGATTTGGGTGGGGACACAGCCAAACCATATCATTCTGCCCTGATACCTCCAAATCTCATGTCCTCACATTTCAAAACCAATCATGCCTTCCTAACCATCCCCAAAAGTCTTAATTCATTTCAGCATTAACCCAAAAGTCTGCAGTTCAACATCTCATCTGAGACGAGGCAAGTCCCTTCTGCCTATGAACCTGTAAAATCAAAAGCAAGTTAGTTACTTCCTAGATACAATGAGGGTACATGTATTGGGTAAATATAGCTGTTCCAAATGGGAGAAATTGGCCAAAACAAAGGGGCTACAGGGCCCATGCAAGTCCAAAATCCAGCGGGGCTGTCAAATTTTAAAGCTCCAAAATGATCTCTTTTGACTCCAGGTGTCATGTCCAGTTCACGCTGATGCAAGAGGTGGGTTCTCATGGTCTTGGGCAGCTCCTCCCCTGTGGCTTTGGAGGATACAGCCTCCCTCCTGGCTGCTTTCATGGGCTGGTGTTGAGTGTCTGTGGCTTTTCCAGGCACATGGTACAAGCTGTTGGTGGATCTACCTTTCTGGGGTCTGGAAGACAGTGGCCCTCTTTTCACAGCTCCACTAGGCGGTGGCCCAGTAGGGACTCTGTGTGGGGGCTCCAACCCCACATTTCCTTTCTGCACTGCCCTAGCAGAGGTTGTCCATGAGGGCCCCGCCCCTGCAGCAAGCTTCTGCCTGGACATTCAGGTGTTTCCGTAAATGTTCTGAAATTGAGGCGGAGGTTCCAAAACCTCAGTTCTTGACTTCTGTGCACCCACAGACTCAACACCACATGGAAGTTGCTAAGGCTTGGAGCTTCTACCCTCTGAAGCCACAGCCTGAACTCCACGTTGGGCCCCTTTCAGCCACAGTTGGAGAGGCTGGGATGCAGGGCACCAAGTCCCTAGGTTGCACACAGAACAGGGATCCTGGGCTCAGCCCACAAAACAATTTTTTCCTCCTGGGCCTCCAGGTTTCTGATGGGAGGGGGTGCCGTGAAGGTCTCTGACATGGCCTGGAGATATTTTCCCCATGGTCTTGGGGATTAACATTAGGCTCCTTGCTACTTAAGGAAATTTCTGCAGTCAGCTTAAATTTCTCCTCAAAAAATGGGTTTTTCTTTTCTACTGCATCATTGGGCTGCAAATTTTCTGAACTTTTACGCTCTGTTTTCCTCTTTAACAACAACAAAAAATCTTTTTGAGACGGAGTCTTGCTCTGTCACCCAGGCTGGAGTGCAGTGGCGCAATCTTGGCTCACTGCAACCTCCACCTCCCGGGTTCAAGTGATTCTCCTGCCTCAGCCTCCCTAGTTGGGATCACAGGCATGAGCCATTATGCCCAACTAATTTTTGCATTTTTAGTAGACACGGGGTTTCTTCATGTTGGCCAGGCTGGTCTCGAACTCAGCCTCAGGTGATCCACCCACCTCAGCCTCCCAAAGTGCTGGGATTACAGGTGTGAGCCACTGTGCCCGGCCTATTTCCCTTTTAAAATGGAATGTTTAACAGTATCCAAGTCACCTTTTTAATGCTTTGCTGCTTAAAAATTTCTTCTGCCAGATACCCTAAATCATCTCTCTGATGTTCAAAGTTCCACAAATCTCTAGGGCAGAGGCAAAAATGCCACCAGTGTCTTTGCTAAAACATAACAAGTGTCACCTTTGCTCCAGTTCCCAATAAGTTCCTCATCTTCATCTGAGACCACCTCAGCCTGGACCTTATTGTTCATATCACTATCAGCATTTTTGTCAAAGCCATTCAACAAGTCTCTAGGAGGTTCCAAACTTTCCCATGTTTTCCTATCTTCTTCTGAGCTCTCCAACCTGTTCCAATCTCTGCCTGTTACCCAGTTTCAAAATTCCTTCCACATTTTCAGGTATCTTTTCAGCAATGCCCCACTCTTGGTACCAACTTCTGTATTAGTTCATTTTCACACTGCTGATAAAGACATACCCAAGACTGGGAAGAAAGAAAGGTTTAATTGGACTTACAGTTCCACATGGCTGGGGAGGCCTCAGAATCATGGCAGGAGGCAAAATGCACTTCTTACATGGTGGCAGCAAGAGAAAAATGAGGAAGAACCGAAAGTGGAAACCCCTGATAAACCCATCAGATCTTGTGAGACTTAGTCACTATCATGAGAATAGTGCGGGAAAGACTGGCCCCCATGATTCAATTACCTCTGCCTGGGTCCCTCCTACAACACATGGGAATTCTGGGAGACACAATTCAAGGTGAGATTTGGGTGGGGACACAGAGCCTGACATCACTTTTCTTTATAGAAAATGGGCATTCAGCCTGAAACCACCAAGCAGCTCAGAGATGCTAACATCCTGAAGGAGAGCAAACGCTCCATCAGTAGAGAAAGACAAAGGCAATGTGCTCAAGCTATCAGGTTTAATAGAGGATTTGGAGGACAGATCTGGAAATCTCAACGCTTTTTCTAGTGAGCCACAAAAGGAAAGAATAGAGAGAATGGAAGAGAGGCCATATTTTCAGAACCGAAAACATGACGTCTTTGTTAGGCTCAAAGCTTTCAATGAGTGCCAAGACAGGCCAAGCAAAAATACACCCAAGAGAAAGAGAAAACCTCAAAGCCACCAGAAAGACAAGGCAGTTCACCCACAAAGGCATGAGAACCAGACAGGTATCTGGTTTCTCATTAGTAACACTGGATGCAGCAAGATGGTGCCATGGTATTTTTCAAAGCGCTGAGGGAAGGTAAATCAACACAGAATTCTATTCTATTCCAACCAGACTGTCATTTAAGAGTGACAAGGACATTTCTGACATACAGGGACTGAGAAGGTCACTTCCCACAGATCCTCTGTGAATGAGCTACTAACAGAGGTGGCCAGCGGCCAAGTGCAGTCACACGCATGCCATAATGGTGAGCAAAGAAATGGGTGACATGCCCTGGTTTTTTTGTTTTGTTTTTTGTTTTTTTGATATGGAGTCTCACTGTGTTGCATAGGCTGGAGTGCAGTGGCATGATCTCGGCTCACTGCGACCTCCGCCTCCCAGGTTCAAGTGACTCTCTGGCCTCAGTCTCCCGAGTAGCTGGGATGACAGGCATGTACCACCAAACCCAGCTAGTTTTCGTATTTTTAGTAGAGACGGGGTTTCATCATGTTGGCCAGGCTGGTCTCGAACTCCTGACCTCAGGTGATCCGCCCACCTCGACCTCCCAAAGTGCTGGATTACAGGTGTGAGCCACCGTGCCCGGCCTACATGCCCTGTTATATCCGAATAAGAAACGCACCTAACAGAAATCCACAGGTCACAATACAGAAGTTGCTAACTTTAGCGACTCAATCCTTCGTGGTTAGTGCCTGTTGGTCTTATTTAAGAAAACCCTTCTCTGCCCTGGGATCAGGAATGCTGTCTTCTGAATTATTTCCTAAAAGCTCTGCAATTTTGCCTTCTGCCTTTACATTTTGAATCCACCCAGAACTGGTGTATGAAAGTGGCATGAAGTAGGGGGTCTGACTCCATTTTATTTCACAGATCTTGCTGCTTGGCCCAATATCATGTACTAAAATGGCAACTGTTCCCCACCCTGTCATCTCTACAGTCTCTGTGTTGTTCCCTGGACTATTTATTGTCTTACTGTAGACAACAGTCTGTAGACAACAGTGTTGATAGTCCTGATATCTTTTTTTTTGTTGAGATGGAGTTTCGCACTGTCACCCTGGCCGGAGTGCAATGGCACGATCTTGGCTTGCTGCAACCTCCGCCTCCTGGCTTCAAGCGATTCTCCTGCCTCAGCCTCCCAAGCAGCTGGGATTACAGGCACCCGCCACCATGCCCAGCTAATTTTTTGTATTTTTAGTAGAGACGGGGTTTCACTATGTTGGCCAAGCTGGTCTCAAACTCCTGACCTCTTGATCCACCCACCTCGGCCTCCCAAAGTGCTGGGATTACAGGCATGAGCCACCGTGCCCAGCCCTTTTTTTTTTTTTTTTTTTTTTTTTTTTTTTTTTTTTGAGACAGAGTCTTGCTCTGTTGCCCAGGCTGGATGGAGTGCAATGCTGCGATCTCGGCTCACTGCAATCTCCACCTCCCGGGTTCTAGCGATTCTCCTGCCTCAGCCTCCTGAGTAACTGAGATTACAGGTGCCTGCCACCACACCCAGCTAATTTTGCATTTTTAGTAGAGGTGCGGTTTTGCCATGTTAGGCTGGTCTCAAACTCCTGAAATCAAGTGATCCTCCTGCCTCAGCCTCCCAAAGTGCTGGGATTACAGGTGTGAGCCACCTGGCCTTGATATCTATTTGAGCAAGCTTTCACATTTTGTGCTGCTTTTACAAGAATGTCTTGACTCTTCCTAGCTATTCAGAATTAACTTATCAAGCTTTACAAAAAACAGTACAACAAAACGGGGCTTGCTGGGACTTTGGGATTATACTGACTAAATTAATTTGAGAGAAGCTGACATCTTTACATATTGACTATTTCAATCCATGAACATTGTACATCTCCACCCTCCATCCCCACAAGACCACCTGGACTGAAGCTTAACTTTGCTGCAATAGCCTCTCTGGGTTCGCCTTTCCTTTGTCATCTTTTCAAAAACTCCAGGAAGAATTTAAAAACATGATATCCATCATTTTGGGCTGTTTTCAGTGAGATGGTCTCAATAAATCCACCTTGCTGGATTTCTGGGATGAGGTGTCCCCTTTCAAGAGAGGATACAGGCCTCAGAGGTATAGCAGTACCTATCAGTTCTGCCCACGCACACCCTGTAAGGGGCCAGCTGTGCTGTGGCCACATCAAGGGGCTCTGGAGGCTCCTGTGAGGGGGCCGCCTGAGCTGCTGTAAACCCACCCCTTGGGGCTGTGCACCTGCTCCAGTGAGTGTCTGCAACACAGAGACACCCCTTGGCTTCTAATGACCTCTGGCCAAAGCTCTCCTGGGAGAGGCCTCGGGACTCTGCCAGCACTGGTTGATGTGCCCAGGTCCTGTGGTCCCCACTGAGAGGACTGAGGCTCTGCGGGCAGAGGAAGGTTCAGTCCTGCTCCCCCTCCCCGTGGAGCCTGTGACTGGACACACTTTCTCTGAGCTCACTCTCTTGGGTGGGACCAGCTGCATCCCTGGAGCCTGTGACTGGACACACTCCGAGCTCACTCTCTCGGCTGGGACCAGCTGCATCCCTGGAGCCTGTGCCCACACACACTCTCTCTGAGCTCTCTCTCTCAGCTGGTACCAGCTGCATCCCCCTGGCTCCATTTCCTCTCCATAGTCAAGGAGAACATGTCTACAGCATCATGAGGAAGAGCTTAATGATGAGGTGTCTGTGCTGAAGACCATCCTGCCTCTGTGGGTCCTTACCTGGCCCTTGGCCCTGCCCTCTGAGACTCTGGGGCCAAGGGCTGAGTCTCAGCTCCTGAAACTTTTCTCTTCCCATGCCCCAGCCCTGGATGCAGGATCCAGCTGGGGCCCTGCTGTCCTTCCCTCTGGAACCCTGGTCCTGGGCCTTGGGAGTCCCTGGCCCACCAGAAAGGACCCTGACCCATCGCTACATGCCCGGCCTGGTGGGCCAAGTGCATTCTGTCAGGGCTCCTCCAGCCCTGCTGACGCCTGGACGCAGCCGTCGGGGTGAACCCGTCTCCACGGCCAGGCTCAACAGAGGGAAGGGGCTTGGTCTGGGTTGGGAGCCAAGAGGCAGTAGAAAGCCCAGAGGCTGTCGCCATTCACTGAGGGTGGAGGGATGGGGCAGCCTGGGTGGGTCCTCACCTGTTCCAGAACTCAGGACCTGGCCTTCTGGCCCAGGTTCTCTGCACTCAGCAACTTGTGCGAAACTTTATCCTGCAAGGGGTGATTGTGGTGTTTGTGGGAAGCGAGCAGCTCTCTGGCCACAACTTTCCCTCGGTTCTGGGTGACCCTGGGGACCTCCCTCCTCATTTCCCCCGAATCTGCTCCCTAGCTGAATGGAGGCCATCGAGGTCTTCAGGACCCTTCCAGCCTCTTCTGGGGCCCAGAACAGGCACTGAGGAGGCAGAGGGAGCCGGCCTGGGGCAGCAGGGCCTGGAGTGGTGTATGGTGAGTCAGCAGAGAAGGCCAAGTCTCACCCACTCCACAAAGCGAGCAGGGGCCGTGGGGAGGGCCCTGGGGGAGCCTCGGGTCCTCCGAGAGGCGGAGCCCACTGCAGCCCCTCCTGCCTGCACTGGGGCAAACGCCTCACGCTGGGCACAGCTCAGCCTGCCGGTCATAATCACAAACCCGTGTCATGCCTCGAGGAAACTCATGCTGAGTTTGTGACGTCTGCACTGACATTTTCGCTGTTTCTCACTTTTCCATTTTATCTTAAGTGAGCTTTATTGCTTTAACTTTAGTGATACCTGACAGTTAACAGGCACAGGAGATAAGTTTCTTTCAGTGACACTGCAAATGAGTAAGAAGGGGTTTCCTACGGGGTCAGGTGTCATGCTTTGCACAGCGATGCCCACCAGCACGTTCAAGGGAAGGCAGATGTTTCAAGCCTGACTCTCACACTCAGCAGTGAGGCCGGCTCTGTGTCGGGGAGTGTGGCACCAGCATTTTATTTTTGAGGCTAGAAATTTAAGGTAACAAGGCCTTTGCCAAGCTCTGGGAAAAGCCACGCACCGGCAGGCCTTCCTTTTCTGTTCCCTACCTGGCACTTTCTGTTTTGAGTAAAACTTGGTATCAAGGTTTTGCTCCCAAAACCGTTGCTCTGCAGAAATCTACAGTTCAAAGAGACGCTTTGAACACTGTTTTCAAAACTAAAATCCAAGAAAAGTGTCCGCCCTTTGCTCAGCGGCAGGAACCAGGCTGAGAGGGCTCTTCTCCACTCCAGCTGGGAAGGAGGGATCTGGGAGCCGCGTTTGGGACCCCCCCCAGCCTGGGGCACCCTGCTGGTGCTGCGGGTCCCTTTAGTCTCGGAGGCCCCGGGGACGGGGACCAGGGGACCTCGTTCATTTCAGCACTTCCTGGGGCCACCGCGCAGGGCTGAGCCTCCCACCCACACAGAGCACTTCCAGTGGGGTGCGGGGCGCCGGAGGGGCCGCGGCAAAGGCCCCAGAGGACACGCAGGGCCCGGGCCACCCCCTGCA